>NC_000005.10:150955245-151255563 GCF_000001405.40 Homo sapiens
TGGTGCTGGGCAGACCTGGAACCTGAGTCTGCAGGGGGCAGCCTAGAGCCTGGGGCTGCAGGGCCTGTCTTGGTTCTGGGGTGAGCTTCAAGCCTGGGGCCAGGGGAGCCCGCCTAGCGTCTGGGGCCAAAGGCCTAGACTGGAGCCTAGAGCTGGCCTGGCAGCAGGATTCACTGGGACTGGCCTGGTGCTGGGGTCCATGGCAAAGTTGGGTGCTCACTTCTCTCTCCTTCCCCCACAAAGAGGGTATCTCTCTCCTCACTGCCTTGCCTTGTGGGAGGGGTGACTTGAGTAATGTAAACCTCTCCTTCCTACACTCTTCAAGGCATCTTTTCTTATTCTGTGCTACACCCAGGTGCTGTCATCCTTAGCTCTTATGAAGACATTTTCATGAATAAAAAGTTGTTCAAATTGATGTTTCTGCAAGGGGACAAGCACTGGAAAATCCTACACCACCATCTTGCTAACATCACACCTGGCATGACAGTTCTTTTCTTTCGGCACTTGAAAAATACTGTGCTACTTCCTGTTGGCCTCCATGGTTTCTGAGGAGATATCAACTCTCATTCGAATTCTATTTCTCCTATACGGAATGCATTGTTTCTCTCTGGCAGTTTTCATTATTTTTACTTTCTCTTTGGTTTTTAGAAATGTGACTACAATGTTTCCTGGCATGGATTTCTTTTCATTTTATCTTGTTTGGGATTCACTCAGCTTCTTGAATTTCTAAATTTGGGGCGGGGGTTGGCCAAATTTGGGAAATTTTCAGTCATTATTATTTTGAATAATTCTTTAGCCTCATCCTCATTCTTCTCTCCTTCATGAATGCCAAAGACATGAATGTAAGATCTTTCGATATAGTTCCACATTTCCATGAGGCACTGTTCTATTTTCTTTTCTTCTATTTTCTCTCTATTGTTCAGATTGCATAATTTCCACTGTTCTTTCACTTAGTAATACTATTCTCTGTCCCCTCTCCTGCCATTCTGCTATTGAGTCCATTCACAGAGTTTTAAAATTTTAGTTATTGTATGTTCCCATTCTAAAATTTCCATTTTGTTTTTCTTTATATCTTCTGTTTATTTGCTGAGATGTTCTGTTTTTCATTTGTAATTGTTCATTGAGGCATTTTTACAAAGGCTGCTTAACAATCTTTGTCAGATAATTTTAATATCTCTGTCATCTTGATTGGCAGCTAATGATTGTCTTTTTTCCTTCAGTGTAATATCTTCCTGGCTTTTTATGAATGTTTTTTAAATTGAAACCTGGACATTTTGTGTATTATATTATGAGACCTAGATCTTAATTAATCCTTCTGTGGTAGCTGGCTTCCTGTGACAGCACTCCAGCAGAGGAAGTGAGGGTGACACCACATTGTTACTTTCAGGTATAGGTAGGAGTCCAGTTTACCACTCAGCCTCCATTGATGCCCAAGGTGAGGAAGGCTCCGCACTTCTTGGGGAATGGGAGTTTCAGCTCCCCACAAGTTCTCCACCGGCTGGGAGGGGGAGGAGTACTGTGTTACTGCCTCCACTCCATGTGGCCTGTGCTGGTGTTGTCAGGGGAGGAGCCTCATTACTGGTAGGAAGTGGTGAAAGTCCTGACTCTCCATTACCCCAGTATTCTCTGACACTACCCCAGTGGGAAAGGAGTGGGGCATTACTACAGGATGGTTGAGAAAGTCTAAGGTCTTCACTTGGTCTTCAGTGACATCATGGATGAAGAAGGGTTCTTTACCACCCAATAGGGATGAAACTCCTGGCTCCATACTCAGCCTTCTCCATTACAACTTGGCAAGAGTGGGAGGCTAGGCTCCCCAGTCTTTTTTTTTTTTTTTTTTTTTTTTTTTTGTAGAGATGGAGTCTTGGTCTGTCGCCCAGGCTGGAGTGCAGTGGCACAATCTTGGCTCATTGCAACCTCCGCCTCCCGGGTTCAAGGGTCCAAGCAATTCTCCTGCCTCAGCCTCCCGAGCAGCTGGGACTATAGGCGCACGCTACCACGACTAACTAATTTCTTTTGTATTTTAATAGAGACGGGGTTTCACCGTGTTACCCAGGCTGGTCTCAACCTCCTGAACTCAGGCAGTGCGTCCACCTCAGCCTCCCAAAGTGTTAGGATTACAGGTGTGAGCCACTGCACCCGGCCCCCACTCAGTCTTTTAGACATGGGTGAGTGTTTTTGTCTGCTCAGGCTACCATAACAAAATACGACAGACTGGGCAGCTTAAACAACAGAAATTAATTTTCTCTCAGTACTGCAGACAGGCAGTTCAAGATCAATGATGTGCCAGCAGTGTTGGTTTCTTTGCGTCCTCACATGACAGAGAGAGTGAGCTCACTGGTTTCTCTTATTACCTCATTTATTGTCAATTATCTCCTAAAGGCCCTGTCTCCAAATACAGTCACATTGCAGGTGTGAAAGGGAAATAAATCTTGGGGCCCCAAAATCACCAAGCTAAAGGGAAAAGTCATGCTAGACACTGCTTAGGGCAAACCTGCCTCCCATTCTATTCAAAGTCATCCCTCTGATCACTGAGATAAATGGCTATCTGACTGCATTTATCTCTGATAATGCATAATCCCTGATCTCCCAAAATTTCATCAAGATCTAAAGTTTATTTTGCTGTACAACTTCTTTTTTTGAAGTTTTACTTGCTACCAACACAAGGAAGGCAAGTTTTCCCACTTCCATGATTTTGGAAGGCAGGTAACTCCTTATGGAGTTTAAGCTGACTTCTAACAGGGAAGACAAGTTTCGTTTTTTTTCTGCTCCTAGGATGGTAGAGAGCAGTCTTCCATCTGAGACCCATCCCTAGGTAAGTAAATGAACTGGGGTTTGTCTTGGCTGAAGTTAAGATTAACAACCAGCTGGTCTTAATTTCTTCTTACCGTTAGAGCACTCAATAATCATATTAAGTTGTGTGATTGTTTTGCTTAGCTTTTTTTTGTTGTTTGTTTCTGTTTTTGTTGTTGTTTCAGTCTTTTTCCCATTGAGTTTGACCAACTGTATCTGACATGATCAAATCCAAAGGAAAGTTCCAAATTATGGGGTACAAAGCCTCTAAAGTGGCTAAATTCCCACAAAAAAGGGCTTTATTTACATAACAAGGCCACTTTTTTGCTAGCCGGGAGAAACCAAAAAAGCAATGGCTGTCTCCCAGGCTACAGTTCCATAGCTAAGATTATGCCGTGTTTTTTCACCAGCCTGGGTTTGGTTCCTAAGTCAAGCTCTGGTTTGATACCTGGTACTTCTGAAGTAGCATCAATTTGTCCTAGCTGAAATATGGTAATGAGATTTAAGAATATTTTTTAAAGGAGCTCAGTGGTTAAAAGTCAGCTTAATTAAAAGCTAACATCCAAGATGTGTGTGTATGTGTGAGTGTGTGTGTGTGCGTCTTCGTATTTAAAAGGCCTTCATATTTTTGTTTTTGTTTTTCCTCTCCTAGGACCTTGTCTTTGTTGAGCAAAAGTTTTTTCTTCTCATTTGACTGAATTATGTTTTCTTTATTTACTTCTGCTGTCTCTCCTTTCTCTTGCACCCTCTGCTGCATGAGGAACCTAAAATAGTTTATAATAGCCTGGGATTCCTTAAAGCAAATGGAGAAGGTACCAGACTTCCTTTTGGGGAGAAATATTTGTTTTTCCTTATGGAACCCCAAGAGTGTAAACAGACAAGTTCATCTCAGCCTTTTTGTTTGTTTGTTTTTTTGTTTTTGTTTAGAGGAAGGCTCACTCTTGTCACCCAGGCTGGAGTGCAATGGCATGATCTTGGCTCACTGCAAACTCTGCCTCCCAGATTCAAGTGATTCTCCTGCCTCAGCCTCCTGAGTAGCTGGGATTACAGGCGCCTGCCACCAAGCCTGGCTAATTTTTGTATTTTTAGTAGAGACAGGGTTTTACCATGTTGACCAGGCTGGTCTGGAACTCCTGACATCAGGTGATCCACGCCCCCCTTGGCCTCCCAAAGTGCTGGGATTACAGGCATGAGCCACCACATCCGGCCTGTCTCAGCTCTTAAACTGGTTGCTTTTGTATTGTGTTACCTAATTTTTTGACTAAAATAGTTATTGCAACAGAGGCTACTCGGGTTTTTAAGGAAGAGTGTAGTTTAGACACTTAGAAATGTTTTTGTTTAAAAAAAAATTTAAGTGCACTGTAAAAGCATCACGTGGTCTAGCTTCATAATAATTCTCCCTTTTTGAAAACCCAGGATTCAGTGTGGGCTCTGCCCAGAGATTAGAGATCCCAGTTAAAAGATAGGTAGTCCCCATCTAAATAAAATTGGTCTCCTTATAGAATCCTATGATTGATTTCTATAACTTAATGTTTGATTTGGCATACATCTTTAATCTCCCTCTAGTACCACCAGACTTTTTCTCTCTGTACCTTGAGATGTAGATTTTGCTATCTGATTTTTCACCTAAAGGTAGTTTCTTTCAATATGCAGATTTAGGGTTATTTATCTGACAACTTCCAGAGTAATGAAACAGGTTATCAAGAGTTTGCAAGTCTACGGGTAAAAAAAAGGAGGACTGATGAATCTATAAGTTGTACTTCTATCAGTATGCCTAATACGTCTATGTATTTATGTGTTGTGTACATAGTTTTACTATTAAAAATACATAAAAGAGCTCCAATTAGCTTAAAGAAAAATAAAAATGCTTAAATCAAATACTTTATCAGAAGAAGGAAAGACTAGTCAAATGCTTTTTCAAGTTTATGTAACTTAAGGAAAATATTTAATAAATAAGCTAGCTTTAAAATTATTGGTAAAGTAATATGAGAAATGTCTTAAGAATTGCCTGTATAGATTTTTTTGTTTGCATTCATTGATCAAGCAATTTCATACTTATCCCTGCCAAATACTACAAAGTGTCAAAATTTGGCATAGGGGTTACAAAACTATACACCTAGCTCAAAACAGAATGATATTTGCTTGGGTAATTTTTAATAAATAAGACATTGATATTGGTTTAATGAATATAGCTAAATCTTAAATTATTTAGTAAAATAACCACAACTTCTAAGCTTGAGGCTTTAGGCAGTCTAGTCCCCAGGCAGGAAGGGGGTTTATTTTGGGAAAGGACTGTTATCATCTTTGTTTCAAAGCTAAACTGTAAACTAAGTTCCTCTCAAAGTTGGTTTGGCATACACCCAGGAATGAACAAGGACAGCTTGGAGGTTAGAAGCAAGATGGAGTCAGTTAGGTCAGATCTTTTTCACTGTCTCAGTTATGATTTTGCAATGGTGGTTTCAAAATGATGATGACTTAAATGATGACTATAGCAGTTTTCATAAATAATCAAGGTAAACAATTAAAATAATTAGGTAAATGTAATGGGATAAATACTTGTAGACAAACTTGTCATAATTTAGAATCTAAAGTTTTATTAAATTAATAGATATTTCATTATTTGAGTATTTTCAATAAAAATATATTGTAGGGAAACATTATTTTTTTAAAATATGTGTCATTTTAAAAAAGATGAATAATTTTTATCTAATTCAAAGTTTATTTAAAGGTTATATGTAAAACAAGGCAAAAAGAACCAGGAGATAAGAGAGATGTGAAGAAAGTTGTAGAAATAAAAAAGTATTTTTTGGTAAGAAAGTTTAAAGAAAAATAATTTTATATGAGAAAGAATCTTGTATAGGAAATTCTGTCCTAGAATAAAATGACTGGTTGTTCAAGAAAGAGGGATGTTCAGGGCAAACCAGAAAGTCCAAGCATGTAATAAATGGTTTGTGTAAGTCATAATAAGAGGATTTATTTTTAAAAACTTTTATATGATCAAGTTGTCTGTAATTAAACGGACATTATAATGGTCTTTCTAGAAATTGAGTTTTAATTAGAAAAACACATACACTAAAGAATGGGTTCAAACTATGAAATTTTCTTAAGGTATTGCTTTACTCTTAATAAGTTACAAGACATTATAATTAATTTTATGCAAAGTTCAAGTTTTACTGCATCTCACTGTTTTCAGCTTTCTCTCCCCTCTTAAAAGGCCTGAAATAATAACTCTATCCTTCAACTCATTTTCAGATCCTGTAAGTTTTTTTCTTCAGGTTCTAACTTGGGCCTGACACTTAAAAAAAAAAGTTTTATATTAAAGGTCTAAAGGAAATGTTTCCTTCTAACATAATATTCCCCATAGGAAACAGCAGTCACACTGCAGTAGTTCTTTTCTCTTGCCTTGAGTGACTGGCCTAATAAACAGATCTTAGTCTTTATCTAAATAATTTCTGTATCATTACTACTAAGTTGGGTTTGCTTAGAAAAAAACTGAGATTAAAAAAATTTAAATTAAAGTTATTATATTCCTGGAACTTTCTATATGTCCATTAAAGTCCTATGCCATTAAGTTAAAGGGCTTTGACACCTGGGTCTAAAAGGTCACCAAGTCCTGCTAAATCTTAATACTGACAGCAGTTAAAGCCTCATCTTCAGACCCCATAGAAGATGCCAATCAAAGTACACTGTGTTCATGAGACACACAGCCAGAAATTAAAGCTATTCAACTCCTCAAGGCCCAGAGACTGTCACGGAAGAGGTGGGCAGGTGAGATTGTAAGGGCTGATTTTGAGAGATAAAATAACTTCAGTTTCTATATAAATTAACCATTAATATCAAAGGCACACTGATGCAAGACTGGAATATTTGCCCCTGTGTCTGATGAACAAGGTTTTCTTGACGCATTAACCAATTCCTTAATAAAGGTTATAAAGGTTTAAAAGGCTTATGGAAATTATATCTTATGGCCGAGATGATTAAAATTCTATAGATCATTTATAAAATTTTGAAAAAAATTTAATTGGCTCCATGCTGTCTTAATTAGGGCTTTTTTTTTTGGAAAATTATGTCTCCTCTCTCGAACAATGAAGGCTTTTTGCCTTTTTTGAAATCCTTGAGTTATCACTTTGGTTAAATAAATGACTTATTTTACAATGACCTGTGATCCTATTTTGTGATATCAAGTGTTTTAAACATTTGATATTTGACAAACTTCCCAAATCAAATTATAAATCATGTGTTTTTCTGATACAATTAATCCTTTAAGATATTAGGTTCTGTAAAGTCCAAAAATTACATATTTGGCTTATTTAGTATCAAAATCATACAGGAAGCATTGTCACATATGAAATGGTATTTGGCTTTCTTTCGGCTGTATTTGTATACATACATTATATATTTATAAAATTTCTATACAATTATAGGAAACTCTTATAATTCTGATATGACTTTTAGTGTATGTTATCAGATATAATTATAATTGTCATGTTAAATTACTTTTTGCCACAGAGGTAACAGATTTCCTTGTCAATTGTTTCTTTGACTATGGCTGCCTAAAACTTTTTGTCATCCATGAACAATTGTTGTCTTGTTTTGGTCCTCTTTAGAAGATGGTTTTATAATCAGCTATAAAACTCTAACAGGTGTTCTTGAATGCAGGGTTCTGATAACTTTGGAGATTGTGACATGAGAATAGAGGAAAACCTTTCAGGACTCATGGAGAGCTGAAATGTTCATGAATATCAAGCAGAACAGGAATTAACTCTATAGACTGAACTAATAGAAGACTGAAGTAATCTTTTTTACTTTTTGCCTAAAATGTTGCTGATCCTTTGTTTTGTTTTTTCAGAGTCAAGGAAACTTTTTTTAAGCTATTGACAGCTTTTAACAACTTAGTATACTCCTAAGAACAAAATGTGGAGCATATTTCTCTTTACATGATTTCTCCAGAATTTGGAAACTATTTGTGAGTATTGTTAACTTACAGCAATTTAGTTATTTGCATAAGCACAATAAGAATGCTGTCTTTTGCAACAGGACACCATTGGAGAAACTGTTTATTTTACCAAGGCTTTGACTGGAATGGTGTGCTTTCATTTAAGGACTCAAACTTGATTTATAGAGCCAATAAAAGCCCCTTGAGAAAACTAGCCTCATACTTGTCTACACAGTCCCTCTACAGGGTTCCTGATCTGTGGTAAGTAAAGAATGTCACTTTCTGACAGGCTCAGGAGCCCCAAGTTATCATGAGACCTAAAAAGGAGAGGAATTTACCCAACTCATAGGTATTTGATGGTACAAATCCATGGCTGGGCTCAGCTTTAAAAAAGTGTTATCTGAGATTCCTTCTATGGAACAAAGTTCCATCAAAGGTAATTTTAAAAGCCTATGTGAAAAATAATTATTCTTGCTACACTTTATACAAATATTCTGGCCAAGTATAATAAGGCAAATTCGTCCTACCATGATTTGTCTTTAGAAAAAATGGGAAACTAGAGATAGAAAAATTATGTTTCAAGAGTTATAGTGCACCAGTTGTTAGATTCTGGTCTTGCCTAATGTTTTTCGATTTTTATTATTTTCTACAATGTAGACTGAATTCTAATTTTTCCTGGCAATAAGTCTCCAAAATAATGTTTTCAATTATTTCTCCTTCTTTGTTTTCTTCTTACATTTTTTCTAATTTAAAATCACTGAAAACTAAGCCATGTTTTCTTAAAGCCCTGTGAACTGAAACTAGACAACTTATATGTCAGAAGAAAATAACAGCAACCTATTTACATACATAAGACACTTTTATACCTGCCTACAATATTACTTGAGTAATATTGCCTATATTGATTTTCCAGAAGTGTTCTTTTTCTGTTGTTATTTTTCTCCCTTCCTCCACCTATTTTATCTTCATAGGGCATGAGACTTCACAAAGTGCTAAAATTGAGCTTTCCTAATAATGTGGGACCTACTCATCTAGGAATAAACCATCCTAGCCATGAGAGATGAGACAAAACCTGAAACCAGAGACTCATTTTCTTCTAAAATGCTTTCTCCAAAAGATTTTCAAAAGAAAAGTGGGAAGGTGAAAAGAAAATAAATTGGCGGTTCCAAAATGGCCAAATAGGAACAGCGCCAGTCTACAGCTCCCAGCTTGAGCGACGCAGAAGACGGGTGATTTCTGCATTTCAAACTGAGGTATTGGGTTCATCTCACTGGGGATTGTCAGACAGTGGGTGCAGGACAGTGGGTGCAGCACACTGAGCATGAGCCGAAGCAGGGCGAGGCATCACCTCACCCGGGAAGTGCAAGGGGTCAGGGAATTCCCTTTCCTAGCCAAGGGAAGGGAGGACAAACAGCAACTGGAAAATCGGGTCACTCCCACCCTAATACTGTGCTTTTCCGACAGTCTTAGCAAATGGCACACCAGGAGATTATATCCTGCGCATGGCTTGGAGGGTCCTACGCACATGGAGCCTCGCTCATTGCTAGCACAGCAGTCTGAGATCGAACTGCAATGCAGCAGTGAGCCTGGGGGAGGGGTGCCCGCCATTGCTGAGGCTTGAGTAGGTAAACAAAGTGGCCAGGAAGCTCGAACTGGGAGGTGCCCACCGCAGCTCAAAGAGGCCTGCCTGCCTCTGTAGACTCCACCTCTGGGGGCAGGGCACAGTCGAACAAAAGGCAGCAGAAACCTCTGCAGACTTAAGTGTCCCTGGCTGACAGCTTGGAAGAGAGTAGTGGTTCTCCCAGCATGGAGCTTGAGATCTGAGAACAGACAGACTGCCTCAAGTGGGTCCCTGACCCCCAAGTAGCCTAACTGGGAGGCACCCCCCAGTAGGGGCAGACTGACACCTCACACGGCCGGGTACCTCTCTGAGACAAAACTTCCAGAGGAACGATCAGGCAGCAGCATTTGCTTTTCACCAGTATCTGCTGTTCTGCAGCCTCCACTGCTGATACCCAGGCAAACAGGATTTGGAGTGGACCTCCAGCAAACTCCAACAGACCTGCAGCTGAGGGTCCTGACTGTTAGAAGGAAAACTAACAAACAGAAAGGACATCCACACCAAAACCCCATCTGTACATCACCATCATCAAAGACCAAAGGTAGGTAAAACCACAAAGATGGGGAAAAAACAGAGCAGAAAAACTGAATATTCTAAAAATCAGAGTGCCTCTCCTCCTCCAAAGGAACACAGCTCCTCACCCGCAATGGAACAAAGCTGGATGGAGAATGACTTTGACAAGTTGAGAGAAGAAGTCTACAGATGGTCAAACTTCTCCAAGCTAAAGGAGGAAGTTCAAACCCAATGCAAAGAAGTTAAAACCCTTGAAAAAAGATTAGATGAATGGCTAACTAGAATAACCAATGCAGAGAAGTCCTTAAAGGACCTGATGGAGCTGAAAACCATGGCACAAGAACTATGTGATGAATGCACAAGCTTGAGTAGCTGATTTGATCAACTGGAAGAAAGGGTATCAGTGATGGAAGATCAAATGAATGAAATGAAGTAAGAAGAGAAGTTTAAAGAAAAAATAATACAAAGAAATGAACAAAGCCTCCAAGAAATATAGGACTATGTGAAAATACCAAATCTACATCTGATTGGTGTACCTGAAAGTGATGGAGAGAATGGAACCAAGTTGGAAAACTCTCTGCAGGATATTATCCAGGAGAACATCCCCAACCTAGCAAGGCAGGCCAACATTCAAATTCAGGAAATACAGAGAATGCCACAAAGATACTCCTTGAGAAGAGTAACTCCAAGACACATAACTGTCAGATTCATCAAAGTTGAAATGAAAGAAAAAATGTTAAGGGCAGCCAGAGAGAAAGGTCGGGTTACCCACAAAGGGAAGCCCATCAGACTAACAGCTGATCTCTTGGCAGAAACTCTACAAGCCAGAAGAGAGTGGGGGCCAATTTTCAACATTCTTAAAGAAAAGATTTTTCAACCCAGAATTTCATATGCAGCCAAACTAAGCTTCATAAGTGAAGGAGAAATAAAATACTTTACAGACAAGCAAATGATGAGAGATTTTGTCACCACCAGGCCTGCCCTACAAGAGCTCCTGAAGGAAGCATTAAACATGGAAAGGAACAACCGGTACCAGCCACTGCAAAAACATGCCAAATTGTAAAGACCATTGAGGCTAGGAAGAAACTGCATCAACTAACGAGCAAAATAACCAGCTAACATCATAATGACAGGAACAAATTCACACATAACACTATTAACCTTAAATGTAAGTGGGCTAAATGCTCCAATTAAAAGACACGGACTGGCAAATTGGATAAAGAGTCAAGACCCATCAGTGTGCTGTATTCAGGAAACCCATCTCACGTGCAGAGACACACATAGGCTCAAAATAAAGGGATGGAGGAAGATCTACCAAGCAAATGGAAAATAAAAAGAGGTAAGGGTTGCAGTCCTAGTCTCTGATAAAACAGACTTTAAACCAACAAAGATCAAAAGAGACAAAGAAGGCCATTACATAATGGTAAAGGGATCAATTCAACAAGAAGAGCTAACTATCTTAAATATATATGCACCCAATACAGGAGCACCCAGATTCATAAAGGAAGTCCTTAGAGACCTACAAAGAGACTTAGACTCCCACACAAGAATAATGGGAGACTTTAACACCCCACTGTCAACATTAGACAGATCAAGGAGACAGAAAGTTAACAAGGATATCCAGGAATTGAACTCAGCTCTGCACCAAGCAGACCTAATAGACTTCTACAGAACTCTCCACCCCAAATCAACAGAATATGCATTCTTCTCAGCACCACACCACACTTACTCCAAAATTGACCAAAATAGTTGGAAGTAAAGCACTCCTCAGCAAATGTAAAAGAACAGAAATTATAACAAACTGTCTCTCAGACCACAGTGCAATCAAACTAGAACTCAGGATTAAGAAACTCACTCAAAACCTCTCAACTACATGGAAACTGAACAACCTGCTCCTGAATGACTACTGGGTACATAATGAAATGAAGGCAGAAATAAACATGTTCTTTGAAACCAACGAGAACAAAGACACAACATACCAGAATTTCTGGGACACATTCAAAGCAGTGTGTAGAGGGAAATTTATAGCACTAAATGCCCACAAGAGAAAGCAGGAAAGATCTAAAATTGACACCTTAACATCACAATTAAAAGAACTAGAGAAGAAAGAGCAAACACATTCAAAAGCTAGCAGAAGGCAAGAAATAACTAAGATCAGAGCAGAACTGAAGGAGATAGAGACACAAAAAACCCTTCAAAAAATCAATGAATCCAGGAGCTGGGTTTTTGAAAAGATCCAAAAAATTGATAGACTGCTAGCAAGACTAATAAAGAAGAAAAGAGAGAAGAATCAAATAGATGCAATAAAAAATGACAAAGGGGATATCACCACCGATCTCACAGAAATACATACTACCATCAGAGAATACTATAAACACCTCTACACAAATAAACTAGAAAATCTAGAAGAAATGGATAAATTCCTCGACACATACACTCTCCCAAGACTAAACCAGGAAGAAGTTGAATCTCTGAATAGACCAATAACAGGCTCTGAAATTGAGGCAATAATTAATAGCTTACCAATCAAAAAAAGTCCAGGACCAGATGGAATTATAGCCGAATTCTACCAAAGGTACAAGGAGGAGCTGGTACCATTCCTTCTGAAACTATTCCAATCAACAGAAAAAGAGGGAATCCTCCCTAACTCATTTTATGAGGCCAGCATCATCCTGATACCAAAGCCGGGCAGAGACACAACAAAAAAAGATAATTTCAGAACAATACCCCTGATGAACATTGATGCAAAAATCCTCAATAAAATACTGGCAAACCAAATCCAGCAGCACATCAAAAAGCTTATCCACCATGATCAAGTGGGCTTCATCCCTGGGATGCAAGGCTGGTTCAACATATGCAAATCAATAAATGTAATCCAGCATATAAACAGAACCAGCGACAAAAACCACATGATTGTCTCAATAGATGCAGAAAAGGCCTTTGACAAAATTCAACAGTCCTTCATGCTAAAAACTCTCAATAAATTTGGTATCGATGGGACGTATCTCAAAATAATGAGAGCTATTTATTACAAACCCACAGCCAATATCATACTGAATGGGCAAAAACTGGAAGCATTCCCTTTGAAAACTGGCACAAGACAGGGATGCCCTCTCTCACCACTCCTATTCAACATAGTGTTGGAAGTTCTGGCCAGGGCAATCAGGCAGGAGAAGGAAATAAAGGGTATTCAATTAGGAAAAGAGGAAGTCAAATTGTCCCTGTTTGCAGATGACATGATTGTATATCTAGAAAACCCCATCGTCTCAGCCCAAAATCTCCTTAAGCTG
Source organism: Homo sapiens (assembly GCF_000001405.40). Classification (NCBI taxonomy): domain Eukaryota; kingdom Metazoa; phylum Chordata; class Mammalia; order Primates; family Hominidae; genus Homo; species Homo sapiens. Next base: position 150,968,399 of record NC_000005.10, read on the forward strand.
ATAAGCAACTTCAGCAAAGTCTCAGGATACAAAATCAATGTGCAAAAATCACAAGCATTCTTATACACCAATAACAGACAAACAGAGAGCCAAATCATGAGTGAACTCCCATTCACAATTGCTCCAAAGAGAATAAAATACCTAGGAATCCAACTTACAAGGGATGTGAAGGACCTCTTCAAGGAGAACTACAAACCACTGCTCAATGAAATAAAAGAGGATATAAACAAATGGAAGAACATTCCATGCTCATGGATAGCAAGAATCAATATCGTGAAAATGGCCATACTGCCCAAGGTAATTGATAGATTCAGTGCCATCCCCATAAAGCTACCAATGACTTTCTTCACAGAATTGGAAAAAACTACTTTAAAGTTCATATGGAACCAAAAAAGAGCCCGCATTGCCAAGTCAATCCTAAGCCAGAAGAACAAAGCTGGAGGCATCACACTACCTGACTTCAAGCTATACTACAAGGCTACAGTAACCAAAACAGCATGGTACTGGTACCAAAACAGAGATATAGACCAATGGAACAGAACAGAGCCCTCAGAAATAACACCACACATCTACAATTATCTGATCTTTGACAAACTTGAAAAAAACAAGCAATGGGGAAAGGATTCCCTATTTAATAAATGGTGCTGGGAAAACTGGCTAGCCATATGTAGAAAACTGAAACAGGATCCCTTCCTTACACCTTATACAAAAATTAATTCAAGATGGATTAAAGACTTAAACGTTAGACCTAAAACCATAAAAACCCTAGAAGAAAACCTAGGCAATACCATTCAGGCCATAGGCATGGGCAAGAACTTCATGTCTAAAACACCAAAAGCAATGGCAACAAAAGCCAAAATTGACAAATGGGATCTAATTAAACTAAAGAGCTTCTGCACAGCAAAAGAAACTACCATCAGAGTGAACAGGCACCCTACAGAATGGGAGAAAATTTTTTCAATCTACTCATCTGACAAAGGGCTAATATCCAGAATGTACAAAGAACTCAGACAAATGTACAAGAAAAAAACAACCCCATCAACAAGTGGGTGAAGGTTATAAACAGACACTTCTCAAAAGAAGACATTTATGCAGCCAAAAAACACATGAAAAAATGCTCACCATCACTGGCCATCAGAGAAATGCAAATCAAAACCACAATGAGATACCATCTCACACCAGTTAGAATGGCGATCATTAAAAAGTCAGAAAACAACAGGTGCTGGAGAGGATGTGGAGAAATAGGAACAGTTTTACACTGTTGGTGGGACTGTAAAGTGGTTCAACCATTGTGGAAGACAGTGTGGTGATTCCTCAGGGATCTAGAACTAGAAATACCATTTGACCCAGCCATCCCATTACTGGGTATATACCCAAAGGATTATAAATCATGCTGCTATAAAGACACATGCACACATGTGTTTATTGCAGCACTATTCACAATAGCAAAGACCTGGAACCAACCCAAATGTCCAACAATGATAGACTGGATTAAGAAAATGTGGCACATATACACCATGGAATACTATGCAGCCACAAAAAGGGATGAGTTCATGTCCTTTGTAGGGACATGGATGAAGCTGGAAACCATCATTCTCAGCAAACTATCGCAAGGACAAAAAACCAAACATCACATGTTCTCACTCGTAGGTGGGAATTGAACAATGAGAACACTTGGACACAGGAAGGGGGACATCACACACTGGGGCCTGTTGTGGGGTGGGAGGAGGGGGGAGGGATAGCATTAGGAGATATACCTAATGTAAGTGACGAGTTAATGGGTGCAGCACACCAACGTGGCACATGTATACATATGTAACAAACCTGCACGTTGTGCACATGTACCCTAGAACTTAAAGTATAATAATAACAATAAATAAATAAATAAGTAATAATAATAAATAGATGAACTGAGAGTGGGGAAAAAAAAGGAAAATAAATTTTGGGGCCCCCAAATCTCTATGCTAAAGGGAAAAGTCAAGCTGGGAACTGCTTAGGGCAAACCTGCCTCCCATTCTATTCAAAGTCATCCCTTTGCTCACTGAGATAAATGCATATCTGATTGCCTCCTTTGGAGAGGCTAATCAGAAATTCAGAAGAATGCAACCATTTGTCTCTTACCTTCCTATGACCTGGAAACCCCCTCCCCACTTTGAGTTGTCCTGCGTTTGCTTCAAATTGTCCTGCCTCTGCAGACCAAGACAGTGTTCATCTTACATATATTGATTGATGTTTCATATCTCCCTAAAATGTATAAATTCAAGCTGTGCTTGGACAACCTTGGGCACATGTCATCAGGACCTCCTGAGGCTGTGTTATGGGCACGTATCTTTAACTTTGGCAAAATGAGCTTTCTAAATTGACTGAGATCTGTCTCAGATATTTGTGGTTCACAGGGTTAAGCCTTTAATATATGAATTTTGTGGGGGAGGGTACAATTTAATTCATAGAAGTCAGGATGAAGTTACAGATTTTTCCATGGTGTTTCACTGCAGTACAGCAGTTACTTTTTATGAATTTTTATAAGTTTTCTCTAGCTAAAGCAACCAGGCTTTTGAGGGGTGAGTTGGGGGTAGGACTCTTTAGTCTGTGTCAATTGATGTTTCTGTGTTACCATATTCTTCAATTCCAGGCCTGGGATATATAAGCCAAAAAGAAAACCCAGCAAACTCAGTGCATTGAATCCCAAAGTCCCTAACTAGTGTGCCTTCTCTTCACTTTTTGGAGTCTTCTTTTGTTTGTTTCATCTGTGAAACACAGGGGACATGGTGGTTAAAGGAGCTCCACAGACCTTCTCTCTCCAAAAAATTACCATAAATGATAAGTTGAAAAAAATATAAAAAACAAACAACAACTAAAAAAACATTTCAAAGCTCTGGAAATTGTCCTAAGGATCACTGGAAGTGAAAAAACATTTATTTAAGAAAATCCAATAAATCTTGGTAAGAACTTTGAGATTCTGTGGCATTTAAGCCACAATCTTGTCTTCCCCTACCCATAGCTCAGCATGATGAAAGCTTCATTCCAAGGAGATGTGGCCAAGAAACAGAGCTTCTTCTTTCTCATTTTCCAGTCTAGAACTGTGGCGTCTCCCCATGAGGGGCAGGCCTCCAACTTTTCTCATTCTCTTAGCTCTGTGTTACAGAAGCTTTATTGTAGGCAACAATAGGGCTCTCGCAAAGCATGTCTTACACCTATAATCCCAGCTCTTTGGAAGGCCAAGGTGAAGGATTGCTTGAGTACAGGAATTCAAGACCAGCCCTGGCAACATAGCCAGACTTTATCTCGACAAAAATAAAAAAAAAATTATCCAGGTATGGGGGTGTACACCTATAGTCCCAGCTACTTGTGAGGCTGAGGAGGGAGGACTGCTTGAGCCCAGGAGGTCAAGGCTGCAGTGAGTTGAGATGATGCCACTACACTCCAGCTTGGGCAACAGAGTGAGACCCTGTCTCAAAAATCAAAAAAGAATGGGGCAGTTTCTCCTCCCAGCCTCCACTCCTAGAGCAGAGGCTCTACCCCATGTGTTACAAGCCGAGAATACTGGGGACCTACTTGCCTTAGCTCATTGTTAGGGCAGAGTTTTCATGCCAGGAGAAGCAAGTCAAGAAGACCAGAGGCTATTGCCCCCACCCAGTGCTCTGCTAGTAAAGCAGAGGTGTCATGCCAAGGGAAGGGGGCCACTGTCCCTGACTCCATCTCCACATAATTGGCATGTAGGTTTGCCCAGAGAGAGAGAGGAAGATTGTAAGAACAAAGAGGAACTTTGAAGCTTTCCCCAAGTAACTGATTGTATTTGGAACAGTTGAGTGGGGAAGTTCAAGCATAAGGGTACTTTCAAATATAATTGGTATTTTAATAGTAAGCAATTAAGAGGAAGCTGGTAGTGTTATGAGAGCAAGCTAAAGCCCAGATAGAAGTTTACCAGACAAGATTGAGGGGGTGAGGGAAACATCTGAGCCCTCCCAGAGTCAGAACAAACCTCAAGGACTGGCCTCAAAGACCACTCTTGTAAGAATCTGAATTTAATTATATCAGACTGTGGAACACTTTATGCCTTAGGGCACTGCCAAAAACAGTGAGGCAATGATCAAACAATTAGTGGAAGTCAAAGGCTAGGTGTGATACCAAGAGATGCAGATAGCTTAACAGGGACATCAGGGAAAGAGATAGTCATAGAGAGCCCTATTAAAAGTTACTGTCATCCCAGGATAACTCTGTCCATGCCCAAGGCTGCACTATCGGAAAAGTAACATTAGTATAAAAGATGGTATATACTACAGGGAAATACACATTATTAAAATAGTCCAGCCAAGCCACTAAACACATATACAAGTAAGAAAGACAACAGCTCCTGGGGGAGAGAATCAGTATCTGGACTGCTACAACACATTATCTAAAATGTCTGGTTTTCAACAAAAATAAATATGAAATATGTGAAGAGACAGAAAAATGTGACTCCTATGCAAGAGAAAAAGGAGACAACAGAAAGTGCTTTTGAAAGAGTCTATGTTTTGGACATAGCAGACAAACACTTCAAAGCAGCTATTATATGCAGGAGCAGTAGCATTCACCTTTAGTTCCAGCTACTTGGAAGGGTAAGGTGGGATGATTGCTTGAGCCCAGGAGTTTGAGTCCAGCCTGGACAACATAGTAAGACCTCATCTCTACTGATTAATAACAATAATAATAATAATAATGCAGCTAGTATAAATGTATTCAGATAATTCAATAAAATCACGATTAAACAAGTGAAGGAACCAACCAAAAAAAGTCTGATGACAATGTAACATTAAATAGAGAATATCAACAAAGAAATAGAAATTATTTTTAAAAATGGGCTGGGCACAGTGACTCACCCCTGTAATCCCAGTACTTTGGGAGGCCGAGGTAGGTGGATCACAAGGTCAGGAGATTGAGACCATCCTGGCTAACACGGTGAAACCCCATCTCTACTAAAAACATAGGCTCAAAATAAAGGGATGGAGGAATATTTACCAAGCAAATGGAAAGCAAAAAAAAGCAGGGGTTGCAATCCTAGTCTCTGATAAAACAGGCTTTAAACCAACAAAGATCAAAAGACACAAAAAAGGCCATTACATAATGGTAAAGGGATCAATGCAACAAGAAGAGCTAACTATCCTAAATATATATGCACCCAATACAGGAGCACCCAGATTCATAAAGCAAGTTCTTAAAGACCTACAAAGAGACTTAGACTCCCACACAATAATAATGGGAGACTTTAACACCCCACTGTCAATATTAGACAGATCAACAAGACAGAAAATTAACAAGGATATTCAGGACTTGAACTCAGCTCTGGACCAAGCAGACCTAATAGACATCTACAGGTTTTGTGAGAACTCACTATCGTGATGACAGGACCAAGTGTGGTGGTGTTAAACTATGAGAAACTGCCCCGATGATCCAATCACTTCCCACCAGGCCCCACCTCCAACATTGAGGATTACAATTGAACATGACATTTGGCTGGAGACATAGATCCAAACCATATCAGCATCTTTGAGAAATATTCTACAGGACTCTTTTAAAGGCCTTGGACCTTTAGGAATAATTGTCAATATTTGACATAACTCCTTATCTACTTGAGCACCATTGCCCTGAATCAGCTTCCCAATCTTCCTTGCATGGCTTTTAGAGAGTGAAACTGGCCTCTTCAGGTGTATTCTCTCCATGATTCCTATCAATTTCATTTAGGACATTGAGAGAAGTCATCAAGGCCATGCTCCCCCTGAAAGCTCTAAGAAAGAATCCTCTTCCTCTTTCAGCTTCTGGTGGCCCCAGGCATTTCTTAACTTGTAGCTGCATAATTTCAATCTCTGCTTCAGTCTATATATGGCCATTTTCTCTTTGCCTGTGCATCCTCTCCCCCTTTTTATAAGGATACAAGTAATTGTTTTTAGGTCCCACCCTAAACCCAGGATGATTTCATCTCAAGATCCTTAACTGATAACATCTGTAAAGACCCTATTTTCAAACAAGGTCACATTCTGAGGTTTTGAATAAACGTGATTATTTGGGGGAGGCTATTCAATCCACTACAAACATAGCCAATTTCAAACACATATCTAGCCTACAAAGGAGTATGGTAAACCTCTGTGTGCCCATCACTCTGCTTCAACAACTATCAACCTAAGGCCAATGTTTCATCTGTTCTCCATTCACGTACTCTCCATTCTTCTCACATCATCTTGAAGCAAATTCCTGAGATCTTATTCCATCAATAAATATTAGTATAAATCTCTAATAGGTAATGGTATCTTTAAAAAAGAGTCCTTATCACCCCAAAAACAATTTAACATCATTATTTAATATCCTCAAGTATTTGGTAAATATATCTCCAGCTCTTAGACCCTATATTTATTGAGCCATCATTTTATTCTAATTTATTATCTTCTATTTTATTTCTTATAAAGTGCTTCAGATAATTAATTTCTACTCACAATCACACTTCCCATTCTCTCCTTAATTCCTGAAGACAGTATTCTACCTTGCCCTCTGTTCCTACTGATATTGACCAAAACCAAGCCTGCACTCATACTTCTAAGTAATTACCTACATCCTGATGTACTTTTTGGTAACTATACTAGTGTATTACATAGTGGTTAAGAGCACAGACTCAAATCAGACTGCCTCGTTTAAATATCAGCTCCAGCACTATTCACACAATAGAGGTGTAAATTTTGGTAGGTTACTAACTTTTATACCTCAGTTCCTCATCTATAAAACAAGAATAAAAGTAGTATCTAACTCATAAGGTTGCAAAGAGATTTAAAATAATTTATATTTAAAACATTTATGTGCCTAGCACATAATTAACACCATAAAAAGATTAGCAATAATTATTATATTATTGTCATCTGTCCTAAAATTTGCCCCTACTTGCACTTGGGCAACCCCACACACACATGGTCTCATTTCCATTTCCTCGTCACTTTTTAATTTCACTGGATTGTCTCATTTTCCTTTGAGTGTATTCTGCTTTCTAATTTTCTCTGTATTGGGTAACTCAGCAGGTTCATCACGCTTCTTACCATGGAGGTCTCAATAATACACTCCAGATATGATCACCATTCTATTTCCTCTGCAGATTCCACCTATTCTAAGCCATCATCAGCTCTTGAATGAATGAGTGCAACAGATTCCTAACTAGTCTCCCTGCTTTTCAAACATGTTCTCCAAAAGCCCATTTCCCACATAACATCTAGAGGAATCCTGTTGATTTTCAAGTTAGCTTATGTCATTTCCCTAACAAAATATTCCAGTAGCTTATTTCTCCCTAGTTTGTTTTTCCTTAACATTTGAAAAATGTTCTCATATTTCTTCTTTTTCTCCATTCCCACTGACGTTAGCAAAAATGAGGCCAACATTCTCTCTTCTTCTATTGTTCCAGTTGGATTTATTGATTTGATTCTTTAGATCTTTTTAAATGTTTCTGCCAGATATTTTTACCTAAAGCATTTTATTTATCCTATCAAGAGCTTGATAAAATAAATCTGCAATTGTTCTCCATTATCTAACATATGGTTTTTTGTTTCTTTTTTTTTTTTTTTTTTTTGAGATGGAGTTTTGCTCTTTCTGCCCAGGCTGGAGTGCAATGGCGTGATCTCGGCTCACCACAACCTCCGCCTCCCAAGTTCAAGTGATTCTCCCACCTCAGCCTCCTGAGTAGCAGGGATTACAGGCATGCACCACCAAGCCCATTAATTTTGTATTTTTAGTAGAGACAGGGTTTCTCCATGTTGGTCAGGCTGGTCTTGAACTCCCGACCTCAGGTGATCCGCCTGCCTCAGCCTCCCAAAGTGCTGGGATTACAGGGGTGAGCCACTGCGTCCGGCCTATCTAACATAGGGTTTTTAAATTCTTAAGTCCTTCAACTAACTAGCCTCTTTAATGTTACTTCTCCATCTCCCCCAAACTTAGCCTTACTCCTTTTGAAAATACAATTAATGGCCTAAAAGGGACAAAAGTTGTGTTGAGGCCTCTGTGGAACCAACACTGGATACAGAGTGTAAATCTATTCATATAAGCTAATGACTTAATGTTGGGAACTGGACCAGGAAGCTCAGTAGAATTGTAGAATTCTGAGCCAAGGAGTGACTTCATTGCTCTGGATGTAGATAGCACAAGTGTAATAGTAGTCAGGTACAGGCAGAAGTTTATAAAATAGGTGAAAATGAAGGTTGATAAGAATTTAGATCCACACTGAGAAATCTGCTACTTAAGGGTCCACATTGATGATATCCAGAAGTTGGGAAATCATGGTATAAAGCAGAATTAAGAAAGTGAGAAGGGCTGGCCACAATGGCTTATGTCTACAATCCCAGCACTTTGGGAGGCCGAAGCAGGCAGATCACTTGAGGTCAGGAGTTTGAGACCAGCCTAGCCAACATGGTGAAACCCTGTCTCTACAAAAAAATACAAAATTAGCCAGGCGTGGTGGCACACAAGAGGCTTAGGTGGAAGAATCGCTTGAACCCAGGAGGCAGAGGTTTCAGTGAGCCAAGATTACCCCACTGCACTCCAGCCTGGGTGATAGAGTGAGGCCCTGTCTCAAAAAAAGAGGAAGAAAGGAAGGGAGGGAAGGAGGGAGGGAGGAAGGAGCACATACTTGTCTGAGGATCAGTAATAATACATATAATAATAACATCTGACTTTCATTGAAAACATATTATGTGCCAGGTAGTATTCTGAGTGCTTAAATCTATTGATTCATTCTGTCCTCACAACTACAAGGTAGTCACTGTTACTATTCTTTTTTATAGAACAGAAAATTGAGGCCCAAAGAGATCAAATAACTTACCCTGTCCCTAATTAGTAATGGAGCTAGGACTCAGACCATGGTAAGCTGGATTCAGAGCCTTTGTACTTAATTGCAATGCCTCTTGCATATGCGCTAGGTAGGGAACAAGGTGATAGCAGAATTTAATAGTCAGGATTGATGCAGTATTCCTGAACTAGTATAGAATGAGCTAGATTAAAAACTCAGCAATTAGAATTCAGTAGCGAATCAAATCCTGAGATAAGTAGGATTTGGCTTATCCTGTGGCCAATTTTCCTCGTATTAAACATATAAATTCATGGGCCTTCACACCCATAAAAGAATAAATTAGTATTATAATTTTTAAAATATGATTAAAATTAGTGCTTTCTGAAGTACTGGTTAGGTGTTTCTGTTTGCAAAGAGAATTTATGGTTTTGTAAGATTAGTTTAATGTTGATGGTGGAATAGACAAGAGCCAAAAGACACTAGAAGCAAAGAGAAAAATGAAAATTAAACTATAGCAATCCAGCAGTTAGTTAATAAGGCTGCAGCTCAGATATTCCTGTTCCTCATCCAGTCCTTACTTTTTTTCTCCAATCACCGTTGTTACCCTGGTCAGTTTTAATTCTGCTAAATAAGCTCTCCCCACTGACCCTGTTGCAACTGTCCTTCTTTGTTCCTTTTTACTATTCCTCAAGATTATTTAGTGTTTCTGCCCAGTTTGCAAAATCCTATTTGTATATAGCCATATATACTTTGTTCATTGTCATATTCTGTTTCTGTTTCTACTACTGCAATTTTTAAAAAATGTGGTTTTCTTTCTTGAAATGCTCAGGGGGATAGACTCCATTTAGCCTTGATATTTCTTGTAGGCCATATGTATATTATGCATGAAAGTAAAGATTCAATCTCATAATATGACAAAAAGTTATGAGTCATAATACATTAGCAGATATATTTACCAGTATATAGTTAATTGTGCTTCTTTCTAGAAGTCTGGCAAGACTTCCAACCACATGCAGAGGCACCAGGAGAACCAATAAACACTTTTGAGGCATGTTTCATTAATAGACCAGGGAACTGAGACAGAGGAAAGGGGTGACAACTGTAATGCTCTTGAAAATATATTTCATCTGAGCCCAGACTTTATTTCAAAAATTCCAAAAATGTGGCTGTTATGGTAGGAATTTGAACTATTTGGATTTATTTAGTGGCAATAGAAGATATGCCACAAAAAAAAAGAGCATAGTGAATGTGAAAAAGCCTCCTTCCAGAAGTCAGACCTCATTATGCAAAAGAGAACCATAAGAGAGAAAAGCCCTTAATATGTACTAAGTGTGGGAGAACCTTCAGCAGGGAATCAAATCTCATTATACACCTGAGAATCCATACTCAAGAGAAAACCTACGAGTGTGTTGAATGTAGAAAAGCTTTCTCCCACAAGTCACATCTGTTGAACGTTAGAGAATTCACACCAGGGAGAAACCCTATGAGTGTGGCGAGTGTGGGAAAGCCTTTTTCCAAAACTTACACCTCAGCATTTACAGGAGAACTCATACTAGAGGAAAACCCTATGTGTGTGATGAATATGGGAGAGCCTTCAGCCTGAAGTCACACCTCTTTGTACATCAGAGAATACACACAGGAGAGAAATCTTCTGTGTGAACTAAGTGTGAGAGAGCTTTCAGTGAAGTGTCATGCCTTATTAGACATCAGAAAATTTACACTAGAGAGAAACCTTATACATGTAATGAGTGTTAAAAAGTTTTTTCTCAAAAGCCTGACCTCATACATTACAGAATTCACACAGGGAAAAAAACTCATGTAAATGCAGTCAATGTGTAAAAAAAAGCCTTCAGACATAGATCAGCCCTCTGTCGACATAAGAGGACTCATAAAGAAAAACATCCCTGAACAAGAAATAAATATGGGAATATCTTTAACTAGAACTTGTAGTGATAGAAAGCCTTCAGTCAAAAGCAAACCTTATTATTTATCAAGAAATCTTACTGAGGATAAGCCTGTTTAATATATTTATAAAAGCGCGCAGTTATGTTTCTATAGAAAACATATTCCAGATGTGATTCCTAAATATTTCTTGAGGATATTACAGAAAATACATTTTTATTAGAGAATAAATGTTCACTGTGGACCACAAAGGCTTTTAAAATATTAATAAGTGAACTAGTCAGAACAAACTTAGAAAACGATATGTGGACAACCCACAAGATATGAATGTTACTATATGTGCCACTACTTATTGCTGTAAGTCCTGGCTGCACTACATTTTGCTATGCATCATATAAAATAAGTTATATGTGTTGGAATTGCATATGTGAATCTAAAAATTTGTAAATATAAAATAATTACTATATATAGAATGCCATTTACTAAGACTTTCTACATTAAATATTACCATTTTTCCCCTAAAGAAAATACAAGTTATAACCAAAAATACAGTGTTCAGTAAGAGTTCTAAAGTGTAAAATAAACTTTTTTCTGTTGCTTTCTGGTATGTATGACTTCTGCTGCTTCTTAATGAGAAGTACATAAAGGTGTTAATTACATAAAATATATAAATATAAACTAGATATCATATAAGTCTCAGTAGCAAAAGAAAATAGTCATGGCCTCTTACAAGACTCACTGCAATTTAAAAAGGAATTCTTGGTGGGTACAATTACCCTTTTTACATACTGTTATGGACTGAATTGTACCTTCCCACCAAATTCATATGTTGAAGCCCTAATCACCAATACCTCAGAATATGACTGTATTTGGACATACTGCCTCTAAAGAGTAATTAAAATAAAACCATTAGGATGTGTCCTAATCTAATCTGACTGGTGTTCTTACAAGACCTAGAGAGTAGGACACACGAGGAGACATCAGGGGCAGGTGTACACAGAGAAATGACCATGTGAAGTGGCAGCAAGAGGGCTGCTATCTGCTAGCCAAGAAGAGAGGCCTCCAAGGAAACCAACCCTTTTGCACATTGATCTCAGACTTCCAGCCTCCAGAATTGTGAGAAAATAAATTTCTGTCATTTAAGCCACTCACTCTAATATTTTGTAAGGCAGCCCTAGGAAACAAATACAAACACTACTGCTCTTTTTCCCTGGAGTACTTTGTAAGCTTGAGTATACAAAGTATAAGTACTACGTAAGCCAATAATATGATAGAGTGCTTGCTATACTGCACGGCATCTCTATTTGGCATTTTCTAATTCACCTTGTGACAGATTAGTAAGAGAGATATTTTCATAAGGATTTTACAATTCACAAATATTATAAAGACTTTTTGCAGAGAGAATTGTTCATTTTTAAAATTCCATCTAACAGTAGGGGTAGGTATTCTGTAAATTTCCATGTGAGTATCCATGCCATTAAAAATCAACTTGTTCCTTATTTATAAATTAAAAGTGGGGCCTCATTCTTCTAAAGCAAATTTTGACAGGGAGTTAAGATTACAAGGCAGAAACCTACAAGAGGTGTTAAGAGCTCTTATTCTGGATTTAGACAGATGTAGATTCTGAATCTGCTCTGAGCCTCAATAGCACCTAGTTTGTTGGATCATTGCAAGGATTATACAATATCATGTATGTATGGTGCTCATAAGATGTTAGCTATTTTATATTATTTAAGGATATAATTCCCATTCTAGTTATGAAGACAGACAAGGAAACAACTCTAATTAGGATTATATTAGAGAGAACTGTAGGGAGTCATGTGTATCATTCTGTTTCATTCTCACAACCATGTCAGTCTTTCAGACTCAGGTGTGGGCCTGGAACCACTGCCCTGAATTGCCCCTCTACATCTATTCTATAATTGCTTGTTCAGAAGCAATACCATTGCTGATACCCCAAACTCCTTATCTTTATCTCATCTACTGATGAGACCCATTGCTTGGAGGGTAGTTACATGGAAAGCCATTCACAAAACACCTTATTAACTTTGTGGGTGAAAAAAAAGTGTATCTTAATTGTATTAAGCCACTGAGATTTAGGGATTGATTATTAATAGCAAATAGCAATCATTTTCTAGTAGAAAGAAATTGGTCCTGGAAGTGTCCTGCTAATGTAATAAAAACCTAAAATATGGCATAGGCCTAGTAGTTGAGCAGTGAGAAAACTGATGTCAGAAGTGGAAAGATGTTTATCTATGTTTTGTACTAGCCAAACATTTGGTTTGGGCCAGGCGTGGTGGCTCACACCTGTAATTTCAGCACTTTGGGAGGTCAAGGTAGGCAAATTGCTTGAGCCCAGGAGTTCAAGACCAGCCTAGACAATGTGATGAAACCCTGTCTCTATAAAAAATACAAAAATTAGCCAGATGTGGTCGTGTATACCTATAGTCCCAGTTACTCAAGAGCCTGAGGCAGGAGGATTTCTTGAGCCCAGGAGGTTGAGGCTACAGTGAGCTGTGATTTTGTCGCTGTACTCCAGCCTGGGTGACAGAGCAAGACCCTGTCTCAAACAAAACAAAACAAAACAAAACAAAACATTTGGTTTGATTGTCTCCTCTACACATGCTTACTTTGTTGACAGCTCCAGAAGATAATTAGAAAACAGAGTATTAGTAATATTTGCTGTTTTACTGGCTGTATTTGGAAGCTATTGTAAGAAAAAGATAAACTCAGAGAAAATTAGTGGATTATAAGCAAAAATGAAAGAAAATAGAGTCCTGAAATTTGAGACCTCATGGAGTTTAAAAAATTTGATTTCTAGACTTCAAATGTTAGGAGAATAATTTAAATGGTTTTGAGTGTATCAAAGACCTAATAAACATTTGCTAGTGAAATAAAGTGACTCAGAAGAAAGATTATATTAAGAAACTGAAACCTTCTCGTTCAAGCTTGATAACCTTACAGTAGTCTGTTATTCACCTACCCTAGCTCCATGATGGAGAAGCTCAATTTTAGGCAGCTACAGCCAAGAAGACTGGGGCTCCCATACCCAACCTAGCTCCCACTTGTAGAGCAGAGGCTCTTGCCAAGGTAAGAGAGGCTAAGAGTATTGGGACCTCAATTGCCCTCCTCCTCAGCTTTTCTCTATAGAGTAGATGTTTCATGCCAGGAAAGGCAAGCCAAAAAAAAGATCATTCTCCCAGCTCCCACTAATAGGATAGAGGCTCCAGACTGGCAGGAGTACATTAAAAAGATCTCAGGCCTTCATCTTCCTACCAAGATCTCACTTGCAGGAAGGAGTATCCCTGCTAAGAAGCTTCCCCGGATTCCACTGGTAGGGCAGAGGTGTCACTTCAGGAAAATCCGGCGTTCCCCTTTGTCCCCCGCTTCTGTGCAAGAGTGTAGATGTTATATCCAGGGAAAGAAGCAAGATGGGAGGGCCAGAAGCTCCTCAGCTCAGCTGGGGGGCTGACTGTATTTAATCATAACATGAAGGGTTGCATGAATTAAGGCATTGTTGAAAATAGAGATCTTAGTGGCAAGCACTTAAGAGAATTCTAATAGTTTCATAAAACAAGTAGCAACAAATGAAACAGCAAGTCACCCGGTTTAACAGAGTGAACAAGAGAAAGAGCTAAAACTGGAAGTCTGTGCATATGTCTATGTTTCACACATTCAGGACCAACCATAACAGGTACTAGCTGAACTTGAGTGGAATTGAAAGAATTTCCCAAGCCACACGCTGATACATTAGCAAAGAGTGGAAGTCTTACTAGCTCAAGGAGTGTAAGCACAACCCCTGACCAAACACTGGCTAAATGTTAAGATATTTTGACCCAACGGTGACTTCTAGGAAGCCAGGCTTGGGGTAAAAGCTACACACTGTGGGGTGGGGGGCGGCGGGGGGAAATAGAGTTTACAAAGTTGGTGCAAGCAAGCCACTAAACAAACTAACAAAACAGAGCCACATCAATAATCCCTAAAGGGGATGTGTCAGAATCCAGAGTTGCTACAATATATTATTTCAAAAACTATTAGAGATGCAAAAGAACAAAATAGTATAACCCTTGTAAAGGAAAAACAGCATCAATAAAAACTGCTTTTGAGGAGGTCTAGATGTTGGACCTGTAAGGCAAAGATGCCAAAGAAGCTATTACAAATATGTTCAAAAAACTAAAGAAAACCATGTTCAAAGAATGAAAGGAATGTATGGTGACAATGACTCATCAAATGGAGAATGTTAGTAGAATAAAAAGTGTTTAAAGACTCAAATAAAAATTCTGGAGTTGAACAGTAGAATACCTGAAATGAAGATTCACTTTAGGTACTCAAAAGTAGATTTGAGCTGGCAGAAGAATCAGTAAGCTTGGGGCTCGATCATTCGATATTATACAGTCTTAGAACAGAAAGAAAAAATAATGAAGAAAACCTGAGCAGACTTCTGGTTTCTAGTCTGACATGTAAAGAGCTTGGAAGTTGTCAATCCTATCATCACAACCAGAAAAAAGTCTGAAAAACTGGAAATTAACAATTCTTAGATCCTTCAAAGAATCAAGGTCACAGGACAAACCACTGCCCCAGAAACTAGAGAGACAGGTAGATGCTGAGAATCACAGGTTCACTGACAGCGGAAGTCCACCACTAAAGTCAATATATTTTAGGAACACTTAAACTACAATTGATGAATTGCTAGAGACTAGCAATAAAAGTGCCAGCATTCTAGTTGATGAAAATGTTGTGACCAGAGGCTTACATGAACCTAATCCTGTATTCCTCTTGGAGCAATTATTCAGTATTTACTAATACAGTGTTTGTGGTGGATTTATTTAACATAAGTACTGTGAATAATAAAATCAACTGTATATGAAATCTTGACTATCCATTTACATGTAGGAGAATCAACAAATGGTATTCTCCACAAATGGAATCAACCCCTAGAAGTTCCTGAGAAATCCCTGTTGAGTGGGAAAGGACCTAGAGCCAAGGAGACAAGGTTGGAGGTGACTGGTCCTCTTCCTTTGTTCTTCCACTGAAATTACTTGAGAAGCATCATGACACATCCTTATACACAGGGTATGGTGGAAAAATAATTGGCAGTCAAAAAGACTTAAGTGTATGAAGACTTAAGCATGATACACATGGAGAAGGTGATGGTGTAAAGAATGACAATGGCGTCTGAGTAACATTCTGAAGGAGGAGGGAAGTTCAAAAGGTGGGATGGTGTGCCTGGATGAGACACATGAGGGAGAAGGATTTTCTATGGTGCTTCTGTTAGTTTAGCAGGTAGAATGCCCCTGTGAAGGGTACAGGAAGCATGTGGCAGAGTGGGTGCCTAAGTCTGGGTTTAGGGAGACTTTAGAAACAATTTGAAACCCAGGGTCTTACCCTCTGTTCACCTCATAGAACAGTAAAATCCCTTGGATCAGGCAAACTCTGATGAAAAACCCAGACTGCCATCTCTCTCCCAGATGGCCAATTTTCCTTCTGGTGCTGGCGAATGATGAAGTTGTCTTCAGGAAGGCAGAATTCTGCTGCGTGCTCTCCTCTTCTGAGGAGTTATACCACCACACAGCCTTTGCTCCCAGAAAGAGTCACCATCTTGTGTTCTAACATGGATCCCTTGTAAGCCCATACAAACCACTCCATCCATACTTAACTGCTTTCTCCACAAAGGCAACTGAGTCTAGGAGCCAATGGACTATCTCACTTTATTTTTTAAAATTTACCCAGGGCACTTTTTCATGTTCTTTCTTCTCCCTGGAACTTACTAGCATTATGGAACACAAGGATGTGTTTGTGGTCATCTTCTCTTTACAAGATAGGTCACATAGACCCATAAGTAGGCTGTGTATACTTTTCTTACAAAGGAGGTGTCACTTACCTTGGGAATACCAGCCAGCCACATATGAAATCCCAGACACAGGAGACCCCTAAGAAAAAGGCGAGGCTGTCTGTAACTGCCTTAGCAACTAAGCCACCAGTGGATTCAACTCTTAAAATTACAGCACCATGGAAACACAAAATCACAGAATTTTGGATTTGGGTAACACTAGAGAGCTCACATAATTAAATACCTTAATAGAAAATTCTCATTTACTAATTAGAAGTTTTTAACCATGTAGTGTAACCATGTATACACTATTCTCAAAGAGAATGGGAATATCTTCTTCAGTTACTTAATGAAAACATACAAGGAATCTGAAACCCTAACATACCAGAATCCATGGGACAAAAGGAAAATTATTTGATCATGGGATTCAGAAGCATTTACTGGATCAAGGTTTAGAGATGCTGAAAGTAGAGAATCAGTGTTAGGTTTTGGAGGGAAGGCAAGGGTTAAAGGAAGACAGAGAGAGAAACAGAGCAACTCAACAGCAAACACAGGTATATTGCAGACACCTGTGGAAGCGGGAGACCCGCTTAATGCCAAAACCCACCACCACTTACAAGCAGCAGTACTTACAGGTATGGCTGGGAGAAGTCTGGATAGTGTGGCTTGCTGCCCGGCAGGATATCAATAAGATGTACCCATGATAGGGTGGTTTGACCCTTTTTCTGGTGGGATGTCATCATGGTGTTCCTTGGGCCTTTGCCCAGTAAGACAGGATAGGGAGGTTTCTTTAGTTGGGCCTTTGCCTGGTAGGGTATAATAAGAATGTTTTTTTTATTGGGCCTTTGTCTTCCTTGTGGTCAGGTGGCCAGGTAGGATGTTTCTCATGGCCCAAACCCCCGTGGAATGTTTCACTTTGACCAAGGTCTGCAAAATAGCAGGGGACTTACAAAATGGTGCCGTTTGCACTAACACAAAGGTGAATGGCATGGGGAATGGTAGGTCAAGAAAGCTGCTTCCTTAATTTATCCCTTCTCTTGAAATGTCTTCATTATTAAGACTTTCATTTTAACTGCCTT
This sequence comes from Homo sapiens, assembly GCF_000001405.40. NCBI lineage: Eukaryota > Metazoa > Chordata > Mammalia > Primates > Hominidae > Homo > Homo sapiens. The sequence continues at coordinate 150,986,004 of NC_000005.10, forward strand.
TGGAGTTAAAATATAAAATATGAATTTTAACACAGAAGTGTGAATGCTGGTATTTTTGAAATCAAGTTCTTATAATCCCAGGCTAGTGACAGCTTGCCTGGGCAACTAAGTAACTTAAGTTCATAAGTAAACACTAACTCTGCTGAAACTAAATAACTCATTTTAGCTTCTGAACATTTTAAGCATTTCTCATTCTGGATAAGAAAGAGAAATGCTGAAGCAGAATTTATTTCATCTGCTTTAGATGAATTTAGGAATCCCTTGCAAGGCATAAAACTAATTTTGTGATCCTTTGAGTAATATGGATTTCTGAGGAAATTCTAGATTCAGAGAAGTGCTGGGCCAGATTTTGGTTAAGGCAATGACATGGAAAAATTTTTCAAAGAAGAGGTAAAAATATGTAGTGGAGTTTTTTTGTTTTTTTTTTTTCATAATCAGGAGTTTGAGAGGGTATAATGGAAGTTGTTAGGTTTTGACGGGAAGGCGAGGGTTAAAGAAAGACAGGGAGAGAGAGTTAGCAGCTCTACAGCAAACACAAGTTTTATGTCTAGCACAAGACCTGCGGAGGTTGGGGACCAGCTTAATGCCAAAGCCCACTGCCGCTTACAGGCTGGGGTACTTATAGGTGTGGGTGGGAGGGGTCTGGGCAGTATGGCTTGCTGCCTGGCAGGATGTTGATAAGATGTTCCCATGATGAGATGGTTTGGTCTTTGTCCTGGCAAAATGTGATAGTGATGTTCCTTGGGCTTTTTCCCAGCAGAATATGGTAAGAAATTCAGGTGGTTGAGCAAAATGTTTCTCATGGCCTGAATCCCCATGGAATGTTTCACTTTGACCAATGTCTGCGAAATGATGGGGGGCTTACAAAGTGGTACAGTTTGGATTAACATTCTTGCCTTCTACTTCAGTCTAAAAGGAAGAGGGGCATTGTTGATTATCTAGCTGCTTCCTGCTGAATAGGGGCACTGTAATCAGGGCTTGGGTTTTGAAGCAGTGGGTGTCCAACTTCAGAGTTGTTTTCCTGGAGATGTTGATACCAGACTTGGTGGGGAAAGATGGTATCAATGTGTTTCTGGGTGGCTGCCTAGACAAGGTAGTTCTGCCTTTGGGAGATAAAGTGGGATATGAAGGTAAGTATACATGGGCCAATTGTGAGTATTAGGAGGAAGATTAGGGGCCCTAAGAAAGGGGTAACCAGATATCCCTGTGCCAAGTGTAGCTGAGATGCTTAGTCCTGCTAACAGGGGAATGAAGTGTATAGCCCACTTGGTGTGTGTGGAGGAGGAGGAAATAGGGATTACTAAAGAACCTGAATGGTTTGATTGTTAGGCAAAATGTTAATGTTTGGAGATTGAAACACCAGGGTACATGTTCCTGACCAACTTGCCAGTAGGCAAAGAAGAGAGTTTGTTCCACACAGAAAGAAAAGACTGGGGGTTGACAGGCAAAGTTGTAAGTGAAGGCAGTGAGCCATGAGAAGCCGGGGGTTAAATCCTGAACAAACTTTTGTCCCAACTTTTTTGTTTTTCCAGGTTGAATAACTGTTAACAAGGATAGTCCCTGTTAGGGCCTGATAGGGATATTGGTGGTGAAGGCTGTCTGGTTTTAGACAGAGAGAGAGAAATGGGTTTTTGTTAACAGCCATTGCGGTCCTGACAGGGAAGAAGAATAAAGGTTGCAGTTGAGGGAATTGTCTGTGCATTTTTTTAGGGAGTTCCCTTAAGTTGGATGCATGGAGAACAGTGCTGGCAGAGAAGGGAGGGGTTGGGAAGGGATGTTTTATGGAATTCAGTTTGTAACATGTTTAGTTTACAGGCCATGAGACGAAAGAGGGTGCCAGCCCTGCGTGCGATGGTGCAGGTAGGTTTGATGGATTGCAGGGAAAGGTGTTTAGCCAAGCAAGATTATAAACAGGTTTTGGGAAGGGACTGGTTGAGTAGGTGAGATGCAGGTTTACTTTGGATCAAGTTTCTGTGGTTAGGTTAACAGGAAGGGCTGTGAACTGCTGGATTTGTGTGGACAAACAAATTTAACAATTGGAAGAAAGAGGAGAGTGTGACTGATTTAAGAGGTAATGTGTGAGGTTGACAAAGGAAGCCCAACTGCCAGAGGTTATGGGATTTAGAGTATCCCACAGCAAAGACAAAAGGGGAAAAAGAAGATTTGAGTACGAGGGAAATTTTGGAAGGTACCCTGCAGCCATAGCTCCTGGGTTAATGTGAGGAATTGGAGTGGACTATCCAGGGATGTGGGGAGGGAATATCAGGAAAGATCTGAAACAAGGTGTGAGATAACAGATTTGAACTTGGAGGCAGAGAGTGTAATGGACCAGGGCCTTCTGGACTGGCAACTTCTGGAATTCTTGTTAAGCATAGTGAGGTTGGTCCTATGAAGGAGGAAGAATATTTTGGGGGTGAGAAAACTTGTGGATGTAAGTCTGGTGCTGTTTTTAGTTTGGAATGGTGGATTTAGTGTGGAAAGGATGTTAGTTTTGTTGCCACAGGAGTAGTCAGGATTACCTGGTGAGGACCCGTCCACTTAGGTTGGAGAGGGGAGAAGGAATTGGTGATTTAGACCCAGTTCCCTGGTTGTAGGGGCAGGGAGGAGTGTTTGGAGGATGGACTTTTAGGCTGGGGCAAGTAAGCATTTGCGTACCGTCTTATTAGATGTTGAGTGAGGTATAATGCCAGCCAAGTATCCTGTATCAAGGAGGTGGAGGGGCGGGCTGGGGGCAGATACAGGGAGATTTTGGAGGATAAAAGGGCATTGGTACATGAATTCAAATGGGCTTAGGCTGAGGGGCGTGTGAGCAATGGCTTGTAAATTCATGAGTGCCATTGGAAGAAGTGAAGTTCAGGCCATTTTAACCTCTAGGAAGTTTGGTTATTTGTTGTTTTAAAAAGGCATTGACCTATTTACTTTTATCTGAAGATTGGGGGCAGTAAGGAACATGAAAGGCCCATTTAATGTTTACAGCCTCCACCAACTGTTGGTTAACCTGTGAAACAAATGTTGGCCCACTGTCTAACCGGATGGAGGAGGGGAGTCCAAACCAGGGGATCATATGGGTGAGGAGAATAGAAGTGATGGTGTGTGCCTTTTCGGTGGTGGTAGGAAAATCTTTTATCCATCCAGAGAATGTATCTACAATTGTCAGAAGGTACCAGGCCCATTTTATGGGGACCATGAGGGTAAAGTTGATCTGCCCGCCCTGCCCTGGCAGGTGTCCTTGGGCCTGGTGTGTGGGGAAAGGAGGTGGTTTGATAGCTCCCTGAGAGGAAGTTGTTTGAGTGCAAATGGAATATGCCTTAGTAATACCTATGAGATTGGCAGCCATGGCGGGAAAATATATATAAGCTTTTAAGAGCTAGAGTAGGGGGCAGTAACCGGCATGGAAATGGTTGTGCACATATGAAAGTACAGAAAGTTCCTGGGACTTGGGCAAGACAATTTTATTATTGGGGTAGAACCATCCTCCTCCCCAAATAGCACCAGCCCGGGTGAGTGAGGTTTGTTCCTCCTGGGTATATACAGGGTGTATGCTGGGAAAGATGGGCAATAATGATGAGGTTTTAAGGGCTGCCTGCTGGGCTGCAGAGTTTGCTGAGAAGTTTTCCTTGGTTATGGCATCTGTAGCCTTTTGATGTCCCTTACAATGGATAAAGGTGGCCTTTAGTGGTAGTTTAGCTGCCTCCAGCAGTTTGTGTATGAGTTTGCCATTTACTATGGGGGTTCCTTTTGTAGTTAGGAAACCTCTTTCCTGCCAGATTAAGGCATGAGAATGTAGGATGTGGTATGCATATTTGGAATCGGTGTAAATGTTAACCCTCTTGCCTTTACTAGGGTGAAGGCCCTGGTTAAGACAACTAGCGCCACCTGTTGAGAGGTAGTATGGAGCGGGACAGTGCTGGATTCTAGGAGTTTATTTTCAGCAATGATGGCATAGCCAGCTGCTGGACATGGCTCCCTAAAACAGCTAAAAAGATCTTCCATTAATGAATCATGTGGGTGTTCCCTGCAAAGGGGCTTTTGAAATGTGTTGGAAGGGGGAGAAGAGGGAGTTTAAGAGGTCCAGGCAGGAGTGAGAGAGCTTAGAGTCAGAGGTGTTTACAGGGAAGAGGGTGGCTAGGTTGAGAGCTTTACATTTCTAGAAGGTGATTAGAGGGTTACCTATGAATAAGGCATGTATCTATGAATAAGGCATCCTGTAAGCAGGATGGTGGGAGGGATAGAAGAGATCAATGGCTCATGAGATCCTGTAGGTTATGGGAAGATGCAGTAGTAATGTGTTGGTAGAGAGTAAGTTTCTGTGCCTCTGAGGCAAGTAATGTGGCTGCACCCAAGATTTTTGGGCAGGATGGCCAGCCTTGGATGATAGTCCATTTGTTTTAAGAGGTATGCAATGGCTTGTGGAGCATTGCCATATGTTTGGCAGAGTAGTCCAAGAGCAAGGCCTTGGTCAGAATGTACACACAGTGAATGGGGCCAGCCCCTCCACACCTGTGGGTATTTCTCATCAGGCAGGACGAGAGACTGAGAAAAGAAATAAGACACAGAGACAAAATATAGAGAAAGAAAAGTGGGCCCAGGGGACTGGGGCTCAGCATACAGAGGACCTGCACCGGCCCGGTCTCTGAATTCCCTCAGTATTTATTAATTACTATTTTCACTATCTCAGCAAGAGGAATGCGGCAGGAGAAGAAGGTGATAGTGGGGAGAAGGTCAGCAAGAAAACATGTGAGCAAAGGAATCTGTGTCGCAAATAAGTTCAAGGGAAGGTACTATGCCTGGATGTGCACGTAGGCCAGATTTATGCTTTTCTCCACCCAAACATCTCAGTGGAGCAAAGAGTAACAGCAGCATTGCTGCCAACATGTCTCGCCTCCCGCCACAGGGCAGCTTTTCTCCTATCTCAGAATTGAACAAATGTACAATCGGGTTTTATACCGAGACATTCAGTTCCCAGGGGCAGGCAGGAGACAGTGGCCTTCCTCTATCTCAACTGCAAGAAGGCTTCCTCTTTTACTAATCCTCCTCAGCACAGACCCTTCACGGGTGTCAGCCTGGGGGGCGGTCAGGTCTTTCCCATCCCACGAGGCCATATCTCAGGATGTCTCAGTGGGGAGAAACCTTGAACAATACCTGGCTTTCCAGGGCAGAGGTCCCTGCGGCTTTCCGCAGTGCATTGTGCCCCTGGTTTATCAAGACTGGAGAATGGCAATGACTTTTACCAAGCAACCTGCCTGTAAACATTTTGTTAACAAGGCACATCTTGCACAGCCCTAGATCCCTTAAACCTTGATTCCATACAACACATGTTTTTGTGAGCTCAAGGTTGGGGCAAAGTTACAGATAAACAGCATTTCAGGGCAAAGCAATTGTTCAGGGTACAGGTCAAAATGGAGTTTCTTATGTCTTCCCTTTCTACACAGACACAGTAACAGTCTGATCTCTCTTTCTTTTCCCTACAATACAGAGTAGAAGGCTTGGTGGAGTTGGGCAGTCCCAGTACTGGGGCCATTAAAAAGGGCATTTTTCAGCTTTTTAAAGTGGGAGTTGATGGGGCAAGCTGGGTTGAGGGGTTTTAGGATGAGCCCATGTGAGGCCATATAGAACAGCTTGGCCAGCAAGCCAAAGTTGGGAATCCACAGATGGAAGCATCCCATGCAGCCTGAGAAGGAGAGGAGGTTATTTTTCGTGTGGGGAAGAGGCATGTCCCAAATTAGCTCCTTTCATTGGGTTGGAATGGCCTGAGAATTAGGGGTTAGGACAAGCCCAAGGTAAGTGACCTGCATTTGGGCTAACCTGAGCCTTTGTGGGTAAGACCCTAAAATTTACTTGGTATGTCCCACCCCAAGATAGGGGTAGGGCACTGAGGGATAAACAGGAAAGAGTGGGTGAAGGGGGTGATGAATAGGTTGCATAATAGAGGACCAGTCTGTTTGTGCCTAGAGGGGATTCTATCGACTCCCACAATAGAGATAGAAGAACTGAGGAGGGGCTCAGAATATTCTGGTAAAATTGAATAACTAGCCTCATATTTAATGGGAAAGACATGGGCTTAGCAGACACTGACAGCATTACTCTTGGTTCCAAGGTGGTGATGGTGGTGGGAGTGGTGGATTCTGGGCCCTATCAGTCTTCAGGTAGAGGTGGTGAAGTGGGATAAAGCGTTTTGCTGAGCACAGTCTGAGATGTGCTCCCTGTCCTCCAGGGTGAGGGAGGAAGAGAGGATGACGTAAGTGTCATGCCAGGTAATTTATAAGATTGAGTGACATACAGAAATTCCTTGTGGAAGGAGGTGGGATCCATGGAAAAGAAGCCAAGTCTTTTTTCAAGCTGGAAGAGGTCAGCTAGGGAGAAGGAAACATAAACTCAGATTATACCTTCGGCCCGCGTGACTTCCCGCAAGGGGATGACTTTGGAAGGCCTTTGGGTGTATGCCTGGTTTTCAGAGGAAGGGGGTTAAGTGTGAGACTGGGTATGCGGTGGAGAAGAAAGGGGGAACAGAGGGCAACAATAAGGGATTGAAGGAGCCGGAGCTGAAGGAGGAGGAGGGGATGGTGGTGGGAGAAGGACTGAAGGAGGGGTTTTGTTGTCCGGGTTGAAATTAGAGGAGGAAGGCTTGTCTGAAGGAAGGGGCATTTTTGGGTTTGGAGGTTCCAGATTAGACATCTGAGAGTGGTGTCTGGAGGAAGTTTTGAGGAGCCTTGCCCCATACTGGTGGCTGGAAGGGTGAGAAATATAGAGGAGGGGTGTGAGTACCCTGGAGGGGAGTAAGTACCATGATTCCTCTTGGGAGGAGGGACATAAGAAAGCCAGGGCATCCCTGCAGCTCTTCACAGTCCTCTGGAGATCAGAGTGACTGGAGTGGCGAGCATTCTGAGGGCGTCCCCTGAGAAGGCAGACCATGGTCACCTGGTGACCAGGGAGACCTCTCACCCAGCACTGGGATTTTCTGGTGAAGGAGCAGAAGCATGATAGGAATCTGGAGAGGAGGTAAAGGGAGACTCACCCATTAATTGGAGACGGCGTTGGACGTGATGTTCTGCAATGGGGGTGATCCTTGCCGGAGCCACCCAGAAAGGGGGAGAAAGAAAAAAGAGGCTAGAGAGTTTGATCAGGATCTAGAGGTCAGCCCAGGGCCAAAGGAGAGAGAATAAGAGAAAAAGGGCTGCAAAGAGGGAGTCTACTCAGGATCTGGAAGCAGGCCTCAGTCTAATTTTTGCTGCTTGCTGCTTTCCAGGTTGCAAGAGAAGACTTACCCGTTTAGAACCCAATCTATGTCCTGGGTTTCTGCGCCAAAATGTAGTGGAGTTTTTTTCATAATCAGGAGTTTGAGAGGGTACAATGGAAGTTGTTAGGTTTTGAAGGGAAGGTGAGGGTTAAAGAAAGAGAGTTGGATGCTTTGCAGTAAATGCAGGTTTTATGTCTAGCCCAAGACCTGCGGAGGTGGGGGACCAGGTTAATGCCTGAACCCACTGCCACTTACAGGCTGGGGTACTTACAGGTATGGGAGGGAGGGGTCTGGGCAGTATGGCTTGCTGCCCAACAGGCTATTGATAAGATGTTCCCATGATGAGGTGACTTGGTCCTTGTTCCAGCAGAATGTGATAGGGATGTTCCTTGGACTTTTTCCCAGTGGAATGTGATCAGAAAGTCAGGTGGTCAGGCCGATGTTTCTCACACAGAGAACCACTTCCACAAGATTAATTTCCATACTCCTTCCACCACTTGTTTGAACCTTCAGCTTTATCCTATTAAATTCAAAACAATCTTTTAACTCTAGGCAACAATTTATATTTCCATGGCTTCTTATAACCTTTTAGTAAAACACACACACACAGACATTTTTCCAAACACACCTTGCATGTAAAAATATTTTTAGTAGTATCAATTACATGTTATAATGATGACTCTTAGCAATCTTACTTTTAATGTAAAAGCTGGTAAGTTATGTTAATTATGTACTAGGTGCTGATAAGGTCTTACTATTCCAGCATAGCTAGGGGTGTGGCCAACTCCACATGTCCCCAGGCCTTACCTAGCTGTAAAGCAGGCAAGTCAAACAATTTTCAAAAGCCAAAGAAGCAGTTTATGACCTTAAGGCACTTAGCAAACCTAATATTTGAACATAATTTAGATGACATGTTTGTATTTTGAAGACATTTGTGAAAACTTTACAGAGGAGATAAACAGTGACTTTCACGTCTCATTTAGCCAGTTTGCACAGAGAGAAAGAGGTCAGAGTCTGACTGGTAGGAAATTCTTATCCTTTTGCCAGTAGGCCAGGTTTCTGGGTTTTCTCTCCCTGAGCAGCCCTAGTGACCCTGCTCAACTGTATGCAAACAAACACACTACCATGAATTAAGAACATTTACAAATAGTTTACAAATTTTGGAGAAATTAGGCAGAGAGAGAAATATGACTTAAATTCTGTTTACAAAAGTATACTCAACATACTTAAAATATCAATAAGCCTAAACTCCAAAAAGTTAGTTTAAGGTTAAAAAGCTGATGTGTTCCATTAACTCCTGTGGGTCTGACAAAGGTAGCCTAGGAATTCCAGATAAATGGAACAAATGATGACTTGCTAGAAATGCACAGGAAACAAAATAACTATCCACAAAACCAAATAAAAGCCTTCTAGAAGCAAAAATAAATAAACAGGAAAGCAACCCTAATTTTTTCTTACTCAATTTACCCTGGAGGCTAAAGTGTTGCCCAGGGCCCCAAAAGAGCCACATAATAAATATTTTATTCCTGATACACAATTCAATATCCTTAAGTTCACCAATATCATCATACATCCTGTGCAATCAAGAAGTTCACTTTAGGCCCATGACCAATAAGCACTCCAGTGCCAGCACTATCCATGCAAAACAGTAAACATAGTGTGAAGCAGTGCAAGCATATCTGGGAAATTTGGCTCCACACTAAATCCAGCTTCAAGCTTAACTATATAAAAAAAAGAATTGCCAAACTGCCAATGCATTTCTTTACAATAGTTATTATTTTACTTTAATCAAGACTAAGAGCTTTAACTACGAAAATGTTAACTAGCCCAATGTCTCCAATTCTTTATCATGTTTTAAAGAATATTTTATTATCTAAACTTTTTCCACATCCTTCTCCCCTAATCACTGGTTCTTTACTACATTGTTTCACAAATAATTTTTTCAAATGTGTAATTTGAACTAACTTTTAGATAACTTCTTAATTAGACAAAATTATTCTTTTTCTCAGTAATAACACAAACTTTTTGGCACATTTTGTATACAGAACTCTGTGTTAACTAGAAGTATTATCCTTAGTAACCTAAAATTTTAGTGAAACCCTAAAAAGAAATACTGAACTATCAGATATGGGCATTTATAGATAAGAACAATTCCACAATTTTTAGAAACATATTTCCCCATATCACAACCCTTCCTTAATTGGAAATGACCCAAATATTCAATGAGCATCAAAATTAATTTTAAGCTTTTAATTTACACAAAAAGTTTACCTAAAACATTTATCCCATTTACTGTACTCAATTCTTTCATTTTTAACAGTTTATCTAGATTACTTCTGTAAACTGAGATATTAGACACTATCACTTAAAGTTAGTTATTTCCTTGCTAACCATGTTTCTAATAGCCAGTGAATATCAAGTGCTCACCTAAACCTGAGAGTCTCAGAATTAAATATATAAGTATTTTGCCAATAACTCAGAAGACGTAGCTAACATTAAATTGCTCTTATTTGTCAAAAAAAAAAGGCACATTTTGTTTTGGCTGGGTTTGTAGTTTTATAACATTCTATGCCAAACATTGACATCTCAAAATATTTAGCAAACACAAACATAAAATCCAGACAAAATGTATGCTGACAATTCTGAAGGCATTTCTATTTTTATTCTACCAATAATTTTAAAGCCAGCTTGTTTAGTAAAGTTATACTTAAGTCACTTTAACTTAAAAATCGCTTAGGCTTATTAATTTATGAGCGCTCTTTTACTTATAAGCCAATTTGGCAAACATAACATATAAGTGTACATACAAATAAACACATCTAGACATGTATACACACACACAAATGAAGATCTAATAGCTTGAAACCCTAGCCATGAGATAGCAACACAAGCTTACCGGTTTTACTTTGTTTGCCCCAGTAGGTAATGCAATGAAGGCTGTGAACCAAAATTTTGGGTAAAGCAATTTCCATGGCAGTTTGATTTTTTTTGTTTCTTTTTCTTTTTTTTTTTTTTCTTTGAGATGGAGTCTTGCTCTGTAGCCCAGGCTAGAGTGCAGTGGTGCAATCTCGGCTCACTGAAACCTCTGCTTCCCAGGTCCTGGTTCAAGCAATTCTCCTGCCTCAGCCTCCTAAGTAGCTGGGATTACAGGCACGTGCCACCATGTCCAGCTAATTTTTGTATTTTTAGTAGAGATGGGGTTTCACCTTGTTGGCCTTGTTCATGTCTTGAACTCCTGACCTCGTGATCTGCCCGCCTCGGCCTCCCAAAGTGCAGGGATTACAGGCGTGAGCCACCGTGCCCAGATGGCAGTTTGATTTTTTTTGTTTTTGTTTTTGAGACAGAGTCTCACTCTGTTGCCCAGGCTGGAGTGCAGTGGCGTGATCTCAGCTCCCACTGCAGTCTCCGCCTCCCGGGTCTAAGTGATTCTCCTGACTCAGCCTCCTGAGTAGCTGGGACTATAGGCACGCACCACCACGCCTGGCTAATTTTTTGTATTTTTAGTAGAGATGGAGTTTAGTAGAGATGGGGTTTCACCACGTTGGCCAGGATGGTCTTGATTTCCTGACCTAGTGATCCACCTGCCTCGGCCTCCCAAAGTGCTGGGATTACAGGCATGAGCCACTGCACCTGGCCCTAGCAGTTTGATTTTTAAAGGTGAAACCTCCCCAGACTCCAAAGAACACTAAGACCAAACAGTACCAAAGGAGAACATCACTCTTTCACCAGGCCCTCTGCTTAGAATAGCAGCACCAAAGCCTGGATATATGCAATGGCAATGCCATCCCAGTTTTCCATTCAACAGTAAACTCCGCATTCCAAACAATATTGGGGCCAAATAGCATTGCAACTGCGAGATAAAATTCTAAGGAGAGTTTAATACTAGACCTCAGAACCTCTGCCAAGGGCATCCTCTTTGGAGAGGTTGAGGTCCGGAGGATTCCCCTCTGGGGCTTCCCCTAGTGGGGCCCAATCTTAAGAGTGTCAGACGTCTCTGACCTTAGGTGGGCACCAGTCCTGCTTGCATGTTTTCCCTCTAAAGGGAATGGCCTACTATGAGCTTTCATTTTGTCCCTGGATGAAGGCCTTGACTTTTAGCATCCTTATAATTTGATAAGGCCACACTTTCCCATGTTTCCCATTCCATGAACTTAATAACTGGAGGCTGGATGTGTTTCTTTTGCTCTTAGCCAGTTGACTAGGGAAACGGAAGAATTACGCATAAGAAAAGGTTTAAGTTGCCTGAAACAGGCGAGTTTGCTCTGAGCTGTGCCACACATAGGGATCAGGGACCACACCCAGAAAAGATTTAAAAAAGAGTCCTTCTCCCTTCTGGGCAGGGCAATTATCCCCATTCACTCCATGGTCTTCAGGCAATATTGGGGATTGATCCCAGCCAATTTCCCTCAATTTCCAAAGAGCTACTAGGAAACAGCTGCTAAAAGACCAATAAAGAAGAAAAGGAAAAAAAAAAAGAAAAAGACCCAGGTCCCTTAGGCAAACCAGGTGGTGGCGGTTAGGCTTCTTCACATGAAAACCCCTTAGTATTCACCAGCCATGGCCAGAAACCTGCAGTTTACCTCCATGTTTACACGCTGCTCACCAAGGGTCCCGAGTGGGAAAGGAAAAGAGAGAGAGAGATTTCCCTGTATGTAAAAAGGGAAAGGAGAAAAATAAATCCCAAACTTTGGGCTTACCTTCTCCTGGCTGGCTCACCAAAATATGTTACCAGTGGAGGGTGTCCAGGTGCTTGGCATTTTGAACAAAGAATTGGACAAAATGCACAAACAAAGCAAGGAAAGAATGAAGTAACAAAAGCAGAGATTTATTGAGTACACTCCACAGTGGGAGCAGGCCCAAGCAGCCACTCAAGGGCCGGGATACAGGATCTTCTTGGGTCCAAATACCCGCTGGAGGTTTCCCATTGGCCACTTGGTGTTCACGCCATGTAAATAAAGTGGTGGCCCCCAATCAGTCTGATTGTTTGCAGACGGAAACCAATCAGAGGCTGAAGTGAAGTTACAAAGTTACACTCTTAGGCAAACGCCTGGTTGCCAAAAGCAACCAATCAGAGGTATTTTCTTTTTCTTTTTCTTTTTTTTTCTTTTTGAGACGGAGTCTTTCTCTGTCACCCAGGCTGGCGTGCAGTGGCCCGATCTCGGCTCACTGCAAGCTCCACGTCCCGGGTTCACGCCATTCTCCTGCCTCAGCCTCCCGAGTAGCTGGGAGTACAGGTGCCCGCCACCACGCCCGGCTATTTTTTTGTATTTTTAGTAGAGACAGGGTTTCACCATGTTGGCCAGGATGGTCTCGATCTCTTGACCTCGTGATCCACCCTCCTCAGCCTCCCAAAGTGCTGGGATTACAGGCGTGAGCCACTGCGCCTGGCCCAGAGGTACTTTCAATTAACCATCTGCCATGCAGAAAAGGTGGGAGTTTGCAAAGAGAGTAGCCTCTGGTCCTTTTGTTACTTAGGCATGGAAAGTTAGGGTTTTCCTTTCAATGTAGTTCTACGAAGTCAGCGTGAAATGGCCTTAGGTTTCCTATTCTCCTGCCTCACTGGTATCCAAGGGACTCTGCCATTAGGCTAGCTGTGGAGGGATGGAGAGAGAGCTGAGGCCTCAAATGCCAGTATTCCTTCCTTCCAGATTTGCGTGTAAGACCAGATAATCTTCCAGACCAAACAGTATCTGTTGATGAGTATTAGGCTCGAATGAGAAGGAGAGAGAAGTGGAGCACTGGATTGAAGAGAAAGCAAAAAACCTTCCTAGATCAACAAGGAAATAGCCTCTTCTAGAATCCAGATAGGGCCCTGGACTCCTGTGGGATAATGTAGTGGGTGAAAAAATTGGTAGTGAAGTCCTCGGATATGGGGATGCACTTGGAAGTCTTGGGAACAAGGAAGAGAGACATCCTGTGGTGGTGATTTTTAGATCCAACACCCAGGGGCTTGGGTGCCTTTGGGGGGATTAGTAGAAGAGATCGACACATTGAGGGAGGTTCAGGATAACTGTCTGAAAATGAGAGATTTTTATTGCTTATACTGATGTCCCAATAGGGTCTGTATGTGCTTCAAATAGGTAGAAAAGAATGAAGTCCGAGCCTGAAGATAACAATATCAGTCAGAATTTTAGGATTGTGAATACCTGTCCACAGAAATAGCTGGGCCCTGAGCCTCTGCTGATGATGTAGGAATGGAGGCAGTTAATAAGCTTTAAAGTCATAGGGTCTCAGGGCTAGGGTATGGTGAGGACACTTTGCCACCCCTAAGGTTCAAAGCCTCTTGGACTGGAGGAGGTTGTTAACAGATATTCTAGGCAGAAAAGCTGTGTCAGGTTGTGGTGTATGAAGAGGGAGAATTTGACACCAAATGGTCAGCTGGCCATCTGCTCACCTGTTCCCCTGTGCTCCCTACTCCCACAGGGTCTGCTTACAGAACAAGGCACAGCAAGGAGGCAAGACACAAGCAAGAAATGTGCTTGATGTTACCCACTGCAGTCCTTCTTCCACTCTGGAGGATTCTGAAGACTCAGAAGAGGGACAGGCAATGGATTCAGTCTAAACCCCAGGACCAGGACACTGCCTCAGCTTCGAAGCCTGGATGCAATGCTCCAGGGTATAACCACTGCCCAGAAGCACAGCTAGTACAAGCTGCAGCCTCAATCCAGGCAAGGAGCCAACTCCAACAGGTCAGGCTCCAAGGGATGAAGACTGAAAACATGAATGTGTTGTGCCACTAACTCTAGCGTTTGCTTTTCCTTGTGTTTTTGCATGCATTGTAGACCTTGGCATCAGCATTTGGCTAGCTTTAAGACAGAAACTGAGAAGCCTTTTGTGTTTTATGCGTCAACTTGACTGGGTCACAGCATGCCCAAATATTTGGTTAAACACGATTTCTAGGTGCATCTGTGAGGATTTTCTGGACGAGACTAATATTTGAATTTGAATCAGTGGACTAAGTAAGGCAGACTGCCCTCCCCAGTGTGGGTGGCCCTCATCCTTCTCTCTGCCTGACACTCTTCTAGCTGGAACATTTGTCTTCTCCTACCCTCGGACTCAGACTATGACTGGAATTGATATCATTGACTCTCCTAGTTCTTCAGACTCAGATTGCTCTCCCGGGACTTCTCAGCTTCCAAATCACATGAACCAATTCATTATAGGAAATTTTTTTATATATCCTATTAATTCTGTTTCTCTGGAGAACCCTGATTAATACAGATTTATTTTCCTACACTCCAGTAACTCTCCACTACTCCCTCCCTCAACCCCTGGTAACTATCCTACTTTCTGTCTCTATAAATTTGACTATTCTCAGTACCTCATATAAGAGGAATCATGCAGTATTTGTCCTTTTGTGACTGGCTTATTTCATTAGCATAATGTTTTCAAGGTTTATTCATGTTGTAGCATGTATCCAAATTTAATTCCTTTTTGAGGCTGAATGATACTCCATTGTATGTATATACCATATTTTGTTCATTCATCCATTGATAAACATGTTGTTCCCACATCTTGGCTATTAGGAATAATGTTGCTGTGAACATGAGTGTACAAATATCTGAGTCCTTGCCTTTTTTTTTTTTTTTTGGACACAGAGTCTCTCTCTGTTGCCCAGACTGGAGTAAAGTGGTGTGATTCTCGGCTCACGGCAACCTCTGCCTCCTGGGTTCAAGTGATTCTCGTGCCTCAGCCTCCCCAGTAGCTGGGATTACAGGCGTGTGCCACCATGCCTGGCTAATTTTTTGTATTTTTAATAGAGATGGGATTCGTCATGTTGCCTAGGCTGGTCTCAAACTCCTGAGCTCAGGCAATTTGCCCACCTCGGCCTCCTAAGGTGCTAGGATTACAGGCGTGAGCCACCATGCCTGGATCATTGCTTTTCATTATTTTGGGTATATACCTAGAAGTGGGATTGCTGGATCATATGGTCATTCTGATTTTTTGAGGAACCATCATACTGTTCTCCACAGTGTCTGATGACCTACAGTTTTGAGCTTAGCCTTTCTAAAATAGTGGGGAAAAAAATGAAAAGAAAACAACTAGAAGTGGAAGTAATTTGTCCTTCATTAAGCCAGATATACACATCCTGATTCAAGCTTGAAAACAATATCACCTCCTTCGCTGATATGTAAGTACCTTTTTATAATTTAAATTTTAAGTTATGATTAATTAGAAACTTAAAATGTATAGTCTGTATATGCACTGGATGTCCACAAAGTGACCCTTGGTTGCTAAATCTTTGAGAAAGGCTGAGTAGACACTGAACGAATGTATATCCAACTTACTTGTCAACTCCTCCAAGAACATTCCTTACCCCCTGACCCAAGACATGCTTTCTATGAGCTCCAACAGTGCCCCTAGTCTTCAACAGCTACCACATCTGTGCTCGTCACACTCTTGTCCTTCTCCTAGTCTCAACTGTGAGCCATGGATGGCAGAGGCCGGTTTTTACCCTTCAGGTCTCCAGTTAGGCCTGTGATGGTTCTAGGGTTTTGTTTAGGCTGCGAGTCTGATTGGGGCTAGGACAAAGGGTCAAATTCAGGATGAAAATCAGCCTGGCCAAGAGCAGTGGATACATAGCCCCCATCATCCCACTTCTCAGATGCTCCTAGAACTCCAGCCCGGGATCCTTTATCCTCTGTATACTCCACCTTCTCCCCATACAAGACCCTCTGCAGAGAGCAGGCACAAGGAGCAGATAAATGATGGTCGATGCTGCCTGTCAATTCAGATGGGCCTGGCATAACGGTTAACTAATGGGTTTCTTGTTTGATTGATAGGTTCTCTCAAAACTAAAGGAGTTAAATTTCTTTAATAGCAATACATGCTCATTGTTAAAAACTCATATCAACTGAATTTCCCTTGAACACTATTAACATTTAGTGTATTATCCTTTCACATTTGTATAGATATTTAGAAAAATGGAGTGTAGTATATACGTTTATATATTTTTGCTTAGCAGTACATCATAGACATCTATTTCATTATATTCAAATGGCTCAATAATATTCCCCTGTGTAGCTGTACCATAATCTAGCCAAACTCCTATGTGGGGGCCTGGTTTGTATTTGATTTTTCAGTAATATAAACAATGCTGAGATAAACCTCTATCAGCTAGATTATTTCTATTGACTGATTTTAATACATGATTGGAATTTTAACCACAAGGGGGAAGCAGGCAACCATGGGAAGACAGGCTAAGATTTAGGATAAAGAAAAAGAGGCTGGGTGCAGTGGCTCATGCCTGTAATCCCAGCGCTTTGGGAGGGTGAGGCAGGAGGACAGCTCAAGCCTAGGAGTTTGAGGTTACACAAAGCTATAATCACACTACTGCACTCCAGCCTGGGTGACAGAGCAAAACCCTCTCTCTCAAAAAAAAAAAAAAAAAAAAAAAACGATTTAGAAAGTTATCTCACATACATAAGCTTACCCCAACCTTGTGAGCAGGTAGTAGCATTAGTATTAGCCTCATTTTTTGGAGGCAAAGCTGATGATTTCATTATCAGGCGCTCTTCTGTATTTCCAAATAAATTGACAGCAGTACAACATTCTGCCTACATTCAGTTCAAGTCCAGGTGCTGTGCTGGGGACACTATGAGGCATGCAGAAATAAAGAAGACAATCCCTGCCCCTCAGGGGGTCATTATCAGGTGTGAGGACAGACACACCTAAATAACCAAGTGCCCACTGTAACAGACAGGAGAGCCCAGGAAGGTAGGAAATTCACTTCGATAGTGAGGCTGGGCACAGTTTTATGGAAGGGGTATGCTGACAATAAGAGGTAAGGTGTATTTAGCCTTTACTCTGTGCATGGCACTGTGCTAAGTGCTTTACCTGCATAATCTCATTAAAACTTCCCCACAGGCCAGGCACCGTGGTTTATGCCTGTAATCCCAGCACTTTGGGAGGCCAAAACAAGAGGATTGCTTAAGCCCAGGAGTTTGCAACCAGCCTGGGCAACATAGCAGGGCCCTGTCTCTTAAAAACAAACCAACCAACCAACAAACAAACCAACAAACAAATCCCCATAGACCTGGAAGGTATCCTACCCTTTTTTACAGAGAAGAAAACTGATGGTCAGAGAGGTTAAGAAACCAGCTACCGTGGCACAACACTGGAACGCGCGTCCTTAATGTGAATTCAGGAGGCCCTACAAGGGTTGGTAGACTTTCAACAGGCAGGGCTGGGAGAGAGACTTCTAAGAGAGGAAACACAGAAACGAAGCCTTAGAGGCAAGAAATACAGGCACGTCTGGGAATGGCAAGGGGATCAGCGTGCCTGGGGTGTGAAAAAGGAGGAATCTGAAGAGATCAAAACTAGAGAAAGAAAACTGAGTCAGAGTGGTGAAGACTGTGAGTAGCAAGGCAAGGAGATCCCGCTGTATTTTGTATTCAGGTGAAACCAACTGAAGATAATGACATCATGTGTGCTTTATGAGGATTAATTTGGTGCATTGCCTAAGAGAACAAGGAGACTAGTTAGGGGCTTGTTAAAATAGTCCTGGCCAAAGATAACTAGCGAAGGAATGAGAACCAGAAGACATTACAGAGATAAAATCCACAAGATCTTATTAGATGCTGGGGAAAGAGGAAAGAATTGTGATTAAGATTTTCATGTTTGGGCAACCAGGAGAATGTGAGTGTGTACACCAGGAGAGGGGCTGGACAGAAGGGAGAGGCGAGTTCACTTTTCTTTTATGAGCTGGAAGGACCACAGGGACCTTTGAGTGGAGATGTTTAGAGGAGAGTTAGAAACAGGAAGCTGGTGATTTAGACATAGTACCTGAGAATCAGAAGAAACCCAGGGCCGGGTGTGGTGTCTCACGCCTGTAATCCTAGCACTTTGGGAGGCCAAGATGGGAGGGCTGCTTGAGGCCAGGAGTTCAAGACCAGCCTGGTCAACATAGTAAGACCCTCTCTATATAGAATAAAATAAAATTTAAAAAAAGAAGAAGGCTGGGTGCAGTGGCTCACACCTGTAATCCCAGCACTTTAGGAGGCCGAGGCGGTGGATCACCTGAGGTCAGGAGTTCAAGACCAGCCTGATCAACGTGGTGAAACCCCGTCTCTACTAAAAATACAAAAATTAGCTGGGTGTAGTGGCAGGTGTCTGTAATCCCACCTACTCAGGAGGCTGAGGCAGGAGAATCACTTGAACCCAAGAGACAGTGAGCCAAGATTGCGCCATTGCATTCCAACCTGGGTGACAGAACGAGACTCTGTCTCAAAAAAATAAAAAATAAATAAAAAGAAGAAGAAATGACCAAGGGAGCTGGCCAGGGAAAAACCTACACTTAAGATTCAGCAAGGCATGTTAGACCCTGATAACCTGCAATTCCACAGCCAGGTTTCTATCCCAGAGAAACAAAATCACACGTGCACAAGAGAGCGTATGAAAGTTCACAGCAGCATTGTCTGTCTTGGTGAAAGCCTGGGTCAGGGAGGAGCAGGCAAATAAACCATTAAACATCCACATTGTGCAATAGTTACCAATTAAGTAGATCAAAGGTATTGACATGGACAGATCTTCAGAACATACAGTGGATGAGAAAAACAACATGTAGTGCAATAATAATGTATAAAACATTACTTATGAAAAAAGAAGAAAAGCCAAACAATCCTGTCACATATATATTTTAAATGATGTATGTGTAGGCATAGAGAAAATTCTGGAAAGCTAAATCCATGCTAATTGTGATAAAGGGGAGGAGTTGGGACAAACATGAAGAGCAGAAGGGGTTAAATGGGGTTTTAGCATAGTTGTCAGGTTTTAATTTTATAAGAAAAATGTAATCATCTGTTACTTATGTGAATAAAAATTCTCAAAATATTTTTAAAAAGAAAGATTCAATGGGAAGAGGAAGCAATGGAATAGACAGGAATACATTCCTAGACTCTAGGTAGGACACTGTTACTGGGAACACTGGGAGAAGTTTCTGGAATGCAAGGTGGAAAAAGGATCCACTGCACTCAGCAACGCTGCAGAGACAGCAGCCAGCAGGATGAGTCCTGTGAGCTCAGCTGGTTGTCAACACCTTTCACTTACAGCCACTAGCTCCTGTGTCCTTGAAAAGTCGCCATGTCCCACCACTGCCCTTGAATGAGATGGAGACTTTCTGTTCTTTTTTGAGTTGTAAACATCCAAAAGCATTTCATCAATTTCTTGTATTTAGACATTCCCTTCCTTTCCCAGAAATTCCACAGTGATATTCTCAGTGTTCTCTTTCCAGTCCTTCAAGCTGTGTATGAAATCTACTTCTTCCCAGTCCAGCTCCAGCAAATACCTGCCTCCTCTCTTGTTCTCCATTCAAAAAACTTCCAATTTGAGGTCATTTTTAAGAGCATTACTGTGGTGGTGGCGGTGGTGGAGTTTATAGAATTTCTCATGGGACCCACAGCATGGATGTGGCTAACACTGACTGAGCACACAAAGGTGCAGGCACTGTGCTAACTTCATAGGAAGTATCTCGGTTAATCCTTTCAGCAACCCCAGTAGGTCAGTACTATTATAACCTCCAAGGTCTTTCTTTCACAGCTGGGACTTAGTGTGGCTGAGCGACCTAAGGAGGTAAGTGGCAGTAAGCTTGTGGTGGGTGACTCTGTGTTTGTCTCACTATGTGAGTTTGTCCTAAGTGATCAATAGGGGTGGGGACTGGACTAGAAACAAGGTCTCAGGTATGCAGGGGTGTTCAGTTTACCAAATGCCTTTATGACCATTAATTCATTTGATGTCACCACAGTGCTTTAATGACATGGGTCATTAGGGAAAATAATGAGATGAGTCAAGCTTTGTAATTCCCTTAAAGTGGTCAAGTCTGGGTTAAGGGCTTTTAGGGCACATTAACTCACTATGTCGTCTTGAGCAACTCTGCAAGGGGTGGGAGCAGAGGGGGCCCCCTTTGGCCCAGCTCTCTACAAATCATCTAGTTCCTAGCAGCCACTCCTCCTGGTCTGCAAATTCTTGGCGAGGCACCCTCCTGCTCTCCAAACCCACCCATTCCAGGCGATCCCTTAAGTGGCAGAGGAGCCAGGTTCCTGGGGTTAATAAGCAGGCTGTTTATAGCCAGCAGCAGTCACGGGACAGCCAGCTGGAAGGTCATGCCCCTTCTGAATGTTGAGGTTTCTCATAAACATTTCCCCAGTGAGCCTTCTGGGAGATGAGGATGACTCTGGGCCCATTGCCCTTGCTGGGGCAGAGCGCCAAGGCCCCATACTCACTTTCTTCTCCTTTCTCCCGAATCTGGCTCTCTTCCTCTTTCCTCCTTCCTCTCCTACTCTGCTGTCATTCCTTCCCTTTCTTCAGTGGAAAGAGGACACGTTTCACAGTAGACACACAGGATAACTCAACCTTCTGAGCCTCAGTTTCCTCCTGCGTAAATGGGGTAATAATGGGACCTTCATCTCAGGATGTAAGGGAAAGTGCTTAGCACTGTGTTAGGCACGCACAGTGGACATTTAAAACATATTGGTCATGTCTTTCCCCCTCCACCCTATCCTTTTGCCCTAATCCTGGCCACTGCCCTGTTTTCTTTCTATTTTCCTGCTCCAGCCCTGCTCCCATTTCCACCCTGGGCACTTCCACCCCACTGATTGTGCTGCTGCTGCCTGGGAGGGTAGACGAAGAAGCCAGGCTTCATTCAGAGGAGGGCTGACCACCGCAGGGCCCGCCTGGCCTTGGCACTTCCCCATGAGACCGCACCCTAGGCCTCTCTGCTTTTAGTAAATAGCCCATGGGAACAGGGGGTGGAGGGAGGATGTAGAATGGGAGAGGCCAAGACATTTTAACCTTTGGCTTCTATTTGCCCTTAATCTGGCTCTTCCAATGGCTTAATGATCAGAGATCATTGTGTAAATTGCTGTGTGACTTTGGGCAAGTCCCCTTCACTCTCTGAGCTTCAGTGAAGTGTGGGAAGGAAGTGAAGAGCAGAAGTTGGGTAGAAGTGCAGGTCCTGGAACCAGACCATCTCCACCACTTGCTAGCTTGGAGTACATAACTCCTCTGTGCCTCAGTTTCCTCAACTATAAAATGCAATTTATAGTATACCTAATTTATAAAAGCACTTTTAAAAGTGCTTAGAATAGCGCCTAGCCCATAGTTGGTACTAAATTAATCTCAGCTATTATATGCAAATGGAGAGGTAGAACAGGGGTATGTGTGCATGAGAGGAGAGCTGGACCTTCTCTGAGGGTATTCTAAAGTCCTGAAAACCCACATTCCTCCTTTTTGGATAAGAAGAAGACAGAACCTTGAACACAAAGTACTTCTCCCAAGGAGACCATAGGAAACTTGTCAAAGACTTTTAAAGCCAGATGGACCCCTTAGAGGTCATCTGGTCTAACTTGTCATGCTACAGTAAGAACAGGGTGGACCAGAGAGATTCGGACTTATCTGGGACCACAGAGCTTTTGACGAGTTATAGAATTGCAGGTGGTGCATTGCAGGGAAGGGAGGCACTTTAAGAGGACAGTGGGATGGGCTGCCAGAGGGCTGGTGGGATGCTAGAGGTCAGATTCCCAGGCTCCATGACCTCCAGGATTCTTAGTTCAGGCACTTACCCCATAACTAAAGCACTGATGTCACCACCGGCATCTTTAATAATTATAACCATGTAATGAGGAGGGACTATATCCCAAGCACTGCACCAGACGCTTTCACATGCATTACTTACTCCATACAAAATCCCCTTGGCAAATGAGGAAACACGCCTTGCCCAAGCTGCAACAATTACAAAGGGGCAGAGCTGGGCTTTGAATCCCGGTCTCTCTGATGCCAAAACCAGGGTTCTCATGCAACACTCTTTTCATGTTTCCCAGAGCCTAGTTTGAGGCTTGAGCCTCAATAAATAAGGATCTTGTATTTGTCTCACTGGGCTGGCCAAGCAGATCTTGTATTTGTCTGACTGGGCTGGCCAAGCGATAACACTAATGAATCAGCCTGGGTCCCAGTCACCTTTCCAGCCCTTTCCACCCTGACCCACAAGCCATGATGAGAGACCAGACCCTGTGTAGGAAATCTTTCTTCCAGGGGCCCTGCCTCTGTGTTATCTGTCCCCACTGTCAATGGGAGAAGCAGTGGCTGCTTTCGGAACAGGCAGGGGAGGAGGGCTTAGAGCCTGGGGTGACGCTTCTGGCTGCTGGGCCTGACCTCCCCAGACTTTAGCCAGGGCCCTGACTTGAATGGGAGGAGCATGAACAAACAGAAAGTTGTAGGAGAAGCAAGAAACCAGGTAAGGTGAAAAAAACTTTTCCCCTCCAAAAATACGAAGTTTATAGTTGATGTGAATTTGTCAACTTAATATAGTGTAAGAAGCATAAGGTTTAATACGGTCTTCCTCGCCATGATGGCAGGAAGCACATCTGTTGTATTCACTACCACATGCTTAGTGCCCCACCCAAGGCCTGTCTAGAGTCAGTGCTCAATAAATAAACATGGAAAATGAATGAAAAAAAAAAATGGAGGGACATAAGGAAGAGCACTGAAACATCAGTCAGAAAACCTGCATTACAGTTTTTAGCTTCATGGCTCACAGCAACCCTTGGACAAGTCACTTCGGCTCTGTAAACCTCAGTTTCTACAAGTGTAAAATAGATATCATGGCAGTTCCTACTGCACAGGGCTTTGAAATCACAGACTTCCGTAGGAGTCATGGTTCCATAACCACCTAATGTCAAGTTGAAAATTGTATTTCTTCAGAGTGAGGCCGGCTTTAGCAATCTATGCAAGGGGTCTTGCTGAACCAGGGCCAGAGGAAGGCCAGAGGTGTGGTTCTAAGAATGAGGATTAAACATGAGAGAGACTATAAATCTGCTTGGAGAACCGCAGCATTAGGAGGGTACAGCGGACCTGGCAGGCATGACAGATACTCTCTGCCCTGGAGAGTCTCCAGCCCTGCCCATGCAAGGTGTCAGTTAGTATCAGCGGGAGCACAGATGGGCTTAAATCAGAAGATGTTACAGATTATCTAGTCCACACTGGACAATAGCCCAGTGAGGGGTTAAAGGCTGAGAGACAAAGACCCAGATATTCTAATTCCCAGCTCAATGCTACTCTTCCCACACCACCATCAAAGGAGGGGGACGGTGGTGAGAGGGGGTATTTGAAGAGAAACAGATTGGACAAAGGAATGAATGCCTCCATGTAGCAACAGCTTCAAAGGGGCTTCAGAATAGGAGATATCTTGTTAAAGAAGGAGGAACGAGAGGGGGAAATGGTTAAAAATAACGTCTTACATCCATGTGGATTATGTTTCCAACTATATCATGTGTAGTTATTGCATGTAAGGTACTATGGTGGAGAGTTACTGATGGGGCATCAGAAAGCCCATTTCATTACCCAGCTCTGCCATGTACAAGCTCTGCGACCTCGGGCAAATCCTCTCTCTGATCCTCAAATTTTCATGTGAAGCATGAAGCAATAGTGCCTACCCCATAGACCTATCCTGGGGACCAGGTTAGGAAAGGGAAGTGGAGGGAGGTTGTATCCTCTCTAAAATGCTCTGCAAATGGGCAACATGGCAAAGCGGTCACAAGCAAGCGTGTGAGGTAGACCGTCACTTAGCCTTTCTTTTCTTTTTTTTTTTTAAGACAGAGTTTCGCTCTTGTTGCCCAGGCTAGAGTGCAATGGCACGATCTCGGCTCACTGCAACCTCCACCTCCTAGGTTCAAGTGATTTTCCTGCCTCAGCCTCCTGAGTAGCTGGGATTACAGGCGCACGCCACCACACCCGACTAATTTTTGTATTTTTAGTAGAGATGGGGTTTCACCATGTTGGCCAGGCTGGTCTCGAACTCCTGACATCAGGTGATCCGCCTGCCTTGGCCTTCCAAAGTGCTGGGATTACAGGCGTGAGCCACCACGCCCAGCCCCACTTAGCCTTTCTACGACTTTGTATCCTCATCTGTAAAATGGATGTGGTGGGAATCAAATATAATGCATTTGCAGCCTTTGGCACAGTCCCTGACACATACAAAGCCTGCAACATCCTGTTAGTTACTACCACTAGTTGGGTTTAAAGAATTTTCTCATGTAATCCTCACAATAATCCTATGAGGTAGGATTATTATTATTCTCATATTGCAGATGGGGAAACCAAGACCTAAAAAGAATTGCTTACCCAAATCAATAGCTAATTAGTAGACAGCAAAGCCAACTAGAACCCAGATGCCCTATCAGATCAGGCAGGCAAAGATCAGAATTAGTGAGTAGGGCAGGCAGCAGCGGGAATGTCTGTGGAGTCCAGACAATAATGCAGCCACAAAGCCAGAGTTCTGGTAGCTGCAGAGGCATTTCCAACTTTAAACTCTGGTCAGTCTGGAGCTCAGTCAGAACAAACCTTGTTTCATCTTTGATTTAAGGAGCTGAGAAAAATAAGCTCTGGAAAGAGAAGAGGGGACCCTGTGTTCCAGCATCATCTGCGTTATTTATTCACTAGGCTGATTGCTTCTCCTCTCTGGGCCTCAGTTTCCCCAGCTGTATATGAAAGGTTGAACTAGATTAATGCTTCTCAAACTTGAATGAGGTTCTGAGTCACCTGATGATCTTGTTTGAATGTAGATTCTGATTCTCAGTAGGTCTGGGAAAAAGCCTGAGATTCTGAATGTCTGACGAGCTCCCAGGCCATGCCAGTGCTGCAGAGCTAAGGATCACTCTCTGAGGAGCAAGGAACTAGATCAGCTTGAAGGACATTTCTGGTATGATAATGCCTATGAGAGCAATACACCAAAGACTGAGAAGTCGAGCAAAAACAAATTCTGCCCAAAGTGCCTTACAGTATTTGGGGGTCCAGTGTGAGGGCCAGGCTATTTCCCATGGACCACAGACCCCTTTAAAAAGGGGCTTGATATCCAGCACTCAGTGAGGCATTCAGCTGCAGGGCCAGCTCTCCAGACTCTTCTTCCCAGCCCATCTCCCACCCTCACCTGCACTTCACCTCCTAAAGGGAAGAGACAAAATTTTCTAAGCCATTTCCCTCCCCTATCAGGGCTGGGGAGGGAGCGGCTTGTTCCTAATGAAGACAAAGGACAAGGCTTAAGGGACACTTGAGAATCTTTTTCTGTCCTTCCTTTTCCTCATTCATTCATTCATTCTTCATTATTCAACTATTTATTGAGTACTCTCTACGTGCCTGGTATTCTCCTAGGGGCTGAGGTTACAGCAGAGAAAATAAGACAGATGTGGCCTCTGACCTCATGTTGCTTACATTCTAATTGGGAGGAAAATGGGACAGGCCATAAATAGGTAGATTTTAAAAATGAATGAGATCATCTAAAATCACAAAAAGCAATAAAAGAATAATGAAACAAAGTGATGGGGTAGGGGGCTTCTTCTGTCTATTGTCCTCAAGACAAAGTCCAAGGTTGGAAAAGCTCATCTCCACCTGCCCTTGTTTGCTTCTCCAGCCTCATCTCCTGTCACTTTTTGCCTTGAACTTTCCATTCCAGCCACACAGGACATGGAGTATCAAGGCTGGAAGACGCCAACCAGCCTTTGATCCAGTGGTTCTCTCAGCCCCAATCACTCTTTCTCTTTGTCCCTACCTCTTCCTCTTTTTCCCTCTTTCTCACCCAACTAACCCCTCCTGCTCTTTCCCAGCTTACTCGCCACTCCCACTGGAAGCTGGCCCTGCTGCCACTGATCTGGGCTAGGAATCCGTCTGCGCCACCTTCCCTGATGACAGCATCCATCACCTGTGCAGCCGTGTTAATTGGCTGTCCTTCCCCCACCAGACTGTAAGTGCCTCAAGGGCAGGAGTCCTGTCTTATTCACTCTGAATCCTGAATCCTCAGCAGTTGCTGCAATGCAAAGCACAGAGTAGGTGCTTAAGGAACACCTGTTGAATTAACTGACACTAAGTTTAGTATATTTAAGAGCTCAGTAATGGGCTGGGCGCAGTGGCTCACGCCTGTAATCCCAGCACTTTGGGAGGCCAAGGTGGGCAGATCACCTGAGGTCAGGAGTTCAAGACCAGCCTGGCTAACATGGTGAAAGCCCGTCTCTATTAAAAATACAAAAAATTAGCTGGGTGTGGTGGCAGGTGCCTGTAATTCCAGCTACTCGGGAGGCTGAGGCAGGAGAAACGCTTGAACCCAGGAGGCGGAGGTTGCAGTGAGCTGAGATAGCACCACTGCACTCCAGCCTGGGCGACAAGAGCAAAACTCTGTCTCAAAAAAAAAAAAAAAAAAAAAAGCTCAGTAACATGAGACAAAGGCATCTACAAGACATGGCTTTGGAGACAAAGAATAAATTGATAAATTGGAAGGAAAAGAATATAACAATTCCTCAGTCCTTTCTGGAGTCCACATTCTAGTGGCTTTCAGCTCTACACTGTATCAGGCCTCCTACAAGGCTTACCAGGCAGACTGGGCAGAAATTATTGACCCCCATTCAACAGCTGGGGAAGGTCATGCCTCAGAGAGGTGAACCTACTTCAGCTGAAGTTACCCAGCCAGGTGGTGGCAAAGCATGTCCAAAGAAAGTTAGGGACCAGAGACGTCAGATCCAACCCCTCCCTCTTGCAGGGGATGGGGTAGGGGTGGTAATCTGCAGACTCTGAACTAAGTGTTCTAGCTCATTTCAAACTCAGAATAACCATTTGAGGTAAACAGTAGCCATAGCCACAAAAAAAGTAGACACATGATTTGCCCATCATCCACCTTCCCCCTCTAACCCAATTGTCCCTGGGCAGACCGTGCAGAGTACCACCCCATTCGTCCTCAAGGACTCCCTGCCTGGGGTCAACTCATGAGAAACTGTCCACCCGCAGATTGACTGGGACAGAAAAAACCCTAGACTTTTAATTTCCTTATTTCACAGTTGGAGACAATCCAAAGCTTCGAGAGAAGGAACTAGTCTATATAGCACATACTGAGACAGGGTCAGAACTCCGGAGTCAGAACTTTCTGAAGTATAGCCCACAAGTCCCCTTGACATGAACCTTTTGAGTTGGGAAAGGGCTAAGAATGATGTGAACATGACCTGGCCATTTGTTAGCTGTGGTCAGGCTGGGCGAAGAGAGGCAGCCCCTCTGGTAGTTCTACTCTAGAACTCATTAGTCCCGCCAGTCCTCAATGGTTTGTGCATTGGTAGGTAGCCCATGGGAAGTAGGATGTGGGTTGCTTACTGCTTAGTGACTGTTTATGAAGATTGTTATTGCTACTACAGCAGTATAGTCTCCCAGCTGAACAATAACCTAGAAAGTATGGAGAGTGGCCGGGCGCAGTGGCTCACCCTTGTAATCCCAGCACTTTGGGAGGCCGAGGCAGGCGAATCACGAAGTCAGGAGTTCGAGACCAGCCTGGCCAACATGGTGAAACCCCGTCTCTACTAAAAATACAAAAAATTAGCTGGGCATGGTGGTGGTGCCTATAATCCCAGCTACTCAAAGGGCTGAGGCAGGAGAATCGCTTGAACCTGGGATGCGGAGGTTGCGGTGAGCTGAGATCATGCCATTGCATTCCAGCCTGGGAGACAGTGCGAGACTTCGTCGCAAAAAAAAAAAAAAGAAAGAAAGTATGGAGAGTAGGTGGAGAGGGGCTAGCAGAGACATAGGTAGGGCACCTTACCACTAAGAAATAGAGCAAAGGGTAGGTGCTTTATGTTCCAGAAGCATATAGATCCAAGAGGAGGGAAGGGACATTTTGGCTGAAAGCTTGGAACTATATCTAGCATAGATAAATGTGATTCTCATAGGTGCTTGTATTTGCTATGGGACCCTGGACCAATCATTCAGTCTCTTGAAGCCTTAGCCTCTCCCATAAGAGGGTGGAATGAGCTAGTCTCTAGGGATTCTTCTTTTTATAACTCTCCCTCTAAGTGGGCTTTGCAGGCAGAGGGAGTCATTAACTCCTGCTATGGTCTGAGTGTTCCCCCTCCCGCATATTCCGATATTGACTTTTTTTTTTTAAGAGTCTCACTCTGTCTTCCAGGCTGGAGTGCAGTGGCACGATCTCAGCTCACTGCGACCTCCAACTCCCTGGTTCAAGCAGTTCTCCTGCCTCAGCCTCCTGAGTAGCTGGGACTACAGGCGCACACCACCATGCCTGGCTAATTTTTGTATTTTTAGTAGAGATGGGGTTTCACCATGTTGGTCAGGCTGGTCTGGAACTCCTGACCTCATGATCCGCCTGCCTCGGCCTACTAAAGTGCTGGGAATACAGGCGTGAGCCACACTGCGCCTGGCTATATTGACATCTTAACCCCCAAGTGATGCTATTAGGAGGTGGGAACTTGGGAGGTGATTAGGTCATAAAGGTGGATGGAGCACTCATGAATGGAATAAATGCCCTTATAAAAAAGGCCCAAGAAAGGCCCCTCACCCCATCTACCATGTGAGGGTACAGTGAGAAGACAGCCATGTATGAGGAAGCAGGTCCTCACCTGATCCCAAATCCTTGATCTTGGACTTCCCAGCCTGAGAACTGTAAGAAATAAATCTGTTATTTACATGCCACCCAGTTTATAGAATTTTATTATAGCAGCCCAAACGGATTAAGACAACTCCATTTCAGGTAAGCCCAACAAACCTAGTATTTGCCAGGCCAGGTCCTGTTGAGGCTTAATTGAGAAATGTGTAGCAAATTGTTAGTAGTACAGGCCCGAGACCATGATCCTTAGACCGCTACACTTGGCCTGTGGTCAGCTCTTGGGAACTTCTATTTCAGAAGGATTTCCACCATTCCCCAAACTAATAAGAGTAGCTCATTATGCCTAAACTGGACAAACAATGCAGTTTCTGTTGACTGCCTAATTTTCTTCTGGGAGTTTAGAATTCTGGTATGTGCTTAGCCAAGGATGCCTATGTGACCAGCCCCTAACAAAAACCCTGGCATTGAGTCTCCAGTGAACTTCCCTGGTAAACAACATTTTACACATGCTGTTACAGTTCATTGACAAAGGAATGAAGCACATCCTGTGTGCTTAATTCAGCTGGGGGATGATTCTGGGAATCTCGTGGCTGTTTTCTTCCAGACTTTGTCCCATGCACCTTTTCCCTTTGCTGATTTTGTAACCTTGTGCTGTAATAAATCATAGTGTCAGTGTACTTATATGCTGAGTTCTGTGAGTCCTCCTAGCAAATCACTGAACCTAGAGGTGATCTGGGGACCCCCAACAGGAGTTAAGCCTAGATTTCACAGAGTCAATCATAATCTTGTGCCAGTCCCTTAAGAGTATACAGCTGAAACCAGTGCTATCCAACAGAGATATAATGTGAGTCACATGTAATTTTACATTTTCTAGTGGCTATATTTTAAAAACCAAAAAGAAACAGGCAAAACTAATTTTAAGCACATGTTTTCTTCAACCCAATATATTATTATTCTTTTATTTTTATTTTCGAGACAGAGTCTCACTCTGTCACCCAGGCTGGAGTGCAGTGGTACAATCACCACTCACTGCAGCCTCAATCTCCTGGGCTCCAGTGATTTGCCCAGCTAATTTTGAAAATTTTTGTAGAGATGTGGTCTCACTATGTTGCCCAGGCTGGTCTCAAACTCCTGGGCTCAAGCCATCCTCTTACCTCAGCCTCCCAAAGCGCTGGGATTACAGGCGTGAGCCATTATGCTCAGCTAACCCACTATATTAAAAATATATTTAAAATATTTCCATATGCAATTTTATTAAATTAAGATATTTTATATTCTTTTATCACACTAAGTCTTCAGAAAACACTGTGTGTTTTATACTCACAGCACAGATCAGTTTGTACTAGCCCTACTCCAAGCGTGCAACAGCCACACACGCCCATGGCCTGCCTGCTATATTGGCTTAGAGGTTAATGGCAAGGGCTCTGGAGACAGTATATGCGGAGGCTAAAGACACTCTGTCTAGGATGCTGATTCAACCATGTTGATTTCTGATTAACTCCAGTTCCAGGAAAGCCGCTAAGGTTTTCAGTTTATCTACTCTTCCTTGTGTAAGAGCATGTCCTTAACATAAATATTCCCCTTAGGTGAAAACAAACTTAATATTCTCACACTTCAGTTGGCCTACACATCCCTTCAATAGGGAAATCGCCCCTTCCCTATGCTATATAAGCCCTGGGCTGAGGAGGGGTAATAGCTTGGGGATCCACTATCTCACTTCACAGCCACCTAAGACTTCTGTGGCTTCTGTTTCTAAGTCCCTAATAAATGTTTCTTTCTGAGAAACTGGGTATGTCAGCTTCTTTCTTCAGCTTCTCAGCCTCCTCTGACTGGCTGGCGCGGGGGTGGGGTAGGTTTACAGAGATCTGCTCACAGCAGAATAGTATGTGTGGGTCAGAATCCCGGTTCTGTGACTTACCAACTGCATAACCTTAAGCAAAGTTGCTTAACCTCTCTATGTATTAGTTTCTTCATTTACAAAATGGGGATAATAATGTTGGCTACCTCAAGAGGTTGCAGAGATTAATTAATCTAAGGCAGCACCTGGTATAGATAGGATATTGAGTGAATGCTGGCTGCTACTCTCTTTATGCTAAAGCTTGGCCCATGGAGATCAACTTGTCTAACACCTCGTTCCATAAATGAGAAAACTGCAGCCCAGAGTTTGGAAGGCACTAGTTTCACAAGCAAAAACTACAGCCACCCACCTCTCCTCTTGATGAACTCCCTGTCTTCTGGCTGGCCCTGAGATCAAATTTGCCAATTATTTAGGAAATTGGCAGCTCCAGGGCCCCAGCTCGGTTCTGCAATTTCTCTCGATTGCAAAACAAGGGCTACTGTTTGAAGTTGGCACTGAAGTGACGCAGGCTGGGCCTCACTTCTGCTTCCACCTAGGCTCATCAGTTAGAGTGGCTGATCCCATCTTTGAGTTCAGAACCTGAAATGTTTACTAACCAATAATAAGGCTGGCTTTCGTTGTTTTAACTTTTTACAATCCTTTGAGTTTATTAATTTGTGTTCTATCTTCCTTGAAGACACAGTGCATCAGCACTTTTTGTAAAACCTCTTTTTAAGTCATCTTCGGTCTCTGTTCACCTACCAAGTAGGTAAGTAGTGAGCTCCCTATAGAGGTCTCTAAAAAATAGGATGAAGAGGTTCCGAGTGCTCACTTGTCTGGAATGCGGAAGACGTGTTCTCAGACTGGAAGCAAAACTAGCTTATGATTCTTCTACAGCTTCTCCTTCCATCCCTCCCTTCCCATTTTGGCCAATGCAAATCATCTACTCTCCTCTGACAAGCCTACTCATCATAACCCGCACGTCTTGAATCTTCCTAGAAGATGAAATCAGACCAGTCTTGCGGGCTCTACATGGTTACAACTTGCTAACTTGAAGCTCTCCTTATTCTATATGCCAAATATTGTTTTCCTTGACATTAATTTATTTGATAGATATGTATCAAGCAACTACTATGTATTAAGCTCTGTGCTGGTGCTGGTGCCTTTTTGGATCTTATAATTTAGTGCAGAAAATAGACAAACAAGAAATGATGATAAAGTACAACAAAGGGTCGATGTACAAAGTGTCAAATACTCTAGGAACTACAGGAAAACAAGGGAACCATCACGAAACCCCTGTCTTAAGACGTGACATTAGTGGAGATATGAAAAATGAGTAGGATAGTACCAGTTAAAGGGAGACAACCTCTGTTCCAAGCACAGGGAACAGCAGAGATGAAACCTGGAAGTGAGGGAGAATGGCAGACTGCAAGAACGGAAAAATGTCCAGTGTAGCGGAGGCAGAGAGAATATGGAGAGTGTGGCAAAAGAGGAAGAAGCAGATGGATTTTGAGGGCACTTTCTGAAGTGCTAAGGAATTTAGACTTTAACCTGAGGGCAATCAGAAGCAGCCTGGTGGAGAACGATATATTTCAAAACATAGGGTCCTTGAAAACAAGTCAACCAAATGTATTTAAAAGGCTGCTGATGAAAAGATTGGGAAGTATTGTTTTCATTCTCATTGTTTTCACTGTCATGCTCTTTGTGCCAATGGTTAGACCTCCTTTGAAAGCTCACTGCAGCATGAAAGCCCTTCTTAATGCCAGGGCAGGCTCCCCAAGCCTCCCCACCCCACTGTCCATGTCATCAGTTTTGTACTCCTGTTTTGTATGGCTCAGGCTTTCCTTATACTCTTAGGAATGAAAAGCCACAGACACCACCACTGAGAGACTGTCAAAGATCCTTGTTAAATAGGTGGACAACTGAGATCAGAGAAGGAAAGTAATTTTATTACTTTCCGTAGCAATCCAGGGGTAGCATCTCAGGTCTCTGGCTCCTTCTTGTCTCCCCTAAAGAAATAGACCACCAGGGCTGGGATTAAGGTGAGACAAGTGAGACATAGAGGGTGCAAAATGTAGAGAGATGCCCGCTGCCAGGTGCCAGCCTGCACTTGTGTGACCCTAGGTGCCTTCCCTTCCCTCACCCTGCTGGTATCTGCTGGAAACACCTTTGAGAGCAGGGACTTTGGCTTTTAGACAACTCTTTAGCATCTCTCATGGTGTTAACATGTTGCTAGGTGCCTATTTTGAGGGTCACTAGATGCCTACTGATACTAATGAACAATGGATTTCTGACAAACTGATGTGCACACAGATGTTTATATTTTAGGGTAAATACGAACCTTAAAAGACAACAGAACAACATGGAGAGGGCCTGAGACTGAGTCTAGAGACCTGGATTCTGGTTCCCTCCCTGCCATCAGTTGGTTATGGGAACTTGGATAAATTGCTCCTCATCTCTAGGCTTCAGGGAAATGAGGTGGTTGAATAAAACGTATTGAGCACTTACTGTGTGTCAGCCATTGTTCATATGCTCCCAGGCTTTAACTCAGCTAAAGACTTCCTGGCCTCTGTGGTTCCTTCCACTTCAACAGGCTGTGGTTTGAGGTGGGAAGACTTCGTAGAGAATGCAAAACTTGAGAGACATCTTCCAAATTCCCAGGGGGATGTTAATACCTTTAATCATAGTAAAGGTATGGTTTCTCAAGGCATTTCTTGGTCAGAAGAAAGTTCCAGAAGGCACTTAATCCTAGGACTCACACTACCAAGGCTACAGCCAGGCCAACTGCCTCACAATAACCTTAGAACATGTCTGAAGACAGATTTTCAGCTTCTGCCCCTAGAGATTCTAATGCAGTGATTCCAAAGTGGGGTCCAGGAATCTGTATTAAAGGCTTCCCAGTTGACTCTGGTGGTCAGAGAGATTTGAGACTGATTCCATCACATTCCCCATCTGTGAACGGGATCATACCTAGACAGCCCAGCCCTAGAACTGCCTGGTCTGATCCTAAGTGTTCCATGGAGATTTTGTTTTTTTAATGTAATGAATGATTAAGTCAGCAAATACTTTACATCTCTTGTGTGCTAGGCCCTGTGCCAGGTGGTGATTATGGGCCCTATTCTCAAAGGACTCCTGGTCTCCGTCTGTCACTTACTTTAGAAACAAGTCATCTAGCCAGAGCCAGAAGGGCACTGGAGATCACTAATCAATCCCATCATTACATAGCTGAGGAAACTGAGGCCCAGAGAGTAACTGCAACATGTTAAAGACTACACAGGGAGCAAATTTATTTTCTGCTTCTAAGCCAGGTGGTTTGGCCACAGATAGGCCAAGAAGAATACGAACAGACAAGCCTTGCTGGGTTTCCCACTCAGTTTATTACTATTAGACCATTCCCTTTTTCCCCACTCACATTTCTGCGCATTTCCATGGTCTTCATAGAATCTAAGCCTAAAAATAGAGTTTTCCTTGAGTCTTTGGGTCTTCATTTCTGAAGACTCTCATGTCACAGAAAACTTTAATTAAATAAATCGTTATGCTTTTCTCTTGCTAACCTTTTTCTACAGGCATGTCAGCTGTGATCCTTATGATGGGGAGGAAAGGCACCCCACCTTCTCTGTCCCTACAGTCCTAATGCCCTACCCAGAATGGGGTTTTCAAAATCCCAGGACACCCACTCTTTGTTTCTTAAGCACTAAACCTATATATAGTAAATGTTTCTGGAAGTTTAACTTCAGCTCTTGCTGAAATTTTAAACCCTCAATTTCCAGAGGACCATCGCCAGGTGTTTTTAAAACCTCGATAGGAATAAGAAATGCTTCCCAGAATGGAGACTTCCATCAGTTCTAGGGAGCTATTAGCCCCCTTGCCCTGGCTGTAATGGAGACCGCTGTGTCTGCCTCCTTTCGCACTTTGGAGCCAAAAGAGGAAGGGACCGCCTCCCACGTCCACAGGGACCTGACTTCCACCTCTCTGCCCAGATTTGCTTATGTCACTGTCGCCCCGGGACGGGGAGGTGGGGAGCTGAGGGCAAGTCGCGCCCGCCCCTGAAATCCCAGCCGCCTAGCGATTGGCTGCAAGGGTCTCGGCTTGGCCGCGGATTGGTCACACCCGAGGGCTTGAAAGGTGGCTGGGAGCGCCGGACACCTCAGACGGACGGTGGCCAGGGATCAGGCAGCGGCTCAGGCGACCCTGAGTGTGCCCCCACCCCGCCATGGCCCGGCTGCTGCAGGCGTCCTGCCTGCTTTCCCTGCTCCTGGCCGGCTTCGTCTCGCAGAGCCGGGGACAAGAGAAGTCGAAGGTGAGTGAGCCTCCGGGCCGGGGGCCGGGAGAAAAAACCTAGCCCCTCGGTGTCCAGCGCTCAGTGCAATGCACCCCTTTTCCCAGGCTCCCCGCCAGATGGGCAATCCCCAGGTGCGAGAGACCTCCTGAACCCCTTTTGCCGCCCCCTCCGCCGCCGGGACCCCGCCCCCGACCGTCGTCGTCTCGTAGTTCCATCTGTTGGAGAGCCGAGACCTGGTGCTTCAGGCGGGCAGAATGACTAAGGGAGGAAGGTCTCTCTCCCCGAGCTCGCACTTTCTCCCCACTGCCACCTCGAGGGTCGCCTTGCTACATCTATGTCACCTCCGTGCCTGAGCTGCTCCCCTTCAGTAGGGCCTAAGAGGGAGGGCGTCACAGAAAAAAATGCCCAGCGTCTGGGTGGGCTGTGCAAGTTCCCAGGGAGAGAGACAAGGAGAAAGGAGAGAGGCAGCTGGGTGGTCCTGGTCCTGAAGAACTGCTGTGGGGGGCTCTTCTACCCCAAGAATGATACAGGCAGGTAGAAATGGCCACTTGGATTCAGGGCATTGGTAGAAGAGGCAGAGATCTGTGCTAGAAAGAGCTCTGGAGTGACAGTGCAGAACACTCAGGACCCTGAGTCCTTACCTGCTCCTGGACCCCCGTTTCTCCATCTGCAGGGGAGAGTTTGGGGGTGGGAGTGCATGGGGCACAATGAAGCTGAGGGCCTCAGAGGGGATGCTTGGAGAAGCTGAAAAATCCACAAGCTGTTCTCTGAAATTTCCTCCCCTGGGGCAGCCTCACTACCCAGGACCCACTGTCCTCATTAGCCTGAGGAAACCTGGTAGTTGGAGAAAGCTGGGGACTGCTAATTCAGAAGAAGAGGTAGAATTCTCTAGAGCCTCAGTCTATTTCCAGCAGGTGTGTGGCCCACACCTGGAGTGGGGATACTGAGGCCAGGAGTGGGATGACCCAGCATGCTTATCTCCTTTGACAGTATGTACTGGGGTGGGCTCTGTAGACCTCTCCTCTACCCAGGGAGTGGGAGTGGGTGGGGAAGGAGGCAGAAGCCAGGTGTAGGGATAGACTCAAAGCGAGCGATTTCTGTCTCCAACTTCCCAACATGCATAACTCACATTTTTGCAAGCTCTGAGCTTTTGTTTCTAAAATCCTCTGGGTCTTCACTTTAATTAAGTTCTTATGAGTCTAGGATTCCGTTTCCAAAATTCTGTCCACTTCTCAGGAAGCCCATTGGAAGCACAGGGTTCCTTCCATGTTACTCACCCCTTTTCGGTCCTCAGCCTAAATCCGATTAATCAGCCTCTCCTTGGAGTCAGTCTAAATGGATGTGAAGCCACTTCGTCCAAGTCCCCTCCTTTTTATCCATCCCTGTTCATAATCCCCAACTCAGAAGGCATTTTCCAGGTCAGGAATGGGATCGATTTTCAACATTGAGGTT
This sequence comes from Homo sapiens, assembly GCF_000001405.40. Taxonomy (NCBI): domain Eukaryota; kingdom Metazoa; phylum Chordata; class Mammalia; order Primates; family Hominidae; genus Homo; species Homo sapiens. Next base: position 151,022,176 of record NC_000005.10, read on the forward strand.
TGGGGTGGGCCATAGACAGGCCAGCACCGTGGAGTCAGTCCCAACCTTCAGTTTTGGAAAGGTCAAAGAAGATACAATTGGGCCCTGCCTCAAGAAGGCTAGTGGGGAGAACGTGGACTCCATGAATAACTCATCATAGCTGTGTCTTCTCTGCAGCACTCTGGGGAAGGATAAATGGACTCAGAGAGAATAGGATGGGGATGGTCTAGAAAAGTTTTAGGGTGAGGTGTGATCATATCACATACAACCAGTCAGGACTTGCTGGCTAATGAAAGCCTGGGCATGCCCATCTCTGCTCCCAAGTTCTTAGAGTTCAGATGTCTTAGCTCTGGGTTAGGACCCAACCACTCACCTTACCCCCAACCCCAGGGTAAAGAGATAGGGTTATGGGGCATGTGGAGAATGGAATGGACGAAAGGTGACTCAGCCCCAGAGAGGTGTTTTCCTCCTACCAATTGAAAGGGAGATGCTAGGGAAGAGACCAGGTCCTCCTCTTCTTGCTGCGTCACCTCCCCAGTCCAACTTCAGGCTGCCCACGCTCCTTGTCTCTACAAAAGGACTGCAGAAGCCGGAAAGAGTGACAACTGCTGACGTGCACGGGATCCTAGTAACTGCTGGTTTCTAGGTGACTAAACCTGGCAGAGAGAATCATGGAACCACAGGCTGACAGAGTTAAAGGGCCCTTAAGACAGCCCTGAACCTGACTCCATCTTACAATGGAGGAGCTGGAGCCCCAGCAAAGGGGGTCACATGGCATCAGAGACACAGCAAAGCCCAGCACTCAGGTCTCCTGACTCCCAGACCACTTCTCACAGCATCATATTGATAGGAGTAATAAGACGGGAGAGGAGAAAGACACAAGACCAGCAGCCCCAGCCAGCCAGAGTCCTGGCTGAGTCCCATCATCCAACTCTCAAGCCATTGGAACCCTCTTCTCTTGCCCGGCTGTGGGAGGATTCAGGCACCCTCATGGCCTCTCCCCTTATCTCCTCTGGCCACTGTTTCAGATGCGGTGCTCTGGGATTCCACGTGCCCAGAGAAGGGAAGGGGGCTCATAGAGGACTGAGTTGCAGTGATCAGTGGTGAGCACAGCCGTGGCTCTCCACCCATGGGCCACCTTCTGACCCCCACTATCCCTTGACATGAGATTTCGTTCCAAGAGACTCCAGGCCTGTTTTGCTCTGCCAGCAGATTCCCACAACCATTTTGGGCAGCAGCATGCTTATCTCCCTGGACATATGCCCAGACAGTGTAAGTGACTTGCTCAGGGCCACACAGCCAGCAAAAAATAGAACCTAATGAAATAGGGTTCTCCTTGCCACACCCCCAAGCTGAAACTGTGCCCAGAAGCTGGTCCTTCTGTTTACAAGTTCCCATTATTAGGACAACCTGTAATCTTTTTTTCCTCCATGTCTCAGAGTTCATTTTTGGATCATGGCAGAGTTAAAAAAGTGGAGAGGCTATAGACATGCCTGGCTTTCTGGCCACTAGATCTTTGTGGCGGTCTAGGGTGTATTTGTTGTGCCCCAGTTTGTCTGCATTTTAAGGCGGAACTGGCCCTGGCTGGGAACGAGGAGGTCCAGGAGCAGTAGGAATGTTGATCTTAGGTCTTGGGCCTGCCTCCAGCACCCACCAAAAGTCACCGGATGTGGAATATTAGACTCATGTAAAGCAGGAAGTTTGCACCAGAGCCAAGAAGAGAGCTTGCAGCTGCCAGGGAATGGCCTGGCGGAGGAAGCGCAGCCTCGCCCAGCTCAGCAGACCTGCTTCATGACAGAGGCAGCTCTTCTGCACTCTACTGGGGCCACGCCCTGCCAGCATATATCACTCCCTTCACCTGGTCAGGCCCAGGTACCTTGCCTCAACAGCAAGTTCTCCAGAATTGAGGGGAAGAGAGGGAGTGAATTTGCTTCTCTAACTCCAGCCACCTGTCTCTGCCCTCTCCTGGTCTATAATGCTACTTTGCATTCCATTTGTTTATTGTCTGCCCACCTCTCAAAGGATATCAGGGCCACAAAGGACCTTAAAGACCACCTTATACAATGGTTTCAAGGTTTCTCCTTTCCCATCACGACCAGCCCACCTGCCAAATTGTGTCAATGATGCAATGACATCCTTTCAAGAATAGTCTCAGAATTTTGTTGTCTGTGTCACGGGCAGAGTAGGCTCATAGGCCACATCCTACTAGCCAGCAGTGACCCCAATCCCCTCTCTCCCACTGATCATGATCCTATCAAGCCATCATGGTTGACCTGGTTGGAGAGTTGGTTCAGTTCAAGGTTCTCATTTTATAAATGAGGAAACTCAGGTCCGAAGAAAAGAAAGGGCCAGTCCAAGACCACACAGGGAGTTAATGGCAAAGGGACATGGAGCCCAGGTCTCCCAGCCCACAGTCCACTGCACTCTGTCCCTCCTTGTCCTGGAGGCTGACTGTGAGCAGCAGCTGGGGAGGGAGGAAGGCATAAGGGTCATCACCAGCCTGCTCAGACCCGGAACATTAACACATGCAGGTACTGTTGCTTTTCCCTACCTCACCACAGCCCTTTCCCCCATGCCTGGCTCTCAGTCCTGCTTCCCTATTTGGTAACAACAGCTTCATCTTTCCTGTCCTGCAGATTGGGAGCCTCTGAATCACCATGTCCATACGGCCTCTTCCTCCTTTCTGTTCAGTTTTTCCTTCACACTGGCCTAGTTCAGGTTCTCATCCTCAATTGCCTGGATTATTCCAACAGCCACCCAACCAGTCTCCATCAGCCCGTCTAGGAACCCAGTCATCAGCTTTAGGGCAGTCTCCCTGAGAGCCCAGTAAATGTTCTGAAATTGACATGTGATGTGGAAGTAATTAGCAAAATAAGTCATTCTCCAGGGTTCCATAGCACTCACTTATTAAGTGCTTAATATTAATAAGTGCTTATTAGGTGCTTAATATTAATAAGTGCTTTTTAAGCACTTAATATTAAGTACCCGAAAAGCACTTATTAAGTGCTTTCATAATCATTATCTTAAACAAGGAATTAGGAGACGTCAGTGCTAGTCCAGTTCCAATTCTCGGTGATTACTTTGAGAAAGTCACTCTCTCTGTTGGGATCTTTCATTCTTTTGAAAACGGAGATGTCCAAGTTCCTTTCCAGCTCTAACTGCTCCTTTTATGGCCTGTGTTCCAGATGGACTGCCATGGTGGCATAAGTGGCACCATTTACGAGTACGGAGCCCTCACCATTGATGGGGAGGAGTACATCCCCTTCAAGCAGTATGCTGGCAAATACGTCCTCTTTGTCAACGTGGCCAGCTACTGAGGCCTGACGGGCCAGTACATTGGTAAGAGCCCACCCTTCCTCCCTGCTTTATTTGGGGCTGTATGGCATATTTCAATCACAGGAGCTTTTCTGGTGCATGGGGGAAAGGGTGATGGCAATCACGAGAGTCCAAGCCCCTTTTCTCAGCTCCACTGTGTTCCGTGGTTTTGTGAAGATGATTATATAAGCCTGAGGTCTGATTGCCTTTGGACATGTTCTAGGAGATTCCTAGTTATCCTTCTTCATCTCTGGGCACCTCAACAACCCTAAAGGCAGAGGGATAGAGATTAGGTTTGTGCTTAGAGCTCCCTTTGGCTGGAGCATGAGATGGTAACTGAAGCTCCATCTTGCTGAGAATATCTTATTTTCCCTCAGCCCCATCTGCTTTGGTGCTTCTCTTGGCAGCTCTCTGGAAAGCAGGCAATTGCCTCGAGGCCCCAGAGTGTATGCGTGGTGTAGCGGGATGAAGGAGCAGGCTACACTTCTAATGCCCATTCTAAAATAAACTTTGAAGATGATCTAGTTTAGCCTTCCCCTCTTCTCAATCTACACATGGGAAACCAAGACTCAGAGCGAAGATACAACTTAAACAGGGTCACAAAGCTATTAGCGGTGGAATGGGGCATTTGGCGCAGGTTTCATGATCTCCTGATATGCTTACTCCTTTCTCCCTAGCTGGGGTAGAATACAGAGGCTAGGGGAACAGGCAACCAAAGGCAAGCGACAGCACCCAGGGGAAAACGCTTTGGGGCTGAGCAGTCTACTGGCAGGGGGTCAGGGAGGCAAGGGCAATTTGACCCTCCATGCTCTGCCTGGCAATCACAGGCGAATTCCCGGAAGTGAAAGGACGGCGGTCACGTGGCCCAGTGGCTGTGAGTGCTTTTTCTGGGATGCTTCTCTCTAGCCTTGGAACAGAGCAGAGTGCGTTTGGGCAAGAGATGGGCTGGGTGCTGCTGCAAAAGAGACCAGGGGACACTGAGGAAACTGGGGAGCTGGGCCAGGGCCTCATCTGTGTTCCTGATTTGCCAAAGATTATGGGAGGGTTGTAACCTCACCCCAAAGAAGTTCTCTGCCTTGTATCCAGGGATGGATAGTTCTTGCTCCAGAAAACTCAATCCTGAGGGTTCTGAATGAGTGCTCTAGCTGGCCCAGGTGGAGGGCCTTGGCAATGGGCAGGTGACTGACAGCTGACTTGAGGAAGGGTATTATTCTTGTCCTCCAAACCTCCAATCCATCCAGATTAGAGTCAAGAGGATAGGACCTGAGTCCCAGCATTGCTGTGAACTCACTGGTGATCCTGCGCAAGTCCCTCCCTTTCTCGGGCCTCAGTAGTTCCAGCGGCACAGCGGGTGAGCCGGGGGAGTGGTGTGGATGAGACAGGGCTCCTCGCCAGGATACTCCCACATCTGCTCTTTCTCTTTGGCCCAGAACTGAATGCACTACAGGAAGAGCTTGCACCATTCGGTCTGGTCATTCTGGGCTTTCCCTGCAACCAATTTGGAAAACAGGAACCAGGAGAGAACTCAGAGATCCTTCCTACCCTCAAGTGAGTACTCACTCAGCATCCTGAGAAAGCTCCTCTCACATGGCCCACATCTTGTTATCAACCCCAAATCATGGTGGACATTTATCGGCCACCAAGAACTACTCTCCTCTTCTAGGATCCCCAGTGGAATGAGGGAAGGGAAGGGACAAGAGAGGGAGAAGGACAGGGACAACTGGTTGTGATGTGCATCCGCAGGGAGCACCAAGGTTGAGGGACACTGAAAAGGGACCAGGCTAGAAAGGAAGACCGTGGACTCACATTATGCCTATGCCCACTGCACATTCACTGGCTCCTGCTGCCCACTGCAGAATAAATCCAGACTCCCAACACCCTCTCCCCTGTTCTGTCCCTTCCTCTCATTTCTGAGCCCTGTGCCCACCTCCTTGGGACCCACCTAAGAACATTTCTCAACAGGTATGTCCGACCAGGTGGAGGCTTTGTCCCTAATTTCCAGCTCTTTGAGAAAGGGGATGTCAATGGAGAGAAAGAGCAGAAATTCTACACTTTCCTAAAGGTAAGTGAGCTGCCACCTGTGCTGGCTGGGGCTGCAGCCCCTCCTGGCTCCAGCCCACAGCGTCAGGGCCCATGCCACCTCCCCTGCTCCTGGGCTCTTGGGGAATTTCTTGGCACCTGACTATTGTTCCAACTAGAGGGCTCTGCAGACCCTGACTAGGGTCTCATTGGCCCATTTTACAGAAAGGCCCAGAAGGACCCAGAGTGAACATACTAAGGGTCTCACAATCTTCTAGAGCCACAGCTGGCGCTGGCAGTCTTCTAACTCCCAAACTGGGGCTCTTTTCTCAGGGCCAGGCTATTCCCCAGGAAGGCCTGGGAAGGAAGAGGGTCAGGGGGCCTCAAGCAAGGTTGACACTCCTCTTATCCCTGCTCTAGAACTCCTGTCCTCCCACCTCGGAGCTCCTGGGTACATCTGACCGCCTCTTCTGGGAACCCATGAAGGTTCACGACATCCGCTGGAACTTTGAGAAGTTCCTGGTGGGGCCAGATGGTATACCCATCATGCGCTGGCACCACCGGACCACGGTCAGCAACGTCAAGATGGACATCCTGTCCTACATGAGGCGGCAGGCAGCCCTGGGGGTCAAGAGGAAGTAACTGAAGGCCGTCTCATCCCATGTCCACCATGTAGGGGAGGGACTTTGTTCAGGAAGAAATCCGTGTCTCCAACCACACTATCTACCCATCACAGACCCCTTTCCTATCACTCAAGGCCCCAGCCTGGCACAAATGGATGCATACAGTTCTGTGTACTGCCAGGCATGTGGGTGTGGGTGCATGTGGGTGTTTACACACATGCCTACAGGTATGCGTGATTGTGTGTGTGTGCATGGGTGTACAGCCACGTGTCTACCTATGTGTCTTTCTGGGAATGTGTACCATCTGTGTGCCTGCAGCTGTGTAGTGCTGGACAGTGACAACCCTTTCTCTCCAGTTCTCCACTCCAATGATAATAGTTCACTTACACCTAAACCCAAAGGAAAAACCAGCTCTAGGTCCAATTGTTCTGCTCTAACTGATACCTCAACCTTGGGGCCAGCATCTCCCACTGCCTCCAAATATTAGTAACTATGACTGACGTCCCCAGAAGTTTCTGGGTCTACCACACTCCCCAACCCCCCACTCCTACTTCCTGAAGGGCCCTCCCAAGGCTACATCCCCACCCCACAGTTCTCCCTGAGAGAGATCAACCTCCCTGAGATCAACCAAGGCAGATGTGACAGCAAGGGCCACGGACCCCATGGCAGGGGTGGCGTCTTCATGAGGGAGGGGCCCAAAGCCCTTGTGGGCGGACCTCCCCTGAGCCTGTCTGAGGGGCCAGCCCTTAGTGCATTCAGGCTAAGGCCCCTGGGCAGGGATGCCACCCCTGCTCCTTCGGAGGACGTGCCCTCACCCCTCACTGGTCCACTGGCTTGAGACTCACCCCGTCTGCCCAGTAAAAGCCTTTCTGCAGCAGCTGAGCCTACTGTGTGTGGTGCTTCTTCAATGGTGGCCGCCCCCGCCTGGGTGGGAAGTGAGGAGGAGAAGGTGGGGCAGGGTAAAGGGGGGAGGATGAGAAAAGAACAAATATGACAACAAAAACTTTTTACAGTGGGTGCAAAGGTAATTGCGGTTTTCGCCATATGGCAAAATCCAAGGCTACCTCCCCACCCCACAATTCTCCCTGAGATCAGCCAAGGCAGACTGCAAGGGCCATGTAGCCCTATTAGGGGTGGCATCTTCATGAGGGAGGCCCCCCTGCCACAAAAAAGGGGCAAAAATTGCAATTACTTTTTCAACAACCTGATAGTTAGCTGCAGTGGCGCACTCCTTCAGCTACTTGGGAGACTGATGTGGGAGGCTCCCTTGAGCCCGGGAGTTTGAGGCTATAGTGTGCCGTGACTGAGTCTGTGAAGAGCCACTGCACTCCAGCCTGGGCAACACAGTCAGACTGTCTCTTAAAAAAAAAAAAAAAAAAAGAGAGAAATTAGACAATGCTTTGAGTCCCTGCTTTTTGGCTCCTACCTTGGCCCACTCTGCTTCTCTCACTCAGCATTTGGAGTTTATAAAACCAGTTCTGATCTACTCTCATTCCCTCCCACAGTTCTCCAAGTCAGCTGAGGTTAAGATGAGGTGTTCTGTTTGACGGATGAGGAAACTGAGGCTCACAGAAGGGCCACGCCTTGCCCCAGGTCTCCTGATGAGTGAGGGGCAGGACTGGAATTTAAACCCAAGTCCCCTGAGTCCTGGCCTAGGCTCCTTCCACTGCCCCGGTTGCCCTACCCTCAGGGAGGCCCTGATACGTCACCATTACTCAAGAGTAATGGTGACCATCTCAGGGAAAGGAAGAAAAGGGGAACAGAAGGAGGGACCCAGGAAAGCAGGGGGTTGACAGGGGAACATTAGCGCATAAATGAACATGAGTCAGAATGTTGATCTTCTTCAACTTGGATTTATGTCCATGATTCGTGCAAATAGCTATCCAGGGATGGACAGCCACCCTAATCTGGGCTTCTGGCACCACAGGCCTCCAGCTATGGGGTCCAGGGTCTGAACCTCAGGGCCTGGCAGCTTCAGGCTGGCGCCCCTCGGCGGACGTGGCTGGCATGGCCTTCTCCCATCTGTGATGGCTTCAGCAAGGCTACTGTGAGTGGTGGTGGAGAGGGCCCCAGAGCCAGAATATCCATCATTCTCTTCTGTTCTGGAGACAAACCCACACTTCCCACAGCTCCTCACAGAGGGGTAGGGGTGTGCGTGGGGCAGGTCCTGCTACAGAGCTTGAAGCAAAAATTAAACACACACACAAATTGGTCATGGCAACTAGAGGGCCTGAAACCACTTCCGGGAGGTTTTGAAGGAAGGGGGTCTTGGCTGCCTCCCACTCTTAGGATTGCTGCTCCTGGAGGCTTCTGCAACGGATGGTGGGTCAAAGCCGGATGAGGCCTCTCTCCACTCAGCAGCAGGGAAGGAGTTTTTCCCAGTCACTCCCAGCAGAGTACAAATGAAAGCCTTCTGGGTGGAGCCTCCCCAGTCCTGTAAACAGCTCAGTTCAGGGACTGGTGTACAAGCTGGCCACCCATCTCAGCCTCTCATCCAGCTGAGGCTCTGGCCACACCGTGCAAGTGGCTTCTAGTTTCTTGGCAATCTGAGATCAGCTGGCTCTGCAAGATGAAGGTGGAGCCAAATGACACAATCTGGTCTCACTGAGGCCCCTCACGGTCATTTTTTGGAGACTCTAAATAAACAAAAATTTTGAGGACTTCATGATTATGTGGTAGAGCGAGTTTCAAAGTCTCTTATGGAATGCAGTGCAGGAACAGTGAAAATAACAGCTAGGGTTACTGGGTGCTACCAAGTGCCAGGGCTAAGTACCTTAAGTACGCTGGTCATGTAATCTTCACCCAGCCCTATGAAGAAGGCAGGTTATTATCCCATTGTAAAAGAGGGAACTGGGACACTAAGAGGTTTTAAATGACTTGCTCATAGTTCCAGGTCCAGGAAATAGTGGGGCTAGGATTTGAACCCAATCTCAAATCCTGGAGCAGTTCTGGGGAGGGAGCCCCTCCCATTATACCAATCTCTACCACTCATCAAAGCAGCCTCCAAGGGGCTCCACTGAACTTGTAGGGTTCTTCAGGGAAAAACAGAAAATGACTGAGCAGCCCAATCCCTTCTTCCAATCACCAAATCCTCCAAACTGCAACCCCTCCAAGGTGTCCGTCCCATGGCCTCTACTCACACACCTGCAAAGGGACACTCGCCACCTCCCAGAGCTGGCTCCATTTCTGCACAACTGTGTCCCTTAGAAAGAAAGTTCCTCTTCATGTTGCGATGGACTTGGCCTCCCTGTCATTCCCACCCACTAGTTATAATTCTGTTCCCAGAAGTCCCACAGGCGAGGTGGTGCCTTGTGCCCCATGAGAGCTCTACAGGGAGCAATGGCAGTCGCTAAGGTCCCAATCTTTTCACGAGTGGACACAGCTCCAGGCTCTTCAGCCTTTCATGGTGGACACCATGGTCAGGGGAGCTTTTCAAACAGAAATATGGTCATGCCACTCTGCTTTAAAAATGTCCAGTGACTACACATTATGCTGAGGATAAGACCCAGGCCTCCCACCATGCTCCGCAGGCCTGCACGGTCAGGACCCGGCTACGTCCTGAACCCTGCGTTGCCCCTCTCTTTCCCTACCTTGTTCTTGGCTCCAGCCACGCTGGTCTTCCCTCCGATCCTCAAATCAGCTCCCCTACTTCCCCTCCTCCCACCACGGCCTCTGCATTTGTCATGTTCTCTGCAAAAGCATCCTCCACCCCTACCTCTCCACCTAGCTAGTGTCACTCATTCTGAGAGTCTCAACTCAAATGCTGCCCCCCCGGTCTAGGTCGGCTTCCTCTGCTATCTGCTCCCACAGAAACCGGCTCTTCTTCCTTTAGGGCACTTGAGTGCAGCCTGTTTGTGTGGTGTTTGTTTATTCATTTCTGCCTCCCTCATTAGACATTACGCTGTATAAGGGCAAGGACTGTATCTGCTTCTGTTCTCTAGGCATCCATAGCACCTAGCACAATGCCTGGCATTAGATAATGCACTAGAATGAATGGTTTCAGCCCCCCTCACTCTGTGGTTGCCATTACTCTCCATTCAACACTGTTTTGGAAAGCTGGGCCTCTCCTCCACCAAGAGCAGAAACTAACGACATCACCCCCAAACTCAGGCAATGCTGGCAGATAAGATATTATCTCCCCCAGGGAGGACCAAGACTCAGTATTAGGGGCTCACCTGGTTCTGTAGGCCTGGCTGTGGGAGGGTCCATCACTTGGGAGCTCTGATTTGGATTTCGAACCCCTCCACAGGGTAGACGCCAGGTGTATTCCGGCTGCGACAAAACTGGTGCTTAATAATCAATAATCACACCCAAAAATTACAATAGCACCTACTGTGCCAGGACAATACTAAATCTGTATTAGTCAAGTATAATTGAATCTTTATAACAACCCAGGCTGGCACTCCCATTTCACAGGTAAGGAATCTGAGGCTCAGAGGGGATAACTTGCTGAAGGTCATCTAGCAAGGAGAATGGCTAAGCTTGGATTTGAATCCAGGTCTTTGTAAATCCAGAGCCAATCTCTTAAGCGCCATACTATATACTCTGGTGTTTAAAGATGTGTACCAAGAAGGGTCATATGGGAGAAGCTGAAAAAGAGGCCAGCCAGGAGGTTTCTGTAATGGTCCAGGGGAGAGCTGGGATGCCTAAGGTGGGGCTGTGGCAGAGGACTGGGGAAAATGGGACAAGTGACAGCAGATCTTTGGAAGAAGAATGATAAGAAGGGAAAAGAGGCCAGGCGCAGTGGCTCACGCCTGTAATCCTAGCACTTTGGGAGGCCAAGGCGGGTGGATCACCTGAGGTCAGGAGTTCAAGACCAGCCTGGCCAATATGGAGAAACCCCGTCTCTACCAAAAATACAAAAAATTACCGGGCGTGGTGGTGCATGCCTGTAATCCCAGCTACTTGGGAGGCTAAGGCAGGAGAATAGCTTGAACCTGGGAGGCAGAGGTTGCAATGAGCCGAGATCGTATCACTGCACTCCAGCATGGGCAAAAAAGAGTGAAATTCCATCTCAAAAAAAAAAAAAAAAAAGGAAAAGAAAATAAAAAAAGAGAGGAGAGAAGAAGAGGAGGGGAGGGGAGAGGAGCGGAGGGGAGGGGAGGGGAGAGGAAAGGAAAGGAAAGAGAGAGAAACATGGTGAGGCTCTGGAACCTAGTTACACGTGGAAGTTATAAGAAAAAGCAAACCCAAACTCTGATACCCATGGCCTGGGGCCTGGAGGGAGTCCTCCTTCCCACCCTGCACTCTTACTCAGCCTTCTCCGTCCTAGACCAGTGACCCTGAACAGCTGTGGGGCAGCCCTGCGGGACTGTGGCCAGATCCCTGCCCCTGGGTAGCAGCCCAGAGCCAGGCCCTGGACACCCACCTGCCACCACGGTGCTGTTTAGTTCAGAAGGATGCAGTTTCTGAACCCCTCACTTAACCTTCCTCTCTGGAAGGTGTCTGGGGCAGCCTCTGTGTGTGCCCTGGAGCAAGGGAGGGACACAGACTCACCAGATGGAAGAGGCGCGAGTTGGGGAGTGGGGGCGGGTGCTCCATGGCCATGGGGGGAGGGGGGTAGCGGATCTGGGACCAGTCCTCGAAGCCATGGTGTGGCACCATGGCTGGCATGGGCGGGTAGGCGTAGGGGTAGGCCCCGCAGAGATGTTCTGGGTGGGGCTCCACATGGTAACGCTCTCCTGAGGCCTGCAAGAAAGGCTGACGTCTGGCTTTGGCCTGCAACAGGCTGCAAAGGACACCCATCTCATCACCCTCTAAATAGAATGTTAGCTCTCTGAAGGCTAGCAGGCTGGGTACCAAAGGCTGGTATGTGGTCATGAAAGGCTGCTACATGGGTACAGAAATCTGGATACATGGGCATAGAAGGCTGGATATATGAGCATGGAAGGCTGCATGGGCATGGAAGGCTGGGTACACATGCATGGAAGGTTGTGACATGGGCACAGAAGGCTGGTACATGGGCACGGAAGGCTGGTACATGGGCATGGAAGGCTAGTACATGGGCACGGAAGGCTGGTACATGGGCACGGAAGGCTGGTACATGGGCACAGAAGGCTAGTACATGGGCATGGAAAGCTGGTACATGGGCATGGAAGGCTGGTACATGGACACGGAAGGCTGGTACATGGGCACGGAAAGCTAGTACATGGGCACAGAAGGCTGCTACATGGGCAGTGAAGGCTGGTACATGGGCACAGAAGGCTAGGTACATGGGCAGTGAAGGCTGGTACATAGACACGGAAGGCTGGTACATGGGCACGGAAGGCTAGAACATGGGCACAGAAGGCTGGTACATGGGCACGGAAGGCTGGGTACATGGGCACGGAAGGCTGGGCACATGGGCATGGAAGGCTGGGCACATGGGCACAGAAGGCTCATACATGGGCACGGAAGGCTGGGTAAATGGACACAGAAGGCTGGGCACATGGGCACGGAAGGCTGATACATGGAAACGGAAGGCTGAGCACATGGGCATGGAAGGCTGGTACATGGACACGGAAGGCTGGTACATGGGCATGGAAGGCTGGGCATGGGCACAAAAGGCTGGGCATGGGCACAAAAGGCTGGTACATGGGCACGGAGGGCTGGAACATGGGCATAGAAAGTTGGATACATGGGCACGGAAGGCTCATACACGGCCAAAGAAGGCTAGTCACATGGGCACGGAAGGTTGCTACCTGGACACAGAATGTCAACAGTGATGACAGCTAATACATTGTGGGCACTGCCTCTGTACCAATACTGCTCTAAGGCTTTTCCTGTATTACTCATCAGTTAGTTAGCAGAGGATGTCCCCACGCCCGAGCACACACTGTGCATCCATCAGGCTAGCTCCATGAGGAAGGTAAGAGGATGTCAGTGCTGCTACCTCCCTCAAGCCTCCTCACCTTTGCTTTCCTCTTCTGCTGTCTGAGGGCTTCTCTTGCCTTCTCCTCATCTTTGAATGCTTTTAGCTGAGAGAAGAAGGGAGGGAGAAAAGACTGTCGGCACAGGTGGTTTCTGGCCAGGCCTGGATCCAGGGCCTAACCAGCCACGAGGACTGACCGGCTGATGCTTCCCTCTGGGCCACCATGCGTGGGCCAGCCCCGGGAAAGGGCCCTGAGGGCGGAGCACAGCCCAGGCTGTTGCTGCAGGCCACCTGCTTGTCACAGTGGTCTGTGCACAGGTCAAGAGGGTTCACGTGAACCTCGCTGCTTCTCTGCTAACATCTTTTAGTTCCACTCTGGGAGAGTAAAGCCCAGAACTGACTGTGGAAAGTCAGAGGTAGAGATATCTTAGAGTAAAACTCGTAATTGTACAAAGAAAGAGTCAGAGAGGGGAAGGGCCTTGCCGAGCTCAAATATGATTGCAGAGCTGGAGAGAAGCAGTGAGGGTCCTGACATCCAGCCTCACCAGGGCCCTCCAATCCATGCCCCCTCTCCCCACGAGGACAGGCCAGTTGCCCTTCCTGGGTCCAGTCACTCTTACCTGGGCATTTGACAGGGTGACCTGGGCCTGCAGCTTCTCCACTTGCTTCTTCAGCTCTTCCTTCTCCTCATTCATGCGCTCACGATCACTGCGCTCCCTCTGGAAGTCCTCCTCGAAGATCTTCACCTGGTGTGGAGGGAGGGTGAAGAGAGGGAGGGGGATGGTCCTGAGTGGGGATTTCTCCTCAGGCCCAGACTCCCATGCCTCCTGCTGGGGTCACAGATGGCAGAGCTGGGGGTCGCCATGGGGAGTGGGACAGCTACACCTCCAGCCTCCACCTTAACTTCAAACAGAGTAGTTCTGTGTCCCTCTATCTTACATTCTGGGCTTCAAGCTAGGACTTTATTTGAACAAAGGATATATGGTTTTAAAAAAACGTTGAAAGCCATCAACCAGTGCAATCCTTTCACTCCGCTGAGACCCACAGGGGCAGTGATCACAGAACCAGAGTGTGGTGTAGACCAGAGTTTGGATCTGCTGGTTCTGAGGGCAGAGACCCTACAAACTCCGCTAGGGCTCCAGGGTGCCCTGGCAGAGGTGGGTTGGGTGGGGCCTGCCTCTGTCTCTTAGCCTGTAGTTTCACATCCTTAGTGCAGATCAGCTGAGACACTGGCTAGGTTCAAGGCAGTTTAGGAGGATTAAATAGCACAGAGACAATGGGAGAGCCACAACCTTTTCGCTTTCTTTCACCCCAATCCTTCTGTGTCCCTCAGGGCTAGTAGGTCTTTAATACCATTTTAGTACCTGCCAATCTCCTTTAAATAAAGGAGAAAAGAACTCCAGTTCAGAGTCTTCATTTGGCAAGAGTATCCGGCTAGAGTTTAATAACATTGTTCTGTTTTTATTGTTTATTGCGTACAGTTACTTTCTACTTGTGACAAATAATAAATGGTTTTTTCCAATTACAGCAGTGATATAAAGCTCCCTTTTAAATTCATTTATTTAGAATTTATTTTTTAAATACTAGGTAAATAATAGCACGTGTGGGGCATAGAGATGGCTAAATCATAAAGGTGGTAGAGGAACGACTTAAGCTAGGGTTATGGTGCTGGAAAGGATAAACCTAGAGCCAGTGGGGGGCCCTGGCCAATGGCCAGAAAGTGGATTACTAATTACAGGTTCCATGTGATTCCAAGCCGTCTGGGCCCTCAGGAAAGCTCCAGCTCCCACAGAGCACCTCCCACCTGATTTCCTCCCGGAAGCCTCACCTGCTGTTTCAGCAACTCATTCTGCGTGACCAGCTCCTGTTTCCTTAGGAGGGCCCCTGCTCCTTCTGGGCTCCCAAATGCTGTTGGTGGAGATGATGGCGGGGTTTGGATGCTCAGTGCTTCCTCCAGGGCCTGGAATCAGGAAAAGATGGGACCATCAGCAGGAACCCCTGGAAATCAGGGCCCTTTGGAGGGGTCATCCTCAGGGAACTCCTTCCTAATAATAATCATACTAATAATAGCCACCACTACCAGTCCTATTTAATAAATGCTGCCCTATTTATTTGCATTCTACACATATCATTTCATTGGATCTTCTGCACAGTGCCATGAAGAAAAGACTATGATCATCATCCTCATTTTACAGATGTGAAAACTGAGGCTCAGAGACCTGAAGGGGCTTGTCCAAGGTCAAGGTCACACAGCTAGTAAGTGGCAGAGCACAGATTCAAGCCCAGCACATGCTCCTACCCAGCAGGCTAAACTGGGGTTGTCATGCAGAAGGGGAAACCTCCCCTTCCCTGAACATGTGTGGCTCAATTCTTAGCACCCAGACCTAGAAGGAAGATTAAGTCCTCCGGGGGAAGCTTCAGTCTCCCCAACAACTGCCCTGCCCTGAGATTCTTCACTTTCAGCAACCCATTCCCATCCAAACCACCCCTTCCATCCTCAACACTTATGTACATAGAGAAGACTGGATTTAATTTCTGCTTAGTTAATATTTTCCCTTTCTAACACTGAAAATGGGCTGAAATATCATCAAATAACATTTTGAAAATAAAAAAATACTCTTAATCTATCATGTTCACAATAGATTATATAAACAGTGTGCCCACATCTTCTTAAAGGTTTCAGTTAACCGTGTTTCCCCTTTAACTCTGTTAACATGTTACTCAGAACTCTGGAACATGTCTCAAGACTGGGCACCCTGGACTTTGGCCCCAGGACAGCATCGCCCATGGGCCTCCCTGGACCGAGGGGAGATAGAGACCTGGCCCAACTTGGACTCGGGCTTCCACCTGGTCTCCTCAGCTCCCCTAGACACGCAAAGAAACTGCAGGACCGAGAGTAAATTCAGGATGCTCCGAGGGGAAGTTATGGCTCCACTTTATCTTCCTACTCCACCCCACTTTTAAATGAAAAGACTGAGGTCCAGCGACAGGGAGATGCCTAGGTCATGAGCAAAGAAGGCCACATGCCCTGCATTACTCATCCACATGGTGTCTGTCCCTGGCTCTGCCAAGAAAACCTCCAAGGTCATCTTTATGATCAGCAACATGGACAATTCTCTGCCTGGATTTAGAGCCCCAAGTCCCCCAGCTCAGGACAGATCGCGTTTCTTTCTCTGGAAACAGGTCAAGGGCCCCAGACTTGGCATAATCAGTGTTTACAAAACACCAAAACCAAAAAGAAAGGGTTTCCCCAGCAGGCCTAGGAATGCTCAACTCATGCCAGAGTCCACTGTCACCAGGGTCAGGAGGCAGAGGGAAAGGAAAAACAATTAGCACGAAACGAAAAGCTGAGCCATGAACTTAACTCCTCCAGGCCCTCAGAGAATGTTTCCTTTCAAAGCTCCCTCCTGTCAGCTTGCATCTTTGAAATGTGCTGGAAAGCAGGCAGAACTAGAGCCGTTCCCACCAGGGCTCGGATGGCAAAACTGAACTGGAGAGGCTGGAGAGGCTAAGCTGGGACTAGACCACTCCGCTTGGCTCAGACCAGAGGGTTTCTGGTTTCCTCAGCCTCTACCCTGGGGGCCCCATCTCCCTGGATCCCACTGCACAAGGGCGGGCCCCTCAGCCCGTGCTCCTCCACTCCCATCAGTGTTTGCTGAACATGTGCTTGATGCCAGGCGCTGTACAAGGCGCCCAGGGTATACACCTTGGTGAAAGTATGCACCTCCCACCACCAGATGGGAAGACAGAATTAAATAAGTGATGACGAGCCATGAGAAGGAGTGTCAGAGAAGTTGCTGGTACCTCAGGAGCATAGACCAGGGCAACCTGAATGAGATTCTGGGAAGGCTTTGCTGAGCAAGTGAGGGTAAAACAAACCCTGACAAGCAGGGTGGGCAGGTGAGGCACAAGGGGAAGAGTGCACCTCCAGAGGGAAGGGTGACACAGGCTAATTCAAGGGCTGAGTCACTCCCAGTGTGGGAGGCAATGGCAGAGCAGGCGGGAAACAGGATGCCAGCTCACTGACTGGGGGTTACCCTTCCTAAGCTGAATGGTTGGGGGTGCCAGTGATGGGGTGGGCATTGCAGCTGGACTCAAGGGAGCCCAGCCAAGGGACCCGGGCCAAGGCACCCACCTTGTTGAGCCGCTGGATCTCCTTTTCCTGGTACTCACGCTGTCGGGTGAGTGGGCTCAGCTGATCCTGCAGGTACTTGACCTTTTGGCGCAGCTCCTTGGCCTCTGCTGTCAGCTGCTCCTTGTCGGTCTGCAGGGAATACAAGGTTGGTAAGCTGGCTAGGATGGCCTCTCCAGGAGGCCTCGGATTCTCTGTCCTGCCTGGCCCAGCCCTTACGTTCTCCCCTGGCCATCACTTCACAATGCTCACATGCAAAGCACCTGGGGTCGGTACAGTAATGTCCATCCGGTCCTGCCCTCAATTATTATGTGTCAATTTAAAATAATAATTAAAAAAAGAAAAAGCAGTAGCTCAGTTGAGTAAAAGACCCTGGATTCCGACACCAGTTCATCCACTAAGCAGCTGAGACCCCTGGCACTGCCACAGCCCTCTCTTGTCTAAGCTTACCTACCTGTCACAGGTACGGGGTTCCTAACGTGAGTCACACAGAGACCTCAGGAGGCCTGTGAGCCCCAAAACTGAATGCGAAATTTTGTTGTGTGTAATCTGCTAGAAAGAAAAGCCATAGTTCTGACCAGATTCACATGGGGGTCTTCCGTGATCCACAGAAAGCGATAAACTACGGATAATCCCTAACAGACACTGCAGCTCATACAGCCTTGGAGCCTAGAGGAGAGATGACACGCCCAGAGAGAACTGTGACATAAGGCAGAGAGTGCTCCTCCAGAAAGAAACAAAATACTGTGGGGCTAAAAGAAAGATCACCACAGCTGAGGGAAGGCTTCCAGGAGGCGGTTCCATACCCTCTACGGAACCAGCAGGGCTTCGCCACAGCCAGCCAAGACTGGGATGGCCTTTAGACAGCATCAAGCCCCAGCCCTGTAATACGATGGGAAACAAATGTCCAGAGAGGGGAAGTGACGTACCCAAGGCCACACAGTGAGCTGGGGCTAGAACCCAGGTTTCCTATTCCCTTGCTCTCTCTCCTTCCATGTCAAAGGAGGTGTTGAAACTAGGGGATGGCAGCACAGTGCAGTGGAAAGACCAGGCACATCCCCAAATAAACTATATATTCCTATGTGTACATATATGCGAGAAAGGTCTGGAAACAGATGCACCAAAATGGTAACAGTGGTTCCCTCTAGGGAGGGCCTGGGATCATGGCAGTGGGAGGTAGTCCAGGGAAACTTTCACTTTGTAGCATGTGGACATTTCATAACTGTGTATTCACAGCATGTGATTAAGAGACCAGTCGCAGGGGTTAGTTTTCACCCAGCCCTGTGTGACCTTTAGTCAGTACGGACTGCAGAGGGCAGGCTTGGTCAGACCTCCCTGGGAATTGTTCTGGACTCCCCATCAAGAGGCTCCCGGATGGGCATGGGCTTTACCGAAATTCATCCTTATCTACAGGGCCACGCCTTGTCATGAAACGTCCTACCTTCCCTGTAGCTGACAGGGAAGAGCCCTCACATTCCAGGGATTTGTCTCACCTACCACTGTGAGCAAGGGAGAGGGGCCAAAGAGCCAGGATGTCTGGCTGCGAGTCACCAGGTATGACTGTGCACTCATAAGGAAAGACAGAAGTGTTCTCCCTACCACACCTCCAAGGTAAGGGGGTGTCACAGACGTAGGCTGACTGCTCAAATAAGGCCCCTGGTGTCCCATGCTGACGGGAGGAACTGTGAAAGGCAATCCAGGTTGAAAATGTCCATTTTTAAGCTAGGCAAAAGACCATGCCCAGTTCCCATGAAGGGGAAAACATGGTGACATAAATAAAATCTCCCAAGAGTCTGGCAGTCAAGTGGCCTTTCCTCTTTAAGCTGCTCCAAGGTCCTGATGGGCCTTGGCTGGTCTCATTCATACATATGACTGGGCAGATACTACTACTTCAGGGGACCTGTTGTTTCCCCCCAAGAAAGAATCTGGTCTCACTTATGCCCACTCTCTGATCTCTGTAACTTCTTCTTCGTAGTACTTTTTTTTTTTTTTTTTGAGACAGGGTCTCATTCTGTTGCCCAAGCTGGAGTGTAGTGACACAATCTCAGCTCACTGCAACCTCCGCCTCCCGGGTTCAAGCGATTCTCGTGCCTCAGTCTACCGAGTAGCTGGGACTACAGACATGCGCCACCACTCCCAGTTAATATTTGTATTTTTATTAGAGACGGGGTTTCACCATGTTGGCCAGGCTGGTCTCAAGCTCCTGATCTCAAGTGATCCGCCCACCTTGGCCTCCCAAAATGCTGTGTTTACAGGCATGAGCCACCATGCCTGGCCATACATTTTTCTTTTAGAGAAACAGGGTTTCACTCTGTTGTCCAGTCTGGAGTGCAGTGGCACAATCACAGCTCACTGAAGCTTCCAACTCCTGGGCTCAAGCAATCCTCCCACATTAGCCTGAGTAGCTAGGTCTACAGGTGCACACTGCCACACCCAGTGAATTTTTTAATTTTTGTAGAGACAAGGTGTGGCTATGTCACTGAGGTTGGTCTCAAACTCCTGGCCTCAAGCAATCCTCCCACCTCGGCATCCCAAAGTGCCAGGATCATAGGCACAAGCCACCCAACCCGGCCTTCTCTGCAACACTTAACACACTTTTACTTTATTTGCTTCTGTAATTAGTTGTCTGGCACCTCTTTCCCAGCGAGGGCAGGGTTGAGCTGTTCCTGTGGACTCTATGCCAAAGCACAATGCCTGAGACAGGCTCTGAAGACAAATGCCGGGATGAATGGATAAATGAAGCTCTGTCTCATGTTGTAGCCCCTCCCCAACAAATCACCATCACTATGCTGAACACTTGGCAGCATCCCACCCCACCAAGTGCCATACAGCAGGCCTGCTTGGATCTTTTTTTTTTTTTTTTTTAGCAAGAGTTTCACTCTTGTTCCCCAGGCTGGAGTGCGATGGTGCAATCTTGACTCACTGCAACCTCCGCCTCCCAGGTTCAAGCAATTCTCCTGCCTCAGCTACCTGAGTAGCTGGAATTACAGGTGCCTGCTGCCACACCTGGCTAAGTTTTGTATTTTTAGTAGAGATGGGATTTCATCATGTTGGCCACGCTGATCTTGAACTCCTGACCTCAGGTAATCCACCCGTCTCGGCCTCCCCAGTTGCTAGGATTGTGAGCCATCGTGCCCGGCCACCTGCTTAGATCTTTTATATGGTGTGCTTCCCTGTACAGTTCCCCATTCCCTACAATTTTAATGGAACAAAAAGTTCTGAATAAAAACAAGAAAATGTGAAAAGCTGTAGTTAATGTAACTTTCTCAATTTTCAGATGGGAAACTGCAGTGCAGGGAAGGAACGTGCCTGTGTTTTTGGTCACCTAGCTCTTTCGCACTAGACCCCCGGGTCTCCTGACTCCTGCCCCTGGCTTGTTTGCTCCACAGAACTCTCCGCTAATGTGGAGGGGAACTGACTCTGCAGGGACCAGCAGTCACACTTGCCTCCTCCATTTCAATCTTGGACTTGGCCAGGAGGAGCTTGCGGTCAAAGTCACGCTGCTTCTGCTCCCGCTCGGCCTCCAGGTCAGTCACCTGCTTCTGCAAATCAGCCAGCTTCTGACGCAGCTCAGTGATCTGGGTTCAGAGGCAGAGAGGAGTGTGTGAGGCAAGGATGTAGAGCACTTGCAGGATGTGGGCAGGGCCTGGCTGCCCCTGGGCCCTCCAACACTGCCCCCAACTTCTCCTCTGGGCCATACTGGGGCTCAGCGTGGCCACTCCCCAAGGTTCAAAGCTGCTAAAGAGGCAGCGAGATGAAGACCAGGCATGCCCTGTGGGCGTGGCCAGGAACCCCACATTACCTTCTGCTCATACTGCTGCTTCATGGACCGGAAATGCTGGTCCCACTGCTTGTTCACTTCCAGCAGCTGTGGGGAGAGACTGGAGTTAGCAGGAGATGAGCAGAGAAGGAACAAGGAGAGCCATCTCCTGCCCCATGTACACCAGCGTCCCAAGGTGTGCTCGGTGTGTGTGAATAGTGGCTACAGACACTGTCTCCATCCCTCAGCTCTCGAAAACTCAATGTTGCTCAAAGCCATCCACCTTCATCCACTGCTGCATTTTACCTTGCCAGGAAAGCAAGATTAACACTAAGACATGGAAACTACATAGTTTTGGTGAATAATTATGGAACACACACACCTCTTTGGAGGGCAGTCTGGGATTATGTATTGAAATTTCACATTTTCATCAACTTTAACCCAATAATTCCACTCTGAAGAATTTAACCAATAGAAACACTTACACAAGTGTGCAAATATATATACACAAGGCTAATCATCTCAGCAATACCTGTATTACAAAAAAATCCAGAGGCCAATCTAAGCACAGAAGATAGGTTAAAGAAACGATAGTATAAACAGACAATGTGCAGCTGTTAAGAAAATAAGAAAATAGGCCGCCAGGCACAGTGGCTCATGCCTATAATTCCAGCACTCTGGGAGGCCAAGGTGGGCCAATTGCTTGAGTTCAGGAGTTTGAGACCAGCCTGGAGAATATGGCAAAACCCCATCTCTACAAAAAATACAAAATTTAGCCGGGCATGGTGGCACGCATCTATAGTCTCAACTACTCAGGAGGCTGAGATGGGAGGATCACCTGAACTTAGGAGGTGGAGGCTGCAGTAAGCCGAGATCATGGCACTGCACTCTAGCCTGGGCAACCAAAGTGAGACCCTATCTTAAAAAAAAAAAAGAAAAGAAAAAAAGAAAACAGAAAATAAAGCACCTAACACACTTCCTCAGTTTGAAGATGACACTATCCACCATACTCTTGATATAACAATTCCTCAGGGAAGAAAAACAACCCTACATCATCAACTAAATAAAACAAAAGGAGTATTGGCCCTGCCCCTTAAGATATGTCATAAGGATCCACACCAATTTCAAAAACATTGCATATGATAAAAAAAATTACAAAGAATTAAAGGAATATAGCATATGTTATAGATATGAATAGATACTCTCAAAGGCAGTTAATTTTTTTTTTGGAGGCAGGCCTAGGCTGGAGTGCAGTGGTATGATCATGGCTCACTGCAGCCTCCTGAGCTCAAGTGATCCTCCCACCTCAGCTCCCCCAAGTAGCCGAGACTACAGGTGTGTACTACCACACCCAGCTAATTTATTTTTTGTAGAGACAGGGTCTTGCTATGTTGCCCAGGCTGGTCTCAAACTCCTGGTTGCAAGTAATCTTCCTGCATCAGCCTCCCAAAGTGCTGGGATTACAGGTGTGAGCCACCACGCCTGACCCAGTTAATTTTTTAAAAAAGAAAAGAAAAAATAATCTGTAAAGCAGTGTGTGTATATACATATATATACACACACGTATATGTATAATTTTATTCTACTTTGAAAAAAACTGAGGGATATTCAACAAACTGTAATCAGTTGTGGTTTTCTCTAGGAGGTGGTATTCTTGATCTTTTTGTAATGAGCATTATATCACTTTTGAAATCAGAAAAAAAGACGCTTATAACAATACAAAAAGAAATCTAAAACTAATATGCACATCAAGAAGCTTTCAAATGTGCGGGAGGACAAGGGGAGGCAGGCTCAGGGTTCTAGAGAAGCACCTGGGCTGTGTGGAGAGGGGCTAGACGGAACAGACAGAACAAGTGTCTACCAAAAAGGAGCTGCACTTCGACCTCGGGTCTGGAAAGACTGGACTAGACTGGGGGTGTGAGGAGGGGGAGGAACACATGTGAGATCCATGGGAAGAGGCGGAATGGACTGCAGCACAGGGACTCTGCTGCGTGGCTTCTCTCTTGGCAGCAGAGGGAAACTAAGAGCCTCTTACGAACTGGCTCCTGCACCTTAGTGGGACTGGGGGACATTTAAACTACCTAAAGACCTGGCCATCGCCTTAATGGAGTTTAGGAATCCACTCAGTATTCTGTGGCAGGCTTCGGCTGCTGGCTGGTCCTTTTCATTCTTGCCTAAGAAAATTCTTGAAATGGGAGTCTCAAAATATCTGCAAAGTAGCTACACCAATAGAGGTAGGTAGCTATTTTTTTTTTTGAGATGGGGTCTTGCTCTGTTGCCCAGGCTGGCACGCGGTGGCACGGTCTCGGATCACTGCAACCTCAGCCTCCCGGGTTCAAGTAATTCTCCCTGCCTCAGTCTGAGTGGGTGGGATTACAGGCATGTGCCACCATGCCCGCTAATTTTTTGTATTTTTAGTAGGCACAGGGTTTCGCCATGTTGGCCAGGTTGGTCCCGAACCTCTGACCTCAGGTGATCCACCCGCCTCAGCCTCCCAAAGTGCTGGGATTACAGGCATGAGCCACCGCACCCAGCCAAGGTAGCTTTTAACGTTAAAAATTTTGACAGTAAATTTATGGAGCCTCCAGGCTAGTGGGAAGCGGCCTTAATCCCTTCCTTCCATGATGGGTCCTCCCTAAAGCATCTCTCAAGGGTCCCTCCACTCCTCATCGGTGATGCTAAAACTTGCCTAACTTATCACAACCTCTTTCCACCATCCAAGGTCTACCATAGGAGCCTGCCTAAACTGTAGCCCCAACAATTTTAGGCCATGCCCCACATGCCACCTCCTCAGAGTGACCACTGTAGGCAAAGGGACTGATCAAGAGAGGACAGTCCAGGGCAAGGAGTCAGACCTCATCCATGGGCAGGCAGGTCAGTGGTCACCATGCCAACTCCTCATGGTGACCTGGGACCTGCCAGAGCCAGGAGGCCAGGGCAAGCCTTTGTGCTGCTGGTCCCGGGAGGTAAGAGGGATCCTCCCACTACTGCCACCTCGGCCACCTACCTCACTGCGCTGCTGCTCCAGCATCTTCACCTTCTTCTCGGCTGCGCCCAAGGCCACCACCTCTGGGACCTTACCTGCCGTCACACTAGCCTGGGGAGAAGCACAGAGGAGCCTTCACCAAAACCTCAATACAAATTATCTCACCCAGTCTCGGTGCTCCTCTAAGACCCCTCACCCAAGTGGCCCCAGCCCTCTGTCTCCCTATTCCTCCCACCCAGCAGGACACCACTAACCATCCCAGTCATGACTACGTCCCCTTCTAGAAGTCTACAAGATGATGATTCCCCCTCCCTGACTCAGGGTGGCTGCCAGGCCCTCTCCCCTTCCCTTCTCCCCTCCCTACGGTCATTCTCCCTGTTTAGGTACAACCTCTAAGGTACTACCAGCCACTCTCCTCACTCCCTACACACATCAGCCAAAAAACTCTCTGGCCTGGAAGGTAAGACATTTGAGATGTAGATACAGACAGATATAGATATAGATATACTCATTCTATAAAACATATATGTTTTATAAAACTTTTACAAAAGTTGAAGTTATATAAAATGTTTATTTAAAAACATTTTTAGAAAGATGCAGAAATAAAGATCTGTGTAATACACATAGATGTTTCCCAGCTCTGTCCTCTGTAAGGGGCTAAAGCAGAGACATCCAGCAGCACTGAGCAAACCTAGTGCTCAGTTGGTTTCTAAATACCATTTTCTTTTTATTAAAAAGAAACAGGGCTGCTTTGAGGGGCTGGAGCAGATAAAATATAAGGTGAGTTTGATGCATCTTATAGTGATGGAAAGTAAGGAAGTGCTCAAATGAATAATACTAATAACAATAATAATAAAAGAGCATGTCAAAAGGGCACAAGAGACAACCTGAAAAAAACATCTATGGCCAAAACGGGAACACTTTGAACAGCAAAATACATCACAATAGTATTGGATTATAAGTCACAGTATGAAATAAATACTCTTGAGTTCATACTGATAGAACAAAATAGCTGAATCAATAAATAAATGGGGGAGAAGGGACAGCTCTTCCTTACAAAAGAATTCTGATTAATAAGTGTAGGAAGAATGAGGAAAATATGAAATCACCATTCCATTACTACAGT
The DNA here is from genome assembly GCF_000001405.40 of Homo sapiens. Classification (NCBI taxonomy): domain Eukaryota; kingdom Metazoa; phylum Chordata; class Mammalia; order Primates; family Hominidae; genus Homo; species Homo sapiens. The sequence goes on from NC_000005.10 coordinate 151,046,966, forward strand.
AATAACTGCTGCAGGTGGAGATCCACCAATGGTCACTAAAATCAGTGAGTGAAAGTTTAAGAAAAAATAGAGTATTTGCATAGTCTCTAAGTTTCTCCTCAAAAATAAACACTTATTAATTACAAAGGGAAAATTGGTCACTTGATTGCAGAAACTTGAAAGACAGCACTTGGCCAAGTGATGAAGGTTAACAGTAGTAAAACACTGACATCATGTACCCCTGGTCTGCTGGACTGAGAAATATTCTGCACACTCTGATGTACACAGAACGTCACCTCCGTGAGATTCTTGCCAAAACACGTAACCTCAATCTCCTCATGAGATCCAATCACTTGTGAGGCCTCAATCGTGACAGCAAATAAGTCTATACTGAAAAACATTCTACAAATAACTGGCCAGTACAACTCAAAAGTTTCAAGGTCATGAAAAGCAAGGAACAGCTAGGAACTGTCACAGACTAGAGGAAAATGAGGGAGAAGAGACAACTGAATGCAATGTGGGATCCCAGACTCCATGCTGGCACACGACAGGACATGAGTGCAAATCTGGTGAAATCTGAATAAAGTCTGTAGTTTACTAAGTAGTACATGCCATTAATTCCTAGTTTTGATCATTTAACCTGGGTTCTATAAGATGTTGCCGTTAGGGGAAGTAAAGGAAGGGGATAGGGGAACTCTCTAGACTATTTTTGCAACTCTTCTGTAAGTCTAGTTATACCAAAATAAAAAGGTTTAAAGGTTAAAAAAAAAAATAGCAAGTGCTGGGGTGAAACAGCAGACAAGGCCAGTAGTCCGGAGGGTGTGTGTCGACTCTATCTCCAAGCCCCTCTGTGATGGACACCAAGACCCTCGTCTTCTCTGGGCTTCAATGCGATGAGAAGCTCAAACAGAAGAAGGTCTGCAGGCCCCATCCGGACTTCTGACATTGTCTGCCATCATCCTGGAGTCAGATTCTCTCTATTCTCAGCGTTCTCTTTCCAGCGTTCTCTTTCCCTCCACACTGCACCCCCAAGTGGCTTCAGGTAGGGCTGGGTGCAGAGCTTGCCCCCTACAGGCTCAGGCCTGTAAGCACACCATAGCACCAAGGAGCAAGGTGAGGGGGAGCCCTCCAAGGAAGGTCACCCCCTTTGAGAAAGGGGACAGACAGGCCTGCCCACTTGAAATCTGCGGCATCTTGGATGGGAGCTGTGCTTAGCAAAAAGGTCAACAAGTTACCGGGGAAGGAGGAAGAGGGTGGATTCCAGGCTCTAGGGTGGTGCACCCTGAACCTCCGCGAGGGAGAGAGGAGTCCACGTGGAGTCAGCAGAGCTGGCTGCTGGCCCCAAATCTCCCCTAAAGAGCAACAGCTAACGTTCACTGTTTACGACGCTAAACCTACTTTACAAGCATTGCATCACTGAATCCTCACAACCACCCCTTGAGGCAGGTGTTACTATCTTCATTTTACAGAGGAAACTGAGGCCTAGGAGTCTTATGTGACTTACCCAAGGTTGCAGTGCTGGTAAAAGGTGGAGCTAGTATTCCACCTGCATGCAATTCCAAGGCACACTCGTCGCCCCTCTGTAACACATGCCTCTAATGAGACAGGTGACCCTGGGGCACAAGGGCAAGTCGCTCCCACTCTCAGGAAGGGCAGGAAGAGCATCTGGCTCGGGGCATTCAAGGAAGACGAGTGGAGATTAAAGGGCACAGGAAAAGTAAAGAGACCTGTCCAGGGAATTCCACACCTGAGGCAGCTCAGAGAACCCAAGGGAGAACAGCCGAGTCTACAAGTCCCTTCCACAAGAGGGCAGACAAGGCCGGATCTGATTTGGGGAATAAAGGGAAGAAAAGAGGATCTCCATGGGCTGGGATTCGGAACACCAGGGAAGAGCAGACTTTCACCATTTATCAGCATGTTTCCCTGGCCGTACCCTACATCTGCCTGATAGCAGGTCACACAGAAATCCTGATTATATGATGTTACTTGACCTCTCCAAACCTATGGCCATAGCTATAGAATGGAATACTAGTCCCAGCCTTGCCTACTCTATAGGTAGAGATGAGGCCCAAATAAGAAAATAGATTTGCATGTCCTGGGTAAACTCTACATTGTCACACAGTAATAAGGAATTAAGCCATTACGGTAATTGCTACTATTGCATAGGTGTAGGGTGGGTTAAAGACATTGAGCCCTACTGTTCAGCTATTAAACCCCATTAAAGGGTGAAGTAAAAACACGTTGGTAAAGAGTTGGGACTCAGCTCTGCAGCAAGGGGAATGGTAACGACTGGGCAAGGGGTGCAGAGTCTGCTCCTGCTTGGGACCTGGATGTGGCCAGTGCTGGGACTAGAGGATAGGGGAGTGGGCCAGCCCTGCAGCATCACCAGACCACACAGACACTAGCCAACACCCTCCCCTCTCCACTTTAGAGGCTCCAGAGACACAATCCCAGGAGCTTAGCAGAATCCAAGGGAGCTTGCTCAACCAACCTAATTCTGCCAGGAATATCAAAGATGTTAAACTGACTTTTGGGAACCACTCTCTAAGACAGACCTTGACAAACTGGAATGTGTTTACGGAATGCACCCAGACTGAGCAAACGACTCAACACCACCTTCTATGAGCAATGGCTGAAGGAACTGGAGCTATTTAGCCAGGAGAAGAGAAGGCTTATGAGGCCCATGAAGCCACAGTGACTACCAGCAGCCTCTAAGCATGGAGGTCAGGCCAAGTAAAGAAAAAAACACGTAACAGCTAGAACCTTCTACCACTGGCACTGGCTGCAGGAGGGAGGAGGCTCACTGTCACTGGAGGTGGTAAGCAGAGGCTGAGTACCTGCAACCAAGGATGCTACAGAAGGAATTTCTGACCACATACCTGCTGCTGTCCAGCCACTGCCTTCTTGCCTGTCCCTTCCATCTTCGGTGAGCCTGGCCGCCCAGACGCACCCTCTTTGTTGCCATTGCTCATCAACAACTTCTTGAGCTCCAAATTTTCCTCCCTGGGATGGAGGTAAACAGAGAAATCACAATGCTGACCCTGAGTTAAGAAACCTACAGGGCTCCTTAATGCTCACTATCGCATGAGTTGCAGCTGAGCCCCAGGGAGTACTGCAGGATCCTGAAACCTGCCCTCCTGGAAAACCAAAAAGGGCATCTTCAGCTACCTTGCTCTCAATCTGTGGAGGTCTCTGATTGTCAATGGCAGGGTTTCCCCAGCTGTGGAATTTCTATGCACACAAGACCTTCCGGATATATCCAAACACTGCATTAAATAACCCTGGATCACATTCTAGTGAGAAAGTGACACCCTTTCCAATTATCTTCACATTTCTTGTGTAGACCACGGAGACGGTGCGAGCTTGGTGCTAACAGGCCCTGGGCACCTCTCTAGTTACTCGCCAGTTTCCCTCGTTAACACAGAAGGTGCAGGCTGCAGGCCCAGAGCCTTCAATGTGCAATGATCCTTAGCCTGAATTTATTAACATCCTTTCACTTTCATTGTATTTAGAGTTATCTTCTATTTATCACAGGTAATGCTGTTTTCCATTTACTCTAGTTAAAGTTGCCTTTATAATTTTAAGTAAAAAGATGAATCAAATTAAAGTAAAATTCTAAGTAACTAATAAGGCAGGTGATAGAGGAGATCATAAAATTAGTGATGTGGATTCAGGTCTGACTAAAATGTTTCTTCTTTCTTTTTTTTGAGATAGGGTCTCGTTCTGTCACCCAGGCTGGAGTACAGTGGCCCAATCTCGGCTCACCACAGCCTCGACTGCTCCTACTCAAGTAATCCTCCCACCTCAGCCACCCCCAACCTCCCCCACCACACACCCCCACCCTCTTGAGTAGCTGGGACTACAGGCACACCACCACACCCAGCTAATTTTTTTGGTATTTTTTGTTGGGGCTGGGGGAGGGGTGGTGATGTATTTCACCAGGCTGGTCTCAAACTCATGGACTCAAAGCAATCCTCCCGCCTTAACGTCCCAAAGTGCTGGGATTACAGGTGTGAGCCACAACGCCCAACCACCACTTCTTTATGTTCTATTTGCCAGCTGAGTTTCCGCTTGAAAAACCAATAAGTAAAATGACTTTCCCAAGGTCATACAGCAGAGACTTGCATTCTTGCCTTCTAATCCGTGACTTTTTTCCCCAGCTTCAGTTTCTGAATCCATGGATGGGGTCACTAGGGCTATAAAAACCCCAAAAGTGCATCCTTGGCCATCCAAAAGCAAATAAATTACACACTGATTCAAAATAGCCAGTGGCTCAGTAGTTAAACATTACTTCTGTGGCCATACTTACAAAGTTTATATTCCTTCTCTTTCTGTTGATTCTAATAAGAAACAGGAGAGGAGGGAAAAACAGAGTGGCAAGTCCTGTCTGTGACACGGGCCTTTCCTATGTGCCTGAGCCCAGCTGGTACCCACCAGATGACTCATCACCCAAACTGTCCAGGACCACAGTGCAGGCAGGAATTGTGGCCACTCACAGGATGGAGAGCAAGGAGGCCCAAGTTCCTGTTGTAAGACTCCAATCAAGTCCCTGCCTCTCCCTGGGCCTCAGTTTCCCCTCTGCACAGTGAGAGGTCTGTCTGCATGATCTCCAAGGGCTTGTCAAGCTCTGACAGTCAAGATCAGTGTTTCCCAAGGCGTGATCCTGTGCCTACCTCGTTCATAATCACAGAGACTCCTGGTGAAATGCAGGCTCCTAGGTCTTGCCTAAGACCTGTCAATTCAGAATCTTGCAAAGGAAGGAAGGGAAGGCGTATAAACTTGTAATGCCTTTCCCTGACCCTCAACCCTCAGTTAAGTCTAAGCCCCCTAGTCCAGTGGGGGAGCTCTCATGTTCTCAGGAAGACAGAGCAGGTTGGGATGGTGACCAGCAGGAGGCAGCAAAGTCCTGAGTCCTCTGGACAGCCAGTTCACCGTTAACAGGGGAGAGAGGCAAGTGCTGGAGGAGGAAGGAAGTACAATCTATGCTGACCTTCTTCTGAAGCTCTCAAGGCACTCTATACACCTCCCAAGGTGGCAAAAGGGCCAGAGAGAAAATACCAAAAGAGCCAAGGAGAAGGATCAAGAGACGTAACCTCCAAATAGGGCTCTGGGCACAGGGCCTCAGAGCCACGGTCCTCAACCCAGAAATCAGTGCTGCACACCAGCCCCTCCTCCTGCAGCCCCCACTCCTCACCCCTTCTCTGAGGGGCCTGAACTTACCGCAGCCTCTCGGCAGCCTGATCCCGCTGTTCCAGGCCCTTATCCAACTTGGCCTTCAGAGCCTCGTTCTCCTTCCGAAGCTGCTCACACAGGGTCTGTGGGGCAGGGGAACAGACAGGGTGAGGGAAAGGAGGGGCCCCTCCCAGGTGCAGGCTGAGCTAGAGGATGGTGGGGGGCCTGTAGCCACCCCAGGGCCCAACTCCTTATCCCCTTTGCCTGGCCTCACCCCATCCCTCTCTAAGGAGCTAAGCCACTTGGCCACCCACGTGTCCTCTCCCTTGGGAGCCAACTACGGAGAAGCCTGACCAAGTATCAGCCATGGGGCCTTCTGCTCCTCCAAGACAGACAGCTCCATCCCTTCTCCTTCATCCCTGCTCCCACTGCCGGGACCCCTATTCCCCACCAGCCTCCCCCAGCTGACTTCTACCCTTCTTTGAAGTCTTAGTTTAAATCCCATCTCCTCAGAGAAGTCCTCCCTGACTCCCCGATCCAGCTACATTAGGCTAACTCCGTTATCCTTGCTCACAGCCCCCCGCTTTTACGCTTCTCAGCACCTGTGGCAGATAAAGCTAAAGAACTGTTCGTGCTGCTGTTTTCTTAATATCTACCCCCTTACCCCTAATTAATTCCTGAGCTCCCGGAGGGCTGGGACCCCTAACCATCCTCTTGTTCACTGCCAGATCCCCAGCCCCCAGCTCAAAGTTTGTGGAAGGAACAACATGACTGAACAGCCAAATGAGCAAATGGACAAATGAGCAGGCGAGTCCTAGGGGGGCTGAAAGGCACACCAATTTGCAGGTGTGAGAGGTGCCCAGTGTTGCCAAGGGGAAAACCAGAAGACAAGGCATTCAGTCGGGACCTCACTATGCCCTCACGCCCTCACAATGTGGCTGTGACACTTGGTTCCTCCTCTACAAAAGAAAGACAACTGTTTCTCTTTTTTTTTTTTTTTTTTTTTTTTTTAAGACAGAGTCTCACTCTGTTGCCCAGGCTGGACTGCAGTAGCATGATCTCAGCTCACTGCAACCTCCACCTCCCAGGTTCAAGAGATTCTCCTGCCTCAGCCTCCTGAGTAGCTGGAACTACAGGTGTGTGCCACCATGCCTGGCTAATTTTTGTATTTTCAGTACAGACGGGGTTTCACCATGTTGGCCAGGCTGGTATCAAACTCCTGACCTCAAGTGATCCACCTGCCTCAGTCTCCCAAAGTGCTGGGATTACAGGCATGAGCCACCACACCTAGCCCAGGGACAACTGTTTCTTCTCTGCCTCCTCTATAGGGCTGCTGAGAGGGACAGATGAGACAGTGAGAGTGGAAGTGTCCATGAACCATCAGTCACTTGCTTATGTGCGGGGACTCATATTGGAAGCTCTGTGAACTGGGGGCATGGAAGAGGGGTCGCCAGACTCAGGACCTCACAGGCTGGGGGGAAGGGAAGGTGCTGACTAGCAATGCTAGCATACAGTGTCAGCACAGAGTTGTTCAATCTTTCCACAGATCCTCACTGAGCACCTCACCTGTGCCAGGTACATTGCTCGGTGTTTCTCCATATACTGCCTCACTGGTGCCTCACAACTTCCTCAAAGCTAAGTAACTCATCTCTATGTTAAAGGTAGGGAAACCAGGTAAAATGATACAGTCTAACAGGTGCACAGCTGCTAAGACTCATCACTGGCGGGGAGTAAAACTCCAATTGGCAGACCCCACACTGGTGTCTCTTTCCCCTGTGATGAAAGATCAGAGAAGGGAGAGAGATGGTGCCCAAAGGAGGGGACAGCCTTTGAGCTGGGCCAGGACCAGGGCCATTCACTAAACAGCCATCTGCTGCCTTCCACCTCCCAGGCCTGTTGCAGGTGGATGCAACCATGTGACTAGTTCTGGCCAACAAAAGAGGTGTAGAAGGGACAAGCATCACTCCTGGACTGGCCTACGCACAATTCTCCAGTCTCTTTTTCCTGGTAGCAGGGGCTGATGTGGATGCCTCGTATTCTAAAGGGCACCGGAAAGTTGGGCCCCTGTCTCCCTGGGACTCTAAGGAACTGTGTAGAGCAGAAACAAACCCCTGCCACACAGAATAGGAGGGAAAACTTTTGTTGTGTAACCCAGGGAGATTTCAGAGTTGTTTCATTTCTGACTCACAAAGGAGACTCTTGGGAAGGCTGAATGGAGGACACAGCCTTCAACTGGAGGTGGCTGGACAATGAGGGAGATGAGGCTTAGCAAACAGAGAACCAGCTGGGCATGGTGGCTCACACCAGTAATCCCAGCACTTTGGGAGGCTGAGGCAGGAGGATCACTTGAGCCCAGGAGTTCAACACCAGTCTGGGCAACATGGCAAAACCCTGTCTCTACTAAAAATACCAAAAAATTGGCCAGGCATAAGGGCGCATGCATGTAGTCTCAGCTATTCAGGGAACTGAGGTGGGAGAACTGAGCCCAGGAGGTCAAGGCTGTAGTGAGCTGTGGTCGCACCACTGCACTCCAGCCTGGGTGGCGGAGCAAGACCCTGTCCCCCAACACCCCTTAAAAAAAAGAAATCAAAAAATTATTGTTATGAGTCCATTCAATGCCTAGCAGAGAGCCTTATGCTATACCTGACCTTGAATATGTTTGTTTAGTGAACCAAGAAACACATCAGTGAATGAATGAGGAGGAACTGGATCAATACACCTCCACCCAGGCAGTAAAAATACCCAAGATGCCATGTCTCTGGGCGAGGCCTCCAGGGAACAGAATGGCCTGCTCCTAGTCCCTAAGGGAAGGCCAGGACAAGGCCTCACTTGCTGTCCTACCCTTGCAGTCTAGAGAGCTGTTTCCTTGGAGTCTCTGGGCCAATGCCCTGGGTGCAAACCGGCCAATGGATAGAATCATCAGAGGTCACAAAGATCATCACCTTCCATCCAAGGTGCTACGAGAGCTATGAGTTCATTTGATCATTTATTATTTTGTCCTTTCATTCATTCACCAAGTGTGTATGAAGTGCCACGAACTGGGACGCAACAGTGAATACAACAGACATGGTGCCTGCCCCCCTCAAGCTTACCTTCTAGCAGAGAGTATAAGAAAAAAAAGAGTATAAGAAAAAATGTATTAAATAAAATTATTACAAACTATGATAAGAGCTAAGAAGGAAATAAACAAGGAGGGGACTGAAATAAAAAATAACAGAGGTTGGCAGGACCCCTTTTAAGGGGCCTAGGATCTATCCCCATCTCAAAGCTGAAAAGTGGATGCGCAAAGTGCTCTCACCCCAGGCACCTTCCTACCCTGCCCACAGCCTAGGCACTGTGCCAGGCTCACCTTGCCAGGGTTCAGCCTGGATACCTTGAAGCCTCACTGACATCTTAAAGGGGTTCCCTTCTCTCAGCCTGGCTCTCCAGGCCTCTGCCTCTCGTTCAGCCTCACCTCCCAACACACCCCTCCCCTCCAGGTGGGATGGGCATCCTCCGTGCTCCTCTACCCCCACACCTCTCCTCATACTGCATCTCCAACCTGATTGCCCTTCATGCCCTCGGCAACCAAGGTCACGCAAGGGGGACTCCCCCTTCTGCCATCAGCGGGGCACTTGAGTGCCTGCTGACATGAATGAGACCACAGATCAGAGAATGGCCTGGGAGGAGAGTCTGCAGGGAGTAAGGAGGCTTCAAGTCATGGCTCTGTCACTAAGGTGGCGGGCACTCAGATCACGAGCAGTCCCTCAGAAGCCTCCGTTTTGCCATCTTTAGAATGGTCACCAATTATAACTGAACACTTCCCCGCTGCTAAAGCCCACAAGGCTAAGACCCCCTGCCCAGTGTGGATGCCCGTCATGAACTCCGAATGGGGACCTCTCTTCCAGCATGGACTAGGTTCTGGACTGCACTGGGTGCTTCATGTACATGGCCTCATTTAATGCAGCAATCTAACCATGGAGGCACTTCTAGCTCATGTTACTGATAGGAACATTGGGGGATAGAGAGGATAAGTGACTTGTCCAAGGTCATACAGCAATAAAGGGTCACTACTGGAACCAAGGACCATATAACTCCAAGGTCTGGCCTGGCCTAGCAAGGAAATCTGTCCATTCCCCACAGCACAGGGAGGCTTTCAAAAGGAATTCAATAGGGGAGGCAGGTTGGGATGGTGGTCAAGAGTATGGGCTTTGGAATGCGAGAGATCGAGGTTCCAATCCCTACTTCACCATTTACCAGCTGGGTGACCTTGGGCAAAAAAAGGGCTGCTTCCCCACCTGTGAAGTGGTGATAATGAGGGTGCCTACCCTGGGGGGAAAGAGGCATTATGAAAGGAGTTGACCTTTGTTCCCTCCCTTCCCATCCCCCAACCCTGCACATGAGAAATAAAGGCAGGGCTGCTGGGGGTATCCCCAACCATGACACTCGCATTGCCCATCCCGTATTTCCCCATTTCCTTCCTCTTCCTCATCCCTCCCCACAACTTCCTTATCCTGTTCATCACCCTGAACAAAAAGCCCGAAGTCTGCCCACAACACAGCCTTCAGAAGTCCCCATGGTACCAGTGGATTCCCAGGAGCAGGAAGGTGGGAAGAGCTCGGGGGGAAGCACGCCTGCCTGTCTCGGGCTGCCCTCCCCACGCGCCTCACCTGCAGAATGGAGGTGCGCTGCTCATTCTTGTGCACCTTGGATGCCAGTCGGTTGAACTCCAGGGCCATGCGGCCCAGGTGGGTGAAGAGCTGGCCGTGGTCCGGCTCCTCGGCACACACACTCAGCGTGGTCTCCAGGCGCTGCAGGTGCAGCATCAGGTTGCCGTCCTCACGGGGCAGGGGGCCCAGCGCCTGGAGAGGGAAAGGGCACACGGCCCACTCTTCACCAAGGCCTGAGTAGGCGCCGCCAGTCCATTCTCCCTCTGCTTCCTCATTTCTCATGACTCAGTTTCCCCCTGTGACCCCAGCTCAGCCCCGGGAAATTCTCCAGTTATGCAGGTTCCCTGTCTGGGGCTGACTCACAGGGCAGAACCCAGGACTCACAGGCCACTGGTGGCTCCACAGCAGCGGGGCCACCATCCTCCCACACACTGGGCCTTGCAGAGTGCCTGACAGTAAGTCACTTGTCTGCTGGACCTCAGCATCCTCATCTACCAAATGTCCGCACAACCCTTCCCTCCCTTCAACCTCACAGGGTTCTTAGGAGGATGAATTGACCCCTGACAGTAACAAGCCCAGAAAAGGGACATCACTGCACAGTCAGCCCTCCATATCCATGGGTTCCGCATCCATGGATTCAACCAACTGCAGATCAAAAATCTTCTAAAAAAACAAACTGGCCGGGCGCGATGGCTCACGCCTGTAATCCCACCACTTTGGGAGGCTGAGCGGGCAGATCACAAGGTCAGGAGATCAAGACGGCCTGAGTGGTGAAACCCTGTCTCTACTAAAAATACAAAAATTAGCTGGGCATGGTGGCACGTGCCTGTAATCCCAGCTACTTGGGAGGCTGAGGCAGGAGAACTATTTGAACCAGGGAGTCGGAGGTTGCAGTGAGCAGAGATCGCACCACAGCACTCCAGCCTGGGCAACAGAGCAAGATTCCGTCCCAAAACAAACAAACAAAAAACTGTATTGAACATGTACAGAATTTTTTTCTTGTCATTATTCCCTAAACAATACAGTATACCAAAATTTAGCATTTACATTGTATTAGGTATCGTAAGTAATCTAGAGATGATTTAAAGTATATAGGAGGATGTGTATAGGTTATAGGGAACTACTACGCCATTTTACATCAGGGACTTGAGCATCCATGGATTTTGGGTATCCTCAGGGAGTTCTGGAACCACTCTCCCATGTTTACCAAGGGACATCTGCATATACGTCCTGCAACCTCCGCCTCCTGGGTTCAAGCGATTCTCCTGCCTCAGGCTCCTGAGGAGCTGGGATTACAGGTGTGCACCACTACACCAAGCTAATTTTTGTATTTTTAGTTGAGACGGGGTTTCACCACAATGGCCAGGCTGGTCTTGAACTCCTGACCTCAGGTGATCCACCCACCTCGGCCTCCCAAAGTACTGAGATTACAGGCGTAAGCCACCATGCCTGGCCTACACATGTGTCTTCTGGGGAATGGCCCAAGCATTCATCAGCTTCTGAGGACCCAAGACTCAAAACAGTTTAAGGAACCACAGCTTTAGCTATTTCAGAAAGTCCCAAACTAGTACAGTATGTAAGAAATAAAGCACACCGTGGGCCAGATAGTTGACTCTTTCTCTCTAGTCTATCTGGAATACTCCTACCAAAGACATTGCCTTTGTTACACCAATTCCACTCCCAAGGACCTGCAGTGTTACCCTACTGCAGACGGCACTGGGCCCAGCTCCCCTGCTGGGCATCTAAGGCCCTACAGCCGCAGGTCCCATCCACAGCAGCATCCAGTTGGGCTCCCCACTTTACCCTGCCTGAACCCACACACACCAGGTCTGGTGTCTCTGCATGTGTCCTCTCTGTGTCCTCTCTGCCTCTGCAAGTTCTGCTCATCCTTCCCACCCTGTCCACGGCTCAGCTCCTCCAGCAGCCTCCCGGAAACAGTTATGGGAATCACAGGACAGCAGAGCTACAGGGAGCCTCAGAGATCAGGCCGGGAAACCAAGCTATGGGGAGGAGGAACTTGCCCAAAGTTGCCCTGTAAGTCAGTGGCAGAGGTATAACGAGAACTGAGGTTTCCTGACTCGCCATCCAGTGCTCTGCTGCACTGACCTCCCACTTCTCTGAACTCTGGAGGAATGGCAATGACTATAACCCCAACTTGGCATTCCCTGAACACCTGTGTAATGGCGTCAGTGTGCCGCATTCTAACAAGAGGAAATGCTGCTGTTTCAACTCTGCATCCATTCCCCCACTGCCTCTTTCCACAAAGGAGCTGAGGTGGCAGATGCTGCTCTATTTAAGGCTCATGCGATGCTTCCCATGCCTGCGACTTCTCCAGACTACAAGCTTCAGAGCACAGGGAGGCTGTGTTGTCTTGGCTCAAGTGGCTCAGCAGAGACAGGCACACTGTAGAGCTAATGAGGAACTTACTACGTCAGTTAAAGTTATCGGTCCAAAGTCAGAGTGAAACACTTTCTGAGCAGGGGATCTTGCCTCCATGGCCAGCATCTCAGAGCCCTCAGGGACAGAACAGGACAAGGGGACAGAAGGTTCCAGGCGACAGAACATAAAGAGCCTTTCCAATACTCAGAGCTGCCTGAGGCAGTGGTGAGCCTCTCAACACTGAAGGCATGCTAGTTAGCCAGACAGCCACCTGAGGGGGCCCTGCACTGGGCACTGACAGGTACATGGGGCAACCAGTGAACACAAGCATATTTGTCAGCCAAACCTTTGTGAAGGGAGGCAGCAGGGATCAATATATCAGTGAAGGGCTAGAGCACCTATTGCTCGCATAACAACAATTAAAGAAAAAAACTTAAAAGTGGGAAGGAAGGGAGAATGGAGAAGGTAGAAATTTAAGTCGTTTAAAGAATCTTCCAGACTTTTCACAATGGTTCTTCAATAAGTCTGCCATTTTAAGAAAGAACAGAAGGAGATATAGTTAGGAAAAAGGCAGCCAGTGTTGTAAGGTGTGGAATGAGGATGCTGGGCAGACGCTCCAGAGCTGTACGAGAGACAGAGAGAGAGAGAGAGAGAGAGAGAGAGAGAGAGAGAGAGAGAGAGAGAGTGTGTGTGTGTGTGTGTGTGTGTGTGTGTGTGTGTGTGCGCGCGCGCGCGCGCATGCGTGTAAGTGGAAAGTTGAACCTCCTTCCTGTGTGCTCCAAGAGTCTGCACAAAGAGCAAATCACCTGTCTTACAGGGCCCTGGGCCTTCCTGACCCTTCTTTCTCCCCCGGGGTTGGAAGCCCACAGACCCAAAGGGCTGAGTCATAGTGTGCGGAGGTGCCTGGCCCCTGGCAGAAGGCAACAGGGCTGGCAAAGAGCCCAGGCTTTCACAACGGTCGGGTGCCCGTGTGCTCCAAGTCGGGGAAGTCACTAGCCCAGGAATTTGCATATGTGAGCGAGAAGCACCCTTTGCTCCTGCCCCTCGTGTATCCCCAAGTGACTCCAGGGTACCTAAGGGATCTGAACAGGTTCTGTGCCTCTCACATGGTAGCAAGTGACAGGACACAAAGAGGGCAGCAGGTCAAGCCCGGGGTCCTGCCCGTCCACTCACCATCGCATTGGCATGGCTGCTGCTCTCTGGTGAATTCTGCTCCTCAGGAGTGACCACTTCAAATTCAGAGGAGGTGCCCTGTGCAGAAAGGAAGTTAGGTGCTGCCCGAGAGAAAAACAGCTCACCCCTCCTCTGCGGCCCTGTGGCTGAGAGCAGCAAGGGGGACAAAATCTCTTCCCATTTTGAGTACACAGGGACCGTTACATATCATCTCACATGAGATCACAAAGCAGGATTCTCGACAAGCCTGTCATAGCCCTCTGCATAATGTGAGGTCATATCCCCTCGATGGCCAATCCTCTTTTGTAGAAGGGAGATGTGGGACTAGCTGACCTTGAACCAGCAGCACTGTAGGATTGCATTTTTTAAGGCCGTGTACTTTTTAAATGCTTTCATGAGCTCCATTATTTCTCAGGGTGACCCATGGAGTGGGTCAGAAGGTTATATCCTCTTTGGAAAGATGAGGAAACTACAGTATACAGTTGGTTAATGCAAAAGCAGGGATTGAACCCAAGACTGCAGATCCAGCATTCCTGCCACGGCCCCAGAGCTGTCTCTTAGGCCCAGACGTCTCTGATCGGTTTCCCAGAACACAGATGGCAGCTGTTACGGCCACCACCAAGCATGTCCTGTGCTGGCCTTCCCAAGCCAGTCCTGGAGATCCCAGAGGAGTGAACTGATCTGAGAAAAGTCCCAGAGATGATTCACCAAATTTGGAGACTATTTCAGGATTCAACCAAATCCACGGTGGCCAAGAAATCCCAGATTTTTTCACATCTTTCCGTCATTCCTAGTAGAATTACTGGTCATTCAACCAACCAAGAAGCCAATGGCCCACCTGAACCAGCCATTAGCTCTGGGATCTGGGATTTCCATGTCCCGTTAAACCTGGTCTGCAGCCTCCCTTCATCCCAGAAAGGGGCAGGATAGATGAGAGGAGTCAGTGCTCAGCTTCCAGCTGACCCTCATGGCCACCAAGAACTCACCTCTGGCTCTTGGCCCTGCCCTAGAAAGTCTCCCTCCTCCATCTACATTTTCCCCATTACCCGTGTAACCTCAGAACAGGTCCTTCTTTCCCTGCACCTGATCTGTAGGATAAGGATGCTGAACTATGCAATCCCTTGTAGGATACCAAGCAAAACTTCTCCAGCCAAATCTGTAGATTTTTTTTTTTTTTTATGAGAGGGTCTGACTCTGTCACCCAGGCTGGAGTGTGGTGGCATCAACATGGCTCACTGCAGCCTTGACCTCCTGGGCTCAAGCGACCCTTCTGCCTCAGCCAGCCTCCCAAGTAGCTGGAACCACAGACATACACCATCACACCTGACTACTTTTTTTCTTAGAGAGATGGAGTCTCACTATCCTGCCCAGGCTGGTCTCAAACTCCTGGGTTCAAGCAATCCTCCTGCCTCAGCCTCCCCAAGTGCTGGGATTATAGGCATGAGCCACTGCGCCCAGCCTGTAGAAGATAGTTTCTGAGCCCTCTTTGAGAATGTGAGCTCCATGTCACATCTGTCTGTTTTCCTAGCACTGTGCACACTCAGTGATACTTAACAGTATACAACTTAGTAAGTGAGAAGAATTCCTTGTACATACCAGGGTCTTCCTGGTAAGTTTTAACTATGACCTTCATTTCAAAATGGGGAGGCTGAGGCCCCAGAGAGTTTGCGATGGACTTGCCCAATATCACCCAGCGAGACGGAACACAGTTTCTTGACCTCAACCCTCTTTCTTCATGTTCTTGTATCTGTCAGTAGGACTTGAGGTCCATCCAGGCAACCTCCACCCATGACTCCAAATAAAACTTACACTGGATGGAGGCTTCTGGACTGGTGCTGGCTTGTCACTGGGGCATGCAGGGGCTGTGGGAGATGCTGTGACATTTGAGTCCTTTCCTGGAGAATCAAGAAAGCACAGATGAACTGACTGGGAAGGGGAGAAGCCCAGGTACCACCCTCTCAAGGACAGCCCTTGACAAAAGGGTTCTCAGACAGGATTCCCCACTCGAGTGTGGGAGAATGGGAGGTGGTCTCATCAGGGCCAGGTAGTCTGAGAAAATGGCCTGCCCTGGAGTGACGGGGCAGAGCCTGAGCAGAGAGACCATGCTCCCTGGGCTTACTGGGAAAATCCCAAGTTGGCTGCTGCTCCTTGCTGCCCTGAACAGGCCTCAATGATAAAGACAATGATTTACAATTTGAAAAGTCTTTATGTATCTATTATCCCAGCCATTCTCATAAAAGCCCCATATCCCCATTTTAAAGGTCAGGACACTGAGGCTTGGGAAGGTCATCAACTTGCCCACAGCCACATAGCCAGCAACTGCAAACTCAGGACTGAGACTTGGCCCTCCCTCCCTGACTTCCTGCAGTCCTTGCTGCAGGGAGCTCCTTGAAGGTAGCTTCATTTCTCACTCTGAGAGTGGACCTGGCACCAATCAGGAACTCAGGAACATTGCTGAATAGACAAGCAGAGGCTGGAAATGCCCACTGACTGCAGCACAGTGGACTCTGAGACCATCACTTTCCTCCATTTGTCCATTCAGCAAATGCAACCACCAGCCAATAGAAGGCTGTCACATTGGCCTGGGCCAGATACCATACAGTAGAGCTGCAGCAGGAGGCATCTGAGTCCAGCTGAGGTGCGGATCATTTCCATCCTGGTCCCAGACCTTACCCTGGACTTGGAGACATGCCAGAGTAATGCACACTCTGTACGCATGGTGATGCCTCTACCATACATGGGACTTCAACCCCGAGCCACAGTCACCCTGTCCTTTAATGGGCAGCACACGTAACCTTACATCTGAAATACGCTGCAGCAGGCTAACAGGCAAGCCCAGCTTCTTCCCTGGG
Source organism: Homo sapiens (assembly GCF_000001405.40). Classification (NCBI taxonomy): domain Eukaryota; kingdom Metazoa; phylum Chordata; class Mammalia; order Primates; family Hominidae; genus Homo; species Homo sapiens. The sequence goes on from NC_000005.10 coordinate 151,063,170, forward strand.
CCTCAGCTTCCCTAATTGTAAAATGGACGCGCAGGGCACGACCAGGGAGCTTCCAACTCATATGCCAGCTCCAAGTGACAGGGAGTAGCTGCTTGGAGTGCGATGCCTGGCACACAGTAGCTGCTCATTAAATATTAAATATGCTGATAAAGACCCCAAGGCCACAGGACTGCAATGTAGTCAACTGTTGTATCTATTACTCATGTCTGCTGGGGCCTCAGGAGTGCTGAGTCACTGGCTATTTTTAACAAGATTGTTTTGAAGTCCCTTCCAAATCTGACCTTCTGGGGGATGTGGCAGCCAAAACATGAATGGAAGGGTAGCCTGTGACCTAAGGATAAACGAGAGAATGTGGGTTTTGGCATAAGAAGGGAGTTCACTGTGAAGGATTTGGGCAGTTTGGGGTACAGGGAGAGTCAGAGGTACCCAGACTCCTCTTATACCTGTGAGCTCAGCCAGGGGGTCGAAGGAGCCCAAGGAGGGAGAAGGTGGTGGGAGCAGCTCGTTGTCCTTCACTAGCTCCTCTGCCTTCTGCCGGAGCCTGGTCGCTTCCATCTGGGACTCTTCCAAAAGCTCCCCTAGAGTTATTGGGGAAGAGGAAGCAAAAGCATTTACTCGGCTCAGTGTGCTGCTTCTCCCCGTCCCAGGCCCCTAACCGTGCTGCCGCCTGGCTTCTGAGGCTCCAGGCCCTGGACTTCACTCCCACCGTTGCTCTGTGGGCCAAGTGGGACAAACTCCATGCTGGTCCACCATAAGAAACAGGCTAGAGCAAGGACGAGGGCCCAGCAATCGGGGGACACAGGAGCGGAAGGAATCTATGAGAAACTCCTCGGCTCCCCCAACCCCCAGCATTCTCTTTCTGCCCCACTCCCTTCACACCCAGCCAGGGCACTCCACAGAAAGCCAGGGGCTCCCCCACCCTACGGGCTACCCACAGCCTGAGCCACCAGGGCAAAGGGCTGCCTGCAGGGCGGAGACCTTGGATAATTCCAACCAGCCCTCTAGGCCTCCATTTTCCTTCTCCTACAAGTGGAGATGGGGAAACCACTCCTCCCTCCCCAGTCGGCCATCCCAAGCAAGGATCTGCCAAGCAAGGAGAAAGCATTTTAAAAATCAGGGGGCTATGCTCCCCTCTAAAACATGAGACTAGAGAAGGGCACGGCAAGGCAAAGGAAGAGTTTCAGGAGTGTGGAAGAAAGAGAGCCCCCTCTGGATGGGGAAATCAATGAAAGCCTTGTCTGGAGGAGAAGGGGGCACAGCAACTGGGTGCTGATGCACAGGGCCCGTCGGTCGTGTGGAGGGAGGTGGGGTTGTTCTAAAGTGGGGATGGCTTGAGCAAGAGCCAGGAGAAGAGAACTGAGGGACCTACCACCTCCTTGCTTCAAGCCAAGCTCTGCTCCCTGCTCCAACACCTAGGAACGCGTGCCCCAGTTGCCTGGTCATGCTGGCTCTCCCCATCTCTCGTGCCCCAGAAAGAGGAGACCACTCTAGTTCCATGGCCATTAACTGGGCCTTCCAGCCCCCTTTCCCTTAGCCCACGCCTCCCTCTTGGACCTGAGTCCTGTCATCCTGGTTTCCGGGTGCTGAGGAATCAGGGTTGGGAATACTGTCACCATGCTACATGGTGCATAGAGACAGCTGTGAGGCAGGAGCCAGCGCTGGGCCAGGAGGGACAGGGGATGACTTGGGCAGAGGCATATGCCAGCTTCATTCTCCACTGCTAGTAGAGGGACTGGCATCACAGTCTGCAGGGAGGGGCGCTCGCAGGGAGGGGACAGGGTCTGCTTTACCTAACATCTTTATCCCTTGCATTTTTTCCTTCAGCCGGGAATTCTCCTTCACTAGGCGCTCAAAAGCTGCGGATGCCTCTCCTGAGGGCACGCTGCCCCCAGGGTCGTAGATCCGGTACGGTCCTCTCCCTTCCATGAGGGTAGCTCAGCCCCTGCCGTGGTGCCCGCCTGGCTGTAAGGACAACAGCAGCATATCAGCAGGCTGGCCAGGCCATGGGGGCATCCTTTGCAGAGAAGCTCTAGTCTGTCAATGCCCCAGAAGGCAGTCCCCCACTTTAAGCTGGTCTGACCATATTATAGTAAAGCAGGACAGTCACCTCCTTTTATCTGGACGCTCTGCCTCTATTAATACAACCTTAGAATGGCATTAGTTTCTCTTAGCAGCCTCAATGCACTGTTGGCTTGTTTGGAACAGGAGTCCAAATAAACAGTAGGGTGCAATGTGGGATACAAGAAAGAACCTGGACTTGGAAAAAAAAAAATCTGAGTTCATGTCCTGTCTGTGAGGTCCAGAAGAACAGGAATCCCATATGTTTTACCCATCATTGCATCCTCAGAGCCTACCACAGTATTAGCTATGAATTTTGCCCAATAAACACTTACTCAATTAATGGTCTAGGCATTAATTTACTATGGGATTATGGGCAGTCCCTTCCCCTCTCTGAGGGAGGGAAATGAAAGTCTTAAGTTAATTTAGTAATCTTTAAAGTGAAATGCTTGTACCCTAAGGGATAAGCAAGTCAACCCAGTCCAAAGTTCCATTTATATGTGTATCATCTTCTTTAAAAAAAGAAAAGAAAAAAACACCCTGACTAATATTTAATACACTGTCACCCTCCTCCGTGAGTCTCATATCATATATGGTCTGTCCCTTGCAGTTCTAAGGAACAGAAGAATTTTTCATCAAACCACTGTCTATTTGAGCACCAAGGTTTTTTTTTAGTAATCTGTTCAGTTTCATCTGCTTTATGTCACTGAAACCAGTTGGAAAGGTGATTTTAGAATCCTAACTCTGTGGCTTAGTAGAGAAGCTCTCTGTCCATTCACTCATCCATTCAACAATTACTTATTGAGCATCGACTCCGTGCTAGGCACCAGTCTGGGTGCTGAGGAATTATCAGCAAATAAAACAGACAAAAATCCTTCATGGAGCTTATAGTCTAGGGGTGAAAGCAGAGGAGGATGGTGGGGAACACAATATTTCAGGTAATCAAAAAGTCTATGCACAAAAGGCCCCAAGCATAAGGAGCTATTTTAGCCAAGACCTGAAAGAGGTGAGGGAACTAGCCATGAAGACATCTGAAGGAAGAACATTCTTTGCAGAGAGAACAGTAAGGGCAGAGGCCCTAAGGCTGAAACACCGAGCCAGCCTCCAGCCCTCCAAATAGCTCTCCAGCATGAAAGGGCCAAGGCCTTCACTGGGGACCTCAGAAGGGTTTGGGGGCTCGGCACCTTCCTCCCAAGGTCACCACCCCCAAGACAAAAACTGTTTCATCAGGAATCCTCAAAGACCCTCCCAAGTCCACACACCATGCTCCGTGGGTCCTTGGCGCTGCCAGGTGACTACGACCATACCACCCTGCTCCCAGAATGTAAATGAAAGATCAGAGTGAGAAAGGATTAACAGCAACACCACCATGCTTGAATCGCCTCCTTGTCAGGCACTGCATTAAATGTTTCAGATATACAATCTTGGAGGAGCTGCACAGTAACTCTAACATGCATACTAATCTCATCTGCATTTTACAAGGGAGAAACTGAGGCTCAGGGCGGTTAAGTAACTCAGCCACGATGACCCGGCCGCAATAAGAGCCAAGATGCAAAGTCAGCCCTGCCTGCTGTGACTCTGACCCCCACCATACTCACACAGCCAGGACACAGAGCCAGAGGGGCAGACAGGGAGTTCAAATCTCTTTGTAGGGCAGCACCATGCTATCAGGTCACCTCTGGGCAGTTTCCCTTGCCCTGCAGCATAAGAACCAATAAGGACTTGTCCAAGAGCGTCCATAGGATGGAATGGGCCAGAAAGAAAAACAAAGTTCTGATGAGAAGGACCCCTTCTCCCAAAGACTGACAGATACAAGATGAATACACCGTGTGGGAGGCACCCACGCCCTGCTGAGCCTGCGAGGCAAAGGACAGCTACCCACACTCCCATCACAAGTCATCACCCGGCTTAGGGGTGACTTGTTTTTAACCTGAAAGGTCAGTGTTCTACAGCATAGCACAAAGTGCAGATGTTTCCACCGAACTAAGAAACAGTGTGGGGGCTGCACTTAGCACTGGAACTGGCACATAGTAAAGTACTCAAAAATGTTGGCAGACATTGGGGGTCCTTCCCCTCTGCTTGCCTCTGTCCTCACGAGGCTTGCCACCTGGTACAGCATGTGTCTGACTGGTGCGGGCATTGCCCATCTGGCTGGGAACTTCCTGAGGCAGGAGCGTACTTTGCACATCTTTGTATTCCTGTCGGGAGCACAGGAGGGTGGGCCTTCCTTGAGAGCTGCTTGGAGTTCAAGAACAGTGAAACAGAGGGCTACAAGGGGCCTGGAGCCACCTTGCATGACAAAGGCAGCAGTGTCCTGGTTCTTGTCCACCATTATGCATTCACCCTAAATGGAACTCACAGTCAACACCACATGAAGGCATGGGGAATTTCTTACTCAATGTCTGCCTTGTCCTGTAGATTAGAGGCTGCATGAGGACAGGGAGCAAGTCCATCCTGTGTGCCAGGGTATCTTCAGAGTGGCCCAGAGTAGGGCCTCGGTAAACCTTGAATTCAGAGAAGTCAGACTGAAGGGAACAAGCCCTTGACCCCGACCCCGCCTCCTGCAAGGCCATGTCCAACATCCCAGAGAAAGCCTAACCCTGACCCACTGACCAGACGCACTTGGACGCCCAGACACTTCTAGAATCCAGGCTGGGCCAGCCATGCTCCCTCAGAGAGGCCCAGATGTAAGGCGAAGGGACAAAGCAGGATGCAGGATGTGGGAACTGAAACCCACCCCACGTCCTCCAAAACACGCAACACTCAGTTTCTCTTGGCGCTGGGGAGTCAACGGGAAAGGGGTTCATGGGAAACAAAAAGTGGGCAGACAGAGCTATGCTCCCCTACTTTAGCCTCAGGGGGCAGAGCTTGGGGAGAAAGAAAGGCAGTGGGCAGAGGAGACGCAGGAGAAATATCCTATTGTGGGAAAACCCTCTCTGGAGATCAGAGGAGCCACCCCTGGAGGGCCTGGACTTCTGGAGGAAAGAAAGACAAAGAGGGAAACAGGGAATTTCCAAGTTCTGCTGACCTCATGCCCAGATGGTCAGCGGCAGTCCCTGGATGACCACTGGGCAGACGGGAACTCTCCCTCTGATCAATGAGGTTTTTATAACTTCTCCCAGAGAGAGGACTCATTCTCAGGATGACAGAGCTGGAGGGGACTCTCCAAGGGCAATGAGGCGAATCCTGCATTATCAGGTGGGAGAGAGATGCACCCAGAAACACTCAATGGATGAGGGGCTGCATTCGAACATGACGATGGCATGCACTCCCCTCTGCTGTCCACAAACCACGAGGATGTTTTCAAAGGGGAAAAGGAAGCACTGACCACTCCCCTCCATGTGGCAGTATCTGGAGTTCAGAGCCCAGGAGTCCTCGGGCATGAGCTCATCTGATTCTCACTCACGGCACAGGCAGTGCAGCAAGGCAAGGCCCTGAGCAGGGAAGGCCAAGGTCACAAAGGAGTCAGGATGGAGCTGGGACCAGAAGATCCCTGCTCTCCCTCCAGGCTGCCCACAGCCCATCCTCCATTTCCCTTCCTGCCCAGCAATCCCATGGCACACCACAGGCCCCCACCACATCTTCTCAGAGTCTCTTTCCACCTGGCCTGGTTCCACAAACTACAAATCAGCAGGTGCTCCACCAGCAGTGGGACTCCAGCCCCGCTTGCCCAAACCAGAAACAGCTGGTGGTATAGAAGCAGCCAGCGCAGACTTTCTTCCAAAACAAGACCTCAGCCAGCGGGGCCTCCACAGCCTGCCCCAGAGGGGCCCTGGGGCTGCCCGCTGGAACCAGAAAGGCCCAGTTTGGGGGCAGAAAGGGGCCCAGACAGACGGCAGGTCAGGCAACAACCACAGACCGTGAAGATGGAAGTGATGCTGCTGAAACCGAAGGAGCCACCCACTAGCAGGCAAGCACTTGTGGGTGGCAGGGAGGCAGTAGTCCCCAGGGCTCAACTCTCAGCCTTACCCCAGAAAGAGAGGGGTATGATAAAGACTACATTCAGAATTAAATTTACATTCTAGCTTTTGCTCTGAAATGCTTTGGTCTGTCAGATTATCTTCCCATTAGCAGTGTTCTGGTGGCTGGGTAGGGGGGTGGTCCCAGACCCCCCAAATGATATTCACTTGCATAGCCACTAACATTTGCAAAATACTTCATAGTGTCCCAAGCATTGTTTTTCCATCTGATTATCACAACAGCCCTGGGAAGAAGGCAGGGCTGATACCTGCCTGATGGATAAGGAAACTGAAGTCCAGCTTGGGGACTTAATCAGCCCAATTTAATGCCTTTGGTCACTGGCTGCATCCTGGGGCCAGCTATCCCTGCAACCCTGGAGCAGGTGATGCCCTCCCTGGCCCAGAGGGAAAAGTGTAAGCAAATCTCTGGTACAGGGAGGTGGAAGGTCATCGAGGCCAACATCTACCTCCCCAGCAGAGGTGAGGGCTGCCAGGGATGCTGGCAGGTGGGCTGGCAGAGGGGGTATAGGGAAGGGGTCTCCAGGAAAGACGGCACAGAACAGAACGTCAGAGAGGTCTATTCTAGTGTCTACTCTGCTGTGTATGGAACCATGGGCTCATTCCCTCACATGCAAGGGGAGGAGCATGGGCCACACAGAAACCGGGTGATGGCTAAAGCTGGCCTCAGGATCAAGAAGACCCAAGTCTCAGGAGCTAGCAGCAAGCTGAGGAAAGAGAGAGAGCCAGCACCATGGAAACATCGCTGCCTTGGAGGCAGGAAGAAAGGTCCACACAGGGAAAGTGCTCAAGGCCAACCTTGCGAACACGAGGCCTGAGAGGGGGCCTCACCTGCACTAGCCTCAGCTCTGTCCACCCTGTGGGCTGTGAAACCCTGGAGCAGCCACTCACCTTTCCTGAGCCTCAGGTGCCTCATCTGTAAAGCAGGAGTAATAATAGAACCTACCTGATAGAAGATCAAAGAAATTAAATGAAACAATATGTGTATAGTTGGAAGGGAATTCTCACTTTCTACTTTAGGCAATACTTCCTGATTATCTGATTTAACAAGAAACACATCTTTGTTTTATAATAAGATTTCCAAAATAATAAGAGTATACAGTAACTAGCTCAGCATTTGACACACAGCAGGTGCTTAATAAAAGGCTGAGGCAACCCCACAACTGTGCCCAGCTTATCTAAGGGCCAAGGCTTTCCCCATTTGTTCTCTCCTTTAATGGGATTTTAGGCTCTTCCGTCAGCTCAGTAAGCTAGGTTCTGGCCTCCACTTATTCTCTAGTGACCTGCATATCACCATTTAACTGTGGTTAAGCAGGGTGCCTGGACACACCATAGCTAGTGAACATGTAGCTATAAGAAGCCCTTGAACCACGATGCCACACTCACCAACAACTGGGAATCTGAGCCTCATTTCCTCTGCTGTAAAGGGCAATATCCTGCAATTCCACCCAAGGATGAAAGGAAGTGAGATGCCATGATATCACATTGCAGACATAAACAAAAAACTGTCCACATATTTGTGTTATGATGACCTCCAGTCCTCCCCAACCAATTTCCAGGCTGGGGAAACTGCAGCCTCAGGTCCATCCATCAAAGGCCGGGTTGGATTTTTCAGGCAGTGAAACTACTCTGTTCAATACTGTAATGGTGGACACCTGCCATTCCACATTTGTCCAAACCCATAGAACATACACCACCAAGAGGGAACACTGATGTAAACCATGGACTCCGGGTGACAGTGGTGTCAATGTAGATTCATCAACTGTAAAAAATCTACCACTCTGGTGGAGGATGTTGATAATGGGGGAAGCTATGCCTGTTAGGGGTGGGGGGGGCGCAGTATATGTAAAATCTCTGTACCTTCTTCTCAATTTTGCTGTGAACCTAAAACTGCTCTATAAAAAATAAGGTCTTTAATTTAAAAGAGAAAAGGACCAGGCTGGGCTCTCCTGATGGCTGTCAGGTTCACACATGAGTGAGGACACAGCACATACTTGAGACAGTGTGTATTCAAGGACCGCACCCTGGCATCCTCACCAACAAGGAGCCCAGACTTAACTCCTCCATCCTTGCAATCAACTGAGCAACAATGAGGCTGCAGACACAGAGTCTCATATAGTAACAGCTGGGGCGCCAGAACTGTGGGATCTAGTCAAGGTACACTAGGGCGAACATCTTAACCCTCACTAGGCCTCAGTTACCTAAAAAGAGGGAGCTGCAAAAATAGTAATAACATGGGGGGTTGTGCGGGATAATCATTAAGGCCCCTTCCAGTTCTAACATTTCAGGATCTGAAATTTATTAGCACTACTTTCTTTAACCTTCTAACCTTAAGAAGGCTCCAATCCCCAGCTCCAATCCCTTCTAAGGCCCAGGTGGATTTCCCTAACCCATCAGTCCTCCCATAAGAGCTTTCATAGGTGCTATCCCCTCCCCGAGGGCAGTCAGAGACCCTCAGCTGACATCCGCAGCCCTGTGCCAGGTCCTCCCCTCCTGCCTAACTTGTACCAGGCTCTGGCCAAGCCTGATCTGTGTTCCTCAACATGGCACACATCTTCCCATGTCCTTCATCCTCCCCTCCCGAGTCACCCACAAAGAAGGCCCCACTGTCTCCACTCAGCCTCCGAGGCCCAGATTACACACCACCCGCTAAACACCTGAGCCAGAATTCACACTGCAAAAGAGGACTGGAGAGCACCTAACTAAGCTGGAGAGAGGGTGACAGTTCGTTAGGCGCTACCGTATGCCAGGTGCTGGGCCGCATCATGACGCACATGACCTCATTTTCTTCTTGCCACACAGATATGGAAATTATCATCCACACTTTCCAGCAAGGAAACCAGTCGACGCAGCTACATGGATGAGGAAGCAGACTCAGAGAAGTTAAGTCATTTGCCTGAGAATACACAGCTGGTTAGTGGTAGAACAAATAATGCAGCCTCAATCTGTCAGATTCCAACATCAGTGCCCTTTCCACTGCTCTACACTGCCTGGAGAGGCGGCAGGCTGAAGCTCAGAGGTGGGAAACCAGACCTACTTTCCAGTTCTCCAGAACGTGCCCCAAGTTCCTAGCCCCTGCCTTTATATGTCTCTAGCTTTATATGCAACCAGGTGGCAATCTGCCCCACATCACCTGCAGTCAACAGGGTTTAGAATCTCAGGCTGGAAGGGAGCTCAGAGGACATTCCATCCTGTGCTTACCCAGTCCTCTGAGGAGCCCAGGGACTCCAGCTGGCCAACTTTAGCAATCCAGATCTCACCAACTTCCTCCCCAAAACAATTCCTGGGGCAGCCAGCACTGGCTACAGTTAGGCTGCTCCCAGTTCTGTTTCCACTGGCCCTTCTCTCCCCTCTGTGGTCCCCTGGAATAAGGAACAAGATGCCCATCTTCAGCATGACAGCCAGCCCTGAGGACATTTGGAACCTGCAGCCTTCTCTATACTGTTCCACATAGGGACTGCCCCCCCTCCAGTCCCCCACCAACCCTCTACCCCACACTATCTCTAGTTGGTTCTAGCACTGGACCCAACATTCCAGGCATGGTTTGCCTGACCAAATGCAGGCTTTCACCTCCACCCTTTTAGGTAGTATATTCCTATTGAGGGAGCCTGGGTATACATTTGCTTTTCTTACAGCTGAGTCACCTACTGAAGAATGTCCTTTCTCAATGACAACAACCTGCATGTATGCCTAACTGGTGAGAACAAAGTTCTCATGTAGAAACGTGTGCTTGAGGGCTGGGTGCGGTGGCTCATGCCTGTAATTCCAGCACTTTGGGAGGCCGAGGTGGGCGGATCACCTGAGGTCAGGAGTTCGAGATCAGCCTGGCCAACATGGCAAAACCCAGTCTCTACTAAAAATACAAAAATTAGCCAGGTGTGGTGGCGGGTGCCTGTAGTCCCAGCTACTGGGGAGGCTGAGGTAGGAGAATCGCTTGAACTTGGGAGGTGGAGATTGCAGTAAGCCGAGATCACGCCACAGCACTCCAGCCTGGGAGACAGAGTGGGACTCCATCTCAAAAGAAAAAAAAAAAAAAAAAGGGGTGTTTGAGGAGGTGTGAGTTACCTAAGGGGGCAGAAGTAACTGATTGATTCAGTAATACCCTATCTAGGAATCTAGAGATCTTTGCATCAGTACACAGAAGCTGGACAAAAATATGCACTGCCACATGCTTTGTAATAGACATTTTTGCTATTCTTGAATGTCCATCAAGAAGGGACTGGTTAAACAAACCACCATTCATTCGATGGAATACTATACAGCCATCAAAAAGAATGGGGTAGATTGCTTGGCAATGATACAGAAAGATGCCCATAAAATACAAAGCAAAGTGCAGATTTATATGTGTAACAGGATGCTATTTTTTTCAAAAACACATTGTGTGTGTGTGTGTATACATACGGAATCTTAAATGTGCATAGAAAAAGGCCTGGAAGCCCAGTGCTTTGGGAGGCCAAGGTGGGAGGATTGCTTGAGGCCAGGGGTTCAAGACCAGCCTGGGCAAAAAGCAAGAATAGATTCTCTATTAAAAAAAAACTTTTTTACATTAGCAGAGCATGGTGGCACATGCCTGGAGTCCCAGCTACTCGGAAAGTTGAGGTGGGAGGATCACTTGAGCCCAGCAGTTCAGGCTACAGTGAGCTATGATCATGCCACTGAACTCCAGCCTGAGTGACAGACTAATACTCTGTCTCTTAAAAAAAAGAAAAGAAGAAAAGAAAAAAGTCTCAAAGGATACATACCAAACTGCTACTAGTAGACTGCTCTACAGAAGGACCTCGGTAAGGAACTAAAACCAAAAGAAACTTTTATTTTACCTATGCTATTTTAACTCTTTACATGGGAAATCTAGTCCTGTTCTTATACAATTATAAAATTAGTTTTTAAATACAGTAGGGACAGAGGAAGGGGAAAGGAAGGAGAGAGAAGACAACTGTCATTTTTTACATTATATCTTTTGTACTGCTTGAGTTTTGGGGGGTTTTTCCCCAATAATCATGTGCTATTTGGTAATTTTTTTTAAAGGGAAATTTTAAAATATTTTTCTAAAAAATTTAAGTGAGCTGAGTGCAGTGGTGCATGCCTGTAGTCCCAGCTACTCCAGAGACAGACGCAGGAGGATGGCCTGAAACCAGAGTTTATCTAACCCTGTAACTCCCCTGCCTCCAAGAGGTAAGATGCCAATTTTGGGGAATTCCTCTTATACAAAATATGGTGGAAAGAGGGTTTCACAGATTCAAATCCTGGCTATGATCCCTTCTCGAATGACCCTGGGTAGGCCTCACTTTCCTTGTTTCTCCCTATGGAAATGTTATGAGGACCAAGTAGGAACCATAGAGTTCTCTGTAAACCTTAAAATGCTACCCAGACAGGAGCAGTAATGGCTGCCAAGGAGCTAGGAAGGAAAAGGGGCTGGACAGGGGCTGAGGTACTCAGATGAAAGCCAAAGATGCCTTGTGTTAACAACAAAAAGCTGAAAGCTACCTAAAATGAAGAGAAAAATGAATAAATACATTGTGGCAATTTCCTATCAGGAAATACTATACAGCAGTGAAAAAAGAATGAGCCACAGCTGGAGATACGAACATGAATGAATCTGGGTCTCACTCTGTTGCCCAGGCTGGAGTGCAGTGGCATGATCTCAGTTCACTGCAACTTCCACCTCCCAGCCCAAGTCATCCTCCCACCTTAGCCTCTCAAGTAGCTGGAACTACAGGCATGCGCCACCACACCCAGCTAATTTTTGTATTGTTTGCAGAGATGGGTTTTGGCCATGTTGCCCAAGCTGGTCTCAAACTCCTGGGCTCAAGAGATCCACCTGCCTGCTCTGCCTCCCAAAGTGCCAGTAAGGCATGAGTCACCACGCTCAGCCTAAATAACATTTTTAAACATAAAAAAATACTATGTATTATTTAGGGATGCACACATTAAAAAAAAAACTTTAAAGAAATGCAAGAAAAAAACCCCACTAAATTCAGAACACTTGTTTCTTGTTGGTGGCTGATGAAGGAGAAATTTCAACTGATTGGAAATGTGTTATTTCTTAAACCAGATGAGTGAGCATGTAGGTGCCTGCGTGTTACCCTCGGTATCTGAGAGACTCCTTCAATTTTTCTTTTTTCTTTTTACTGTATTGTTTGCTTTTTTTCTGCTTCAACTTTTATTTTAGATTCGGGGGGTACATGTGCAGGTTTGCTACCTGGGTATACTGCGTGATTTGGGTAGGGGTGATCCCATCACCTGGGTACTGAGCATAGTTCCCAACAGTTTTTCAACTCTGCCTCCCTCCCTCCCCACTCTAGCAGTCCCCAGTGTCTACTGTTGCCATCTTTATGTCCATGAGGACCTGATATTTAGCTCCACTTATAAGTGAGAAAATGCAGCATTTGGTTTTCTGTTCCTGTGTTAATGTGCTTAGGACAATATTTTCTAAAAGTCTATGTTGCCAGTTTCCTGAGGACCAGATCACGCAGGAGTTGCACCTGCAGAGACAGAAGTGGGCTGGAGAGGGACCAGGGCTCCTAAGTCTGCTGCTGAAGCTGACTATAGCGAAGGCAAAGGACAAGTGGCCTGAAGGCCAACAGAGAGCCTGGCCAATGCTCTGCCCAGTGGGTGGAGACTGAGCCAAAGGCCCTTGACTCATAGGGCAGTCCCATACCTGCCCTGGCCTCTCAGCATGACTCCTTGGTGACACAACTCCCACAGCACCCACACACCTACACCCACCTACCCCACACACACACCCCTGCCTGGGCTGCCCGGTTTGTCCACTGTGTAGGTGCTCAAGGACGCAGAGCTCCTGCCTCTCAAGGAACAGCCTCAGGGTGAGGTCCCTGGGAGAGAAGAGTTCAGCTCTGCCCAGAGCAGCCCTCAGACAAACAGCCAGCTGCTGCTCACCAGTCATCCATTCCAATCTGAAGAGTGACTGTCCTGGGCCAGTCATGGGAAAATCATCAAGAACTTCCCACAATGGTCATGGTGGCCGCCAAGGTCTTTCTCTGGGGGTTGGGAGCTGTGCTCCCCCACAAAACAAGGGGACCCAGCTGCCCTGTGCCTTCCTGTGGCAACTCTCTGGAGGATGCCTGGATACCCTCCCTACAGACGGCCAGGGATAGGAGGGGCAGGCACTGCAGGCATGTGGGGGCATAGCAGCAAGAATCTAGGAGGGCAGGCACAGCAAGGCCTGGCCCAGAGGGAAACCAGGAGCTGCCAGAGCCAAAGAGAGGGTGACCCAATCATTGGTTGTTATAGAGTTTTTAAGACTTGGAAGAGAATGCCCTGAGATGCCAGAGAGTGAAACATTTTCATTCTAAAGCTGGGAAACCAAAGTCGGCAAAGGCGAACAGACGTGCCCACAGCCACATGGGACAGCAGTGGCACAGAAGAAATGCACACCTCGTCCTCTGGTGGCCACTGTGCACTCTCTTACCACACCATGCTACTGCTCAACCTCTCCCCCTCCCTCACAGTGGTCAGGTAAGCAATGAGGGAAAATGATGGAGGTGAGAAAGGAAGAACCCGGGCTGATGTGGGCCCACAAAAGAAAGAAGTCTGGAATAACACTGGAAGGGGCTGCCTACGAGGTGGAAAGCGCCCTGATCCCAGGGGTCGGGGTCACGCAGAGGGGCACTGGGGCTGTTGAGGGAATGCAAGCCAGGTGTCTTCAAAGCCCCACCCACATCTGAGTTTCCGCCACTCCAAACAGGGACAGATGTTTGAGACAAAGCAAAGGACAACTCATCCAGAGGGGACACAGCATGGACCACAAGTGGCAGAGGGTTGAAGGCAAGTGTCTTAGTCTGCTTTCTGCAACTATTCTGTTGAATATCACAGACTGGGTAATTTATAAAGAACAAGTTTATTTGGCTCATGGTTCTGGATGATGAGAAATCCAAGTGCATGACACCACCATCTGACAAGGGTCATGCCAAGGTGGAAGACAGAAGGAGAAAATGAGTGATTGAAATAGAGAGTGTATTAGCCAAACTGGCCCCTTTTATAACTAACCTCCCGTCCCCCTACCCCGTGATAGTGACATTAATCTATTTATGAGGGCAGAGCTGACAATCCATTCATGAAGCAGAGGGATTACGTTTCCAAGATATGAACTTTTGGGGGACACATTCAAACCTTAGCAGCAAGTTATCCAGAGCACAGAAAATCAAACCAGTCTCATCATCTTCTACTGGAATCCTGTCAATAGCCTCATGATTAGCATCATTAACGATAATAGCAGCGACCCTGTACCAAGCGCTTACCACACTGGTGGCCCGTGCTGAGTGCTTGCCACACACTATCCCATTAATTCCCACCATTCTAGGAGGTAGCATTGACGTCATACAGAGCTGACAGGTGAGGATGCAGAGGCCCAGAGTGACAGACACGGCACCTACCCAGGTCTGCCAAGCACTGAATCATGTGCTCTTCACCAGGGGTGCTCAAGGAGCAGCCCGGACCAGCGGCACTGGCACCACCACCATCCACTGGATCGGATGCTCTGGAGTTGCAGCCCAGCAATCTGTGTTTAACAACCACCCTCTACCTCCATCCCCAGGATTGTGATGCATGCTCATGTTTGTGAACCAACTGCTCTGACCATTTCCCAATGCTGCTAAGGAGAAAAATCAACATTTCTATGTCTGGTATCAAAATCTTTTAGGGTCTTTCCCAGGCCAACTGGTCAATTCTCCCAACCGAGGAGAGGCTGATTCCAGTTATTGTGACTAGTCTACTAAGTTCCAGAAGAGACCCAGGTTCCACTCTGCACTTTGTCATTTTTTTAGGGTCTGACCTTGAAGTCACTTCCCTCCAGAAGACCCCTCCAACCATCTGGTGCCCCCAAATTACTCTGCACTCCAGTTATACCTATGCCAATCCGACTCATTTGGCACTTACTGGCACACAATGCCTTTCAGGTCACACTCATAGCACATCTCCCCATTTGACCAAAAGTTCCTGGAAGGCAAAGCCAGCTCCTTACGCACCTGTGCATCAAGAACACTGCATGGCACTGGGCACAGGAGTCATCAGGAAATGATGCTTGGGAGAGCGCTAGGAGAGCACTCTGGTTCTCCTCCTGCCTTCTCATCTCTAGGCCTTAATTTCCTCATTTGTGAAATGTGCCATTATTCTACTCATTCACTGAACAAACTCAGAAGAGCCATCCACCAGGCACTCTTCTCCCGCTACAGAAATACACTCGAGAGGACTAAGGAGGTCCCTGCTCACCCCCTTCTATTCTAGGAAAAGAGAAAGACAGTAAACAAATAAACACTAAAAATAACAATTTGCCAGACACTAAGTTCTATACATATGCTTTCTCATTCGCAAATAAGATTCTTTCATAGCATGATACACGTATGAGAAAAATAAAATAGTAACGTGACAGAAAGTGAAAAAAGGGGCTGCTTTGCATAAAAAGATCAGGGAAGGCCCCTCTGAGGAGCTGACATTTGAGCTGAGACTTGATCGATAAGGAAAAACCAGCCATGGGAAAAACGGGGAAAGATGTCCTGGGCAGAGGGAACAGCATGTATGAAAGCCTAAGGATGAGAACAAGCTTGGCTTGCTGGAGGGGGAAAAGCAGGCCAGCATGGTGTGACCAAATCACAGCGGGTACAGGAGTAAAACAGTAACCAGTGGGTTGGAGAGAGAGGCAGACAAACAACCTCCTACAACGCTGCCTCTCTCAAATCAGGTCGGCCTGACCCAACCAGGACATCCGGGCCCCAAGTCACAGGCAGCACTGGGGGTAAGGGTATGACTCAGACCCCACAGCTTCCTGGGGCCCCGAAAAAACTGGTGGGGGTATCCAGGGGCAGGCATCAACCTTCAGCATGAGTGCCATGCCATACCCATGGAACACCCAAGGCTGGGAGACAAACGTGGTTACATAAGCGTGTAGAACACTGCACACTCCCAGCGGCAGCTTCCAGAGGGGCATGATCACGTGCTTCCATGAAGTGCCAGTCCCTGATCACATTATTTTCCCGGGACACAGCCAGGACAGCAGCCTTGGTCAGGGGAAAGGGAACAGGGTCCAGGATTCAAGCGTTGCTAGTCTTGGGAAAGCCTTAACCTTCTCTGGGCCTCAGTTTCCTCATCTGAAAATTAAGAGTTGTTAGAAAGATTAAGTGAGGCCGGGCGGGGCGGCTCACACCTGTGATCCCAGCACTTTAGGAGGCTGAGACGGGCGGATCACTTGAGGTCAGGAGTTTGAGACCAGCCTGGCCAACATGGTGAAACTGTCTCTACTCAAAATACAAAAAAATTAGCCGGGGATGGTGGCGAGTGCCTGTAATCCCAGCTACTCGGGAGGCTGAGGTAGGAGAATCGCTTGAACCTGGGAGGCAAGTTGCCGTGAGCCGAGATCGTGCCACTGCACTCCAGCCTGGGTAACAGAGTGAGACTCTGTCTCAAAAAAAAAAAAAAGATTAAATGAGATACGGAATGTAAGCACTGTGCCTGGCACATAGTAAGCTATTAGCATTATCAGTTTTTTCACTGCCTCAGTTTCTTCTGTTGCAAAACAGAGACCACCACGGGGATGCTGAGTTTGTACTAATATTCTACCCTCCTAATACAATTCTACCCTCCTTTGTCAAGGATTTTTTTAAAACATTCTGAGTCCCCTTTTCTGACCTCTCATCAGATGCCGAATTCCCCTCTATCACACCCCATTGTTTGGAAAATGAGTAAGTGCTGATTAAATCCCATTTTGACCGTACTGTGAGAAAAAAATGATGCATTAGGAATCTACACATTTCCCTGCACTGTCATTCTGCAAGGGGGTGGGGAAGGACGTTGCTGATTCTTCTGCATCATCCACAAAAGTCCCTCCCTCCCCCTACCAAAACACAATCTCTCACCCAGTCGCACAAAATTCCCATCTGCTCCTGTACGCACAATGAATGTACAATGCACACGTGCACACAAATGTCCTACAGTGGAAAGCTCAGCCTTCATACTCCATCCCCAGAAGCACTCCTGGAAACTCATCCATCCTGCACATGCACACAAATGCCTCCAACAATGTGCATACAAAATATGTTCAACAGAAATAGTATAGTAGGAACTCTGGAGCCAAATGCCTGAGTTCATATCTGACTTTGCAACTCACAGCTGTGTGACCTCAAGCTCCAAGTACCTCGGTTTCCTAAAGTATAAAATGGAGATAATAACAATATTAATGTTTAGGATGGAAGTGACAATTAAATGAGTCTAATACACGTACAGCGTTAAGATCAGCACTTGGAAAGCGCCCAATAAAAATTATTATTTTCCTCCTCGTGACATATGTACACTGCTTCCACAACTTGATACGAAAACTCCTGACGCCGCGTAGGCAACTCGTCTCCACAGGATAGACACCCAAAGGGCCGCAGCGCCGCCCGCACCCGGAGGGTCTGCGCTCTCTACAACCGCCCCACGCCGTTCCCAGGCGTGCTACCCCGCGCAGTGCGCACGCGCGCCCCCCACCAGGCCCAGCGCCAAGCAGGGAGTAGCGGCTCAGCCCGGCTTGGCCGCTGGCGGAGACGCCCCGGGACCCCGCGCGCCGGGCCTGGGTGCACAAGCCACCTTCCCCAGCTCGCTCCCCGCCGCCACCGAGGCTCTGGACGATCTGGGCCTGGCCTCCCTTCCTCCCCTCCATCCCCGCTCCGGGCCGGCCGGCTTACCCGAGGACGGGGAGCTTGGGGACACAGCGCCCCGCTTGCTGCGTCCAGCCCCGAATCCAGGGACGGGGCAGCGGCCCGGGCAAGGCTCCGGCCCCCCGTAGCACTCCTAGGGCTCCTGGACGGGGGCAGGGCACCCGGGCCGAGGACGAGGAAGTGCCGGGGGCCTGGCCGGGCCGCCCCACCCCTGGGAAAGTCCCCGGAGACTGGCAGGCCACTCGCCCAATCGCGCCGCGCGCTCCGGGCGGGCCCGCGGCCGCCTGGGGTGGGACCGAGCGAGGTAAACACCGGCTGCCTGCGGTTCCGGGGGCCCGCGGTGTCTCTCGTCCCTTCGGCGGCCTTCCCCTCTAGGAGCGACTTCCCTGGGGCCACCGTCCCGGGCCTGCGCGGCGCCTTGCCGCACTCCCAGCGCCGGAAGCCCCTGTCGAAGGCCTGGGGCCACCTTGAAAGCCGGAATTTCAGAGCGGAGGCGAGCCACAGAGACCACCCAGCCCCTTCCTTGTGCCGAGGGGAACACAGGCCAGAACAGGGAGGGGACCTGCCAAAAGGCACGTAAGCATTTGGCCCTAAGCCAGAGCTGGAGCTCAGGCCCCCAGAGTTCCGTCCAGGGCACTCCAGGACTCTTCTTAACAAAGCTATAGAAATTCCGAGCTGAAAAGACCCATAAAGACTCTACCGCGAACATTTTTTGCTCCAGACATTGTAAAGGATTCCCAGACATCGTAAACGCTTTGCTCCAGACATTGTAGATGCTTTGCGTGCATTATTTTCTTCGCACAATCACGCTAGGGAGGTGGGTTTTACTACCTTTTCTTAAATAATATTTGAGTCACAAAAAGGTTAGATGACCTCAGTAAGGGGCTGAATCAAGATTCAAACCCGGGTGGGCAAATCCAGAGGCCGCCTTCCACCCTACCTACTTATATGTGGGCTAGATAATCCCAACAGACTGGGATTTCCTAGACCGGTAAGGAACATAAACTTGCTTTAAGGGTAGGAAAGCTTTTTAAAAGCTTATCCTTTTATTTTTAAAAAGAAAGAAAGCTAAATTTTAATTCCAAAAAGTGGAAGGTCTAACCTTGGAATAAAGAACAGCTCTTTAAACTAAATATAGCTTTATGAAAAACCTATTGCAAAAGACCCATTTCACTGGTACTGTTGAAAACTTAGTCATTGACAGGCCCTCATCCTCAAAAAGAATTAGGGGAAAGGATTTGGGGAACTGTTTAATACACACCCTCATTTTACAGAAGAGAGACCCATCAATCAACTGTGACTTCGCAATAATACACACACAGATACTTGCCCAAATTATATACCTAATCTGGGGATTCTCCTATAAGGCTTTGTAACCTCCTAGGGTTCCTTCAGTTAATTCAACGGTGTTATCAGATCTTCAAAACGATATTCATTCTAGTTTAATTATGAAAAGAATTACACTTATGCCTTGATTCAGAAGGGAGGGAGGGAGGAAGCGATGCAAACTCCAAAGCACCACTGAGTCTCACCACTGGGGGATCCTACAGAGAAACTGGGAATCCTGGCCCTGGTTTACATAGCAGCTCCCAGGCATCGTCTCCACCCATCAGGTCCGCACCTGCCAGTTTTCTTCCTGCTCTTTGTGCCTGTACTTCCCAATTCTCTTCCTGCAGGGCTCTCTTCCTATTCCCAACCCACATCTTCTCCACCCCCACCCTCTACCCACTGAAAACTAAAATCTACCTAAAAATGGCTGGTCTCTAATTACTTGCATTTTGTTTCCACACTATTTCAGCTGTTTTTATAGCATGTCTGGCCTTAGCCGGGCAGACAGTTTCATTTCTCAAAGTGTCCGCTGGGAATTCTCAAGCTTGACATAAAAAAATGGCACTCAGTCATCTTTTTGTCTGATTTCCTAGTTCTGGATCCTTTTTCTTAACAGTTCCAATTTGTGAGAAAACTCATTTATTTATAAAGTCGTGACTGCCCCCACCTCTTCCATTCTTTGAAGTCTTGGTTTGTCTTCAGGACATTCCACCCTGTTAGAGACCATGGAGCCCATAGATAACAAACCCCTATTTGACAGATAGGTAAACTGAGTCCTCTGTCTAGAAAAGGACTTACTCTAGGCCACACACATTGAGTGACACAACCAGGGCCTTGGAATCCAGGGCCTTGGCTCCCAGTCCTGTGTGCTTGGTCCACTGTACCAAGTTGTCTTTACAATGACATGATTTTTCTCACTGCCTTGCAGAAAACACCACTGTCATAAACACAGGCTATGAATTGAGCTAATGGGATTCCAATCCCTGCTCAGCCACTTACTACCTGGGTGGCCCCTCTAAGCCTCAGGCTTCTGTCTGGAAAATGGGGGATAATATACCTATTCCTCATGTGAATCATGAGGATAAATTGGACAATGCAAATAAAGCCCAAGGCTCAGCACACAGTAGGCATTCAAGAAATGATAGTGGTGTCTAGATGTGGGCTGCATGCATTGGGTAGAACTTGGCTCTTAAACTCAGCAATGCAACCTCACCAGGCGCCATCCCACCATACACATCCTCTGTGAGACCCTAGCCTCTAGGAGCATGGCAGGAATGGGAGACAGGCCCCCTAGCCTGGCACTGCCTGCTACCCTGTGGTCTGGAAGGGGATTTCCAAGTCAAGAAGCTGGGCCTGACGCTGGGAGCTGAGTGACTCAGGCAGGTGCAACCTCTTGTTCTTCCAGAGTAATGACAAGCACTCGCACAAAGCCACACCCAGAAGGAGAATCAAACTGCCTTTGTTTTGTTTTGTTTTATTTGGTTTTGTTTTAAAGCACGCAACTTCTCGATCTCCTTTCTGCTACTCCCTCCTCCACCACCCCTACTGAGGTAGCTACAGAGTCAGACCCAAATACACATTTGAAGGTAATAAAAAACATATGAAAAATCCATCTATAACCAACTTAACTCTAGAGCAAGTTCCAGAAGAGGGGTGGAGGCTGCATAATAAAAGCATTAAAAGGTAACATGTATGGAGTATTTGCTGTGTGCTATCTCCGCGCTTTTATTCATAATTTGCCTCCCAACCAGCTTATGAGGTCGGCACCATTATCATCCACATTTCACAGATGAAACTGAAGCTTTGAGGTATTAGATGACTTGCCCAAGGTCTTACAGCACAGCAAGTAACCGGAGCTTGAAGATCCAGGCTCTTAAACGCTTAACACTCTTAAGCATCATGCTCCAAAGTCTTGCCAGCTAGCAAGACATAGAACTCAGAGTGCCAGGCTTGAAGGGTCTTTAGAAATGATCAACCCAGGCAGGGCATGCCGTGGCTCACGCCTGTAATCCCAACACTCTGGGAGGCTGAGGCGGGTGGATCACCTGAGGTCAGGAGTTCAAGACCAGCCTGGCCAACATGGTGAAACCCCGTCTCTACTAAAAATACAAATATTAGCCAGGTGTGGTGGTGGGCGCCTGTAATCCCAGCTACTCAGGAGGCTGAGGCAGGAGAATCACTTGAACCCAGGAGGTGGAGGTTGCAATGAGCCAAGATCGCGCCATTGCACTCCAGCCTGGGGACAAGAGCAAGACTTCGTCTCAAAAAAAAAAAAAAAGAAAGAAAGAAATGATCAACCCAGTCTTTTCATTGTAGGGCTGGAGCCACACCAAGGGCCAGAGAGCGGCAGGGACTTGCGGGAGGTCTTACGTTGAGTTTGTGATTCATACATAGGACAGAACCCAAGTATCCTTCTCCCAGCACAGTGCTGTTTCCACATACCCCACTGATAGGAAATGGAGCATCTAAATCAAACAAGAACATTCCTCATTGCATTAGGAGAATGAGTGAATCAGGGCCTTGGCTAGGGGAGAATGGAACTCGGGAGCAGCTAATGAACTAGGAAAAGAGCAGCCCTGGGTCCCTTCCTTAGATCCATAACCTGAGGCAATCTCAGGAGTGTAAGACCCTCCAGTGGATTCTAGGTACTTTTTGGTGCTGGGTGTATGTGTATGTTAAAGAGAGATTTTGGTGATAGTTAAATGAGAATGCATATCAAGCACATGATATTGACTAAAATTGTTCTAGGCAATTGTGGCAGTTTTTGGTAAAAAGTAAATAAATGAGCAGGGTCCATGGTCCCAGCTTCTCTCCTCAGCCTAAGAAGACATTTTTAATTCTCTCTATCCAGCTCCCAAATACCTGCATGAGGAGGTAGTTGTATCTTCAGAGGTTTTCACAGTCATTCAGCACCTTAAGGTGAATGAAACCATTTCATACCCACAACTTGCCCATTTCCCAAGAGACCGTCACGCAGAGGATAAGGTGTGGGTTCTGGCCTCTGGGCTTAAATCACAGCCCTGCCACTTACAACTCTGTGCCTTGGTTTCTTTATCAATGACATGAAGGCTGTAACTGTGCCCAATTCAGAGGGTGGTGACAATCAAATGCCACAAGGCTTGGCCTCAGTGAAAGGTAGCGATGATCATTATGATCATCAATTCTATGAGGCAGCAGGGATTGCTTCTCTCCTTTTTCCAGGAGGACCCCAAGGCCTGGAGCTGGGGAGCAGCTTGCCCTAGACATCAGACTGTCTTCTGAGGAGCTGGGCCTGGAAGGCATTGCTGCTGACTTTTCTCCAGGCTCTTTCCCCTTTTCTTCCTTCTCTATCCCAACTATTTTCCCTGTGTCCCTGGGCTGGCCTGTTACACTTCAGTTTCTAGGGCACCACTGGAGGAGAGGAAAGGGCAAAGTGACACTGGGGGAAATTCCCAGCCTCGTCACATACGTGGCCTAGCCAGGCCCCTCCCACAGTTCCTAGGAGCCCTGGGTCTCCCCACTCCAGCGTCTCTCCCCCTGGCCTCTCCGTCTCCAGGTCAGGGTGTCAAGCTGGATCTGGGCTTGCATCCAGGGTTGCCCCTTGTCATCCTCCTGGAAGTGGGAACAGGTCAGCCAGGCCCAGCCCGGCCCAGCCTCTCAGGAAGTTAGACCCACAAAACCGGAGCATTTCCTAATCCCGGGAAGCCCTAACAGGGCCCTGAGAGCAATCCTCTTTCAGTCCCACCCACCTTCCTCCCTGTCCTCTCCCACACCCTCTTCTTCTATGGCCCCTCCCCGCTCTCCCTCCATTCCTCTGTAGCCTAGAAGCCACCGTCAGACTTGGCCTCTGTTCCTTGCCTCTTCTAGCCAGGGACTTCCCTAGGCTGTGAAAAGATGCCTGGGGAGGGGATGAAGAGGGCCGTTTGGATGAACTGGCCTTTCTTCATCATTCCTGGTTCCAGAGTTTCCTCATTCTTATGGTAACATTTATGGACCACTGAGGATACAGGAGTGGACCAATCAGACCCGCTTCCTGCTCTCTCAGAGCTCACAGACTCTCAGGAGCCATATGGGGCTATTTAAATAAGTAGAATTAAACTAAAATTAAATAGAATTTTAGTCCAGATTTTCTAAGTGATCAAAGAGGAAGCTGCGTCAGCTGTGTCTGCCTGCCCTTGGCCCACTCCCTGTGCCCTGGGCTCTCTGTTACAGGTTCCACCACAAAAGAGTCCAGCGGCCCTAGAAGCAGAGCAGGCAGGAGAGAAGCAAGAGATCCTTTTGCTCCAGTGTTAAGGAGGGTCTCAGCCTCCACTATGTTCCCCTGGAGGCAGCGCCGATTCTTGGCCTCTTCCTATCTAGCTGTAGACTTCTAAAGTGCCCAACACACACTTGTACCCTCTCCATCAAAAATTCACTGTACACACAGATACACACACAAATACACACAGTCACCAACTTACACCCACACAGAAAGACACATACACGCTTCAGGGATCTGACACAACACAGGCACACATTCTCACACACACAAACACCCACATCCATATTCACACTTGCATACCTCCCTTTTCTTGAGGGAATAAGACAAAAATAGGCTTTGCTTTTCCCTTTGGAAAAGCTAGTAACAACTAGAGAGAAAAAGACTGGCCAAGAAGGCAAGGCCAGAAGAAGAGGGGCAGGAAGAAGGAACGAGATGGGGGAGAGAAGACAGTGGAGAAGGAGGCTGGGTGAGGAGCAGGGGCTGGGAGCCCAAGACCTGGGTGGGAAGAGCAAGCTAGGCTGAGAGCAGCAGACCCTGGCTGGCAGGACATGGGAGGCCAGGTGGCTCTTGGCACAGAGCTGAGGGTGTCTGCTTGCCCCAGCACCCTTGTGCGGTGGGTCCTTTCCCCTGTCCTGGCCCACCGGCCCCCATCTAGTCACTCACCTGGGGAAGGGCAGGAGAATACGAGGGTGTGTGCACCAGGGGCGGCTGTCCCTATGAAGGCTCCTCGGCTCACTGTGCTTCTGCAGGAAGGAGGGCTGGGCTGAGCTGACTATTAGGCAGGAGGGGAATTCCCCGAGATGGAGGAGCCGCCACCAGGCAGCCCCGCAAGGCCCAGCTGAGGCCCCATCCTGCCCGCTGGCAGAGCAGAGGGCCCTTATTTGTCAGCCTCCACCTGTCACTTCCCAGACTGGCTGTCCCGTGCTGTGAATTCCAGGGAGTTGGGGTTGGGGGGGATCTGGGGAGAAGAGTTGGAAGCCTGATGCTTCCTCAGCTGGGCTGGGAAAAGGCACCCGAGAATGGGCTGGGGCAACCTGGCCTGGCCTCCCTAGATTGTCCTGAAGACCTCCATTTCCTCCTTCGCCTAAGGTGGGGGATTCCAGTGCTCAGGGCCCTGAGGAAACTGCCAGATGCCCAGCCCACATCCTCCCACCCCGTTCCTATCCTACCTGTTGCCACTTACTCTCTGAGGCTTCTCCATCCATAGTGAAGAAGGGGCCCACTCCTTCCTTGGTGCATGCCGAGTCACATTTGGATGTCAAGTAAGGCCTTAGAAACCGCAGCCCAAGGAATTCTGCACTGACCAGCTGGAGATCCTGAACAAGTCACCTCATCATCCTGAGCCCTAGTGATCTCCTGCTTAATGAGTCCTGCTTTGCCTGACTCCTGCCATTTAATGGTAATTAAAATAAAATGATGGGCCGGCACCGTGGCTCACGCCTATTAATCTTGGCACTATGTGAGGCCTGAGGCAGGCTTAAGCCTAGGAGTTTGAGACCAGCCTGTGCAACATGGTAAAAACACTGTCTCCACAAAAAATACAAAAACTAGCTGGGTGTGGTGGCACTTGCCTGTAGTCCCAGCTACTCGGGAGGCTGAGGTGGGAGAATTGCTTGAGCCCAGGAGGTTGAGGCTGCAGTGAACCATTATGGCGCCACTGCACTCCAGCCTGGGCAACAGAGTGAGACCCTGTCTCAAAAATGATAATAAATTTAGAAATAAAAATAATAGTTTGTAGACATCCTTTGTAAACTACTGACTGCTTTACAAACATAAAGTCTTTGTTCCTTATCCCCTGAAAATATGCCTGGGGAGGGGATGAAGAGGGCCGTTTGGATGAGGTGTGGCCTTTCTTCATCATTCCTGGTTCCAGAGTTTCCTCATTCTTATGGTAACATTTATGGACCACTGAGGATACAAGAGTGGACTAATCAGACCCGCTTCCTGCCTTCTCAGAGTTCACAGACTCTGAGGAGCCATATGGGGCTATTTAAATATAAATTAAGTAGATTAAAATTAAATAGAATTAACAGTTCAATTCCTCAGTAGCACAAGCTGCATTTCGAGTGCTCAACAGCCACATGCACCTACTACATTAGACTACATGCATGTATGACATTTCCATTATTATAGAAAGTTCTATTGGATAGCACTGCTCTGGGGGCTACAGGTAAATGAGGAGGAGATTACAATAAAGTACAGGAAAGATGTGTTTTGGCAGGAGAAATGCAGGGGGCTTTGGGAGCCTGGACAAAAGAGTATCTGGTCAGGATATGGGGATCTGGGAAGTCTTCCTGGAGGAAGTGACACCTAAACTGAGACCTGAAAGTAGCCAAGAAAGAAGATAAGGAAGAGTGTTCTCCACAAAGGGAATAGAATATTCAAAGAGAATAGAGAATATATTCTGAGAACAGAAAGAGAAGAGAGAATATATTCCATGAACTGTTCAGTCTGAGTAGACCAAGGGATTTGAGGCAGACTGGGGGAAGTGACAGAGGTAGACCTGGAGAAATAAACAGGTCCAGGTCACAAGGGGCCACATGCAGCCTCTGCAGGAGGAGAGGAGCAATAAGAGGTGGGGGCGGAGAAGGGTCCATTGAATCCCATCCAACTGCATCTGTGCCCTTCAGATCAGGATTACACGGGGATGCTAAATCTCCTAGCCCAATGGCCTCACTTTACAGACAAGGAAGTGGAGGCCAGACAGGGGAAATAAATTTCCAAGTGAGTAAATAGAGGGACTTCCTGACTCCTAGTCCAGTGCTCTTTCCCACACCACACTCAGCCCCTCAGTGGCACTGCCACTTTTCAAGAGCTCGATTGCCACACGTGGCAAGCAGCTACCATGCCAGACTGCACAGATATTTCCATCATCACAGAAAGTGCAGTTGTATGAATGATACTGACCCTTGAGCTAGACCAGGGGCAAAAAGATGATGTTCTCCTGTACATAGACCCTTTTCTCTGCAGGGGGTGAAAATATGTGTAGCTCAGCCCTAATGTTCCTGGATTACAATTTTCCCCCTATATACAATATTTGCACTTTAAAGTCCACTATAATTACATATTCTCTGTAAATTCACAGAGCCTGGCTTAGACCAGTTCCTGCCCATGGAATCTTAGATGGCAAAGGGACCTTGAAGGGCTAAGGACGTTCAAGGAGCTGGAGCGACATGAGCTGGGATTTCCAGTTAGAATACCTGGCTGGCACATCCTATGAAGAGAATGGCTCTGAGCTCTCCCTGCTGAAATGCTGACAGCAATCAGTTTCTCTCACCTCTTCCCCCTTCCAGCCATGCATGGATTCCCTGAAGCTGCCTTCTCTGTTCAGGCCAGGGGATAGACACTGAGGAAGAAGAGGCCCTCAGACTGGGAATCAGTAGAGCTGACTTTGAATCCTGGCTCTGCTGTATGGCCCTAGGCAAGTTTTGGTCCTCAGCTTCCCCTTCTATAATGTAAAATATCAGGCTAGATGACCACTAAGGGACCTCCCATTCTGACATGTTAAGGAAGTCCAAAAGTTCAGAGGAAGGAGAAATCAGGATGAATAAAGGCGGATTGCCATTAGGCGGTTAGGAAATAAAAACACTAATAGCTAATATTTAAGCTTATCATATGCCAGGCACAGTACTCAGTGCTCTTAGATGAATTATTTCATGCATCTCTCTTAAGAACTGTATAAGACTGATATACTATTCTGCAAAAGAAGAAATGAGGCTCCTAGTGGGTTAAGACAACTGCTAATAAATGGCACAAGTAGAGTTCAAATATAAGTAATGTCTCCCGTGAGGATGTGGAGGAGATGAGACCTATACTGGATCTTAAAAGAGGGCAAAATTTGGGTATACACAAGGAAACTGTCACAGGACCACTCTTTTGATACGGAATTATCCAGCCCTACCTCATCCATTTTGACATCTCTGGTCTTGCTGCTGATGTTGTAGGGACAGGACTGAGCCAGTCTCATAAAAGCTATTTGATACTTACTTAGGGAATGAATGAACTTGACTCTGTGAGTTTCCTGGTTCATCAATTCTGTTGAAAGTTCCCCAAGAATAGAAACTCTTCATGCCATTAGGACCTAGCCCAGGATTTGGCAGATTTCTGGACCCCATCATAGAGCTAAGAAATCAGACTCTCTAACGAGGGGATCCCTAAAGGCAGCAGTTTAATTAAACTCCCTGATACTCCCCGATACTCCCCGTAGAGTTTGAGAAGCCAAAACTCTCAGCTGGATCTTCCAAATCCAAAGTGAGAATTATCTGCTCACATATAGGCAGCTAGGTAGAACTCACTGTCAGGAACTCACTGGTAGATACTGAGGATGCGTTTACTTCTCTGAGTCACCCAAGCATCAAATCTATGATTTTTGCAAAGTCCCACTCAAGCCAATGAAGTTACCTGCTTATCTGAACTTTGAAGACAGGCAGTTAGAAGAGGTCATAGAATCATAGTTTTTCAGATGTCTACTGGCTCAACAGCCTACCCAGAACCAGCACATCCTCCCCCAACCATTGGCAAGTGGTCAGCCAAGTTTTGCCACCCTATTTCAATGATGGGGAGCTCACTACCTTACAGGTAGCCCATTGCATTCTCAGTCGGCTCTCATTTAAAGCTCAGATCTGCCTTCTTCTCCTTTGGATGGGTGCCTATCAATGGCTGACAAATTCTTCCAAGGCCCTTCATGATCTAGCTTCTACTTACCATCCCTTCCCGCTCTAACCACCCCTAAGCATTCCTCAAATGTGCCAGCTCCTTTCTGCTTCTTCTTCTTTTTATTTTTTTTTTTTTTGAGACAGAGTCTCACCCTGTCGCCCAGGCTGGAGTGCAATGGTACAATCTCGGCTTACTGCAACCTCCGCCTCCCAGGTTCAAGCAATTCTCCTACCTCAACCTCCTGAGCAGCTGGGATTACAGGTGCGTGCCACAACTCCCAGCTAATGTTTTGTATCTTTAGTAGAGACAGGGTTTCACCATGTTAGCCGGGCTGGTCTTGAACTCCTGAACTCGTGATCCACCCGCCTCGACCTCCCAAAGTGCTGGGGTTACAGGCGTGAGCCACCGTGCCTGGTCTTCCTTTTTGCTTCTTTTGGCTTCCTTGCATATTCCTTGGCCCCTGGCTGCAGCACCTCCCCTCCACTGTGCCTTTCACCTGGCCAATGCCTGCTTATTTTCTCTGTCTCAACTTAAGTGTGCCTCTTCTGGGAAGTTTCCCTGACCTTCCCCACTCCTGCACTCCCCTCCAGACCACAGCAGGCCCCTTGTTCTGCATTTTCAAGCCCTGCCTTTCTCTCTCTCTGCAACTAGTTGTAATAAAATGATTATTGGTGCAGTTAATTTAGCATCTGATGAGAAAAATGGTTTTCAGCCAGGGATGATTTTGGCCCCCACAGGGCAACTGGCAATATCTGAAGACATTTTTCATTGTCACAACTGAGGAGGGAGTATACTACTGACATTTATTGGACAGAAGGCAGGGATGCTGCCAAGCAGCCTACCATGCACAGGACAGATCCCCATAACAAAAAATGACCCAACCCAACACATCAACAGTGTTCTCAACATGTCCATAGAGAAAACTCGTTTTGGAGTATAAGCCCCATGTGGTCAGGGACTATTTCTTCTTTGATTGTCACAATTTCACCAGTGCCTAGCAAACAGCAGGCAATCCATGAATGCTTGTGGAGGGAAGAAGAGAAGGAGAAGGAAGTGGGTCATAGAATGAAATGCTAGAACCCCATCGAGGGGGGTGATGTGTACAGTGTCCCCGACGTTGGGGAGAGTAGAGGACTGGGGATACACATGTAAAGAGAGCTGAGACTGGGCAGACAGACCTCGGGAGCCTTGAACACTGGGCTAAAGAATGTCGCCTCTGGCCGGGCACAGTGAGTCATGCCTGTAATCCCAGCACTTTGGGAGTCCGAGGCAGGCAGATCACAAGGTCAGGAGATCGAGACCATCCTGGCTAACACGGTGAAACCCCATCTCTACTAAAAAATACAAAAAATTAGCCGGGTGCGGTGGCGGGCACCTGTAGTCCCAGCTACTCGGGAGGCTGAGGCAGGAGAATGGCGTGAACCCGGGAGGTGGAGTTTGCAGTGAGCCAAGATCGTGCCACTGCACTCCAGCCTGGGTGACAGAGCAAGACTCCGTCTCAAAAAAAAAAAAAGAAAAAAGAAAAGAATGTCGCCTCCATTCTATAAGCAATGGGGGGGGGGGGCGCATAGGAGTCTTTCCACTAACATTAACAAAATACTTTTGTGGCCAAAAATGTTCTGATCAAACTGGCACTTCAGGAAGAGATCTGGGGACAGTGAGAAATACGTCTTGAGAAAGGGGATTTGACTTGTTAGTGATAGAGGCAGGTGTTAAATCCACAAATATCCCTCCTTATTTTACTGATGCACATGGGGTAACCCTGGTTGCAAACAGCTGTCTGAAGAGCTGGCAGCACCCTTTTTCAGACTGTGAGTAAATGGACAGGCCTCAAACTTTGAGGCCACAGGCATCTGCTTGGTGCCAGGCCAGCCACTATTACTGACTCACCATATGGCCTCATCAGTACTTCCTCTCGCCATCCCTCACCTTCCTCATCTGTAAAAGGGAGTAAATTCTCTTCACCCATTTATAACACTGAGCACAGCTGTGTGCACAAAAGGGCATCCATTAGGATAATTTCATAGAGAATATTATAGACCATGGGTTTGTTAACTTTAGTGTCCTTTGACCAGGGGTTCGCAATCCTGACTGCACATTTAAATCACCTGCAATCCTGACTGCACATTTAAATCACCTGGGGATCTTTCTAAACACGCGGACCCTCCAGGCCCCACCCCAGATTAATTAAACCAGAATCTCCGGGGGTGTGGCCTGGGCATGGGTATTGATAAAGCTCCCCCAGGTGATTTTGAGATGCAAAGTTGTGACCACTGACCTAGAAGCTGCTTTTTTTTTTTTTTGAGACAAATCTGCCCTTTTAACAGCTGGTTCTGATTCAGGTGATCCCAGGAACTTACTGTCGTTGAGTCACTGTGGTCTCCCAACTTGTTCCTTCTTTTTGTATCAGGAAGGTGACTTCTCAATACCAGGATAGGGACAACAAATTTCAGAATGTAGAGAGAATCCCTCTTTCGGGGAGTCACAGAACAGTATGTATGATGGGTGTGAAAGGAAAAGTTAAAACGCAAGCTAAGCCACTAAGTGGAGAGGAGGTATGTGTCATTCTATCAGCATTTGAAAAATGGGATTCAGGGAGGCCTTTTGCAAAATTGTGCTTTCCAAGGAAACTAATACAGGGTGGCATGTTGCAAGATTCTTGTCAAAGGAAGGGGATCCAAGTACAGATGTTGCAACACTGTGCTGCCAAAGGAAGTGGAAGCAAAGGAAGTGGCTTCTTAGTCTATCAGATCTGGAACAAAGCTTAGAGATTATCTTGACCAATCTTCTCACTGGATAGAAGGGGAAACTAAGGTTCAGAGAAGGGAAGGCTTGTGCCCAGGGGCAGCCAGGGAGTTACTGATGAGTTCAAATTGCAATCCAGGCTTCCTATCCACCACCTACCTGCTGCCCTTTCCTCTTCTCCCTGAATATCTATCCCCTCACTGTTTTGCTCTGGGTCCCTAGCCCAGCCTCCACATCCCCACCCTCTGGACAGTGCCCAAGGTCAAAGGATGAGCCTAAATCTGTGTGCCAGGATCTAAACCCACCAGATGACAGGGGCGAAAGCCAGCGGTGGCAGTGGCAAGCCGGAGAGGAAGGAGCAGTGTCTGATGATGTGGCCTGACCTCAGAAAGGAAACCTGGTTGGTCACCAGGGGGAATTTCCCCGGGTGAGGTCTCACGTCTATGCAAATATTGCACTGCAATTAACCTGGACCCTGGGATGGGAGAGAGAAAAGAGGAGAGGACACTGGGAAAGACAGAAGGGCAGGTAATAGGACCTGAACATTCCCAGGGTACCAGGCACTGTGCTAGGCTCCTCATGAAATTAATCTCATTTTGCCTCTAAAGTATCCTCCAATGTAGGAAAATTGAGTCTGAGGCCCAGTGAGAGGGTGCGTTGCCCAAGCAAAATCAGCACATTCCTACCCCAACGGGATACCAGGCCTCAGGGAGAAGTGATGATGGTGACGATAGATTTGGCGCTGCGGCTGCTGACAAAGGTGACAGTAATGAGGCTTGAGTCCGGGACTCTAGCAAGGTTTCATTTTAGGTTTCCATCTCACTCAACCAGGGGAGTTTTATCCTGGGAACGGCCAAAGGCAGCAGGAAGGTAGTGACCCTGACTCACCTTGGGCAAATCCCAGCACTCTGGTTTTTCAAAGCCCTGTGGGGGCAAGGGATGTGGTAGCTGGCACAGTTAACCCCTTCACCACCAGTTTCTAGAATGCTCCTGGAAAAGTGAACAGAATGGGATCCATACTTTTGAAGGAGAATCAATTTTTCTCTGCTACCTCTTTAAATTTCACTCGCTGTGCGCCTCACCGTATCCAGAAAGCCTTCCCCGGGGACTTCACTCGTTTTCCAAGGCTTGATCTCATTTACTGCCTGGTTCTCCAAGGAGCTAGTCTTGTCTCCCAGAATAGGATGCCAAGTAGGATCAGAGTTCAAGTCAGGGCTGTTGGGCTCGAAGTCTGCCCTCCACACAGCCTGGTTGGTTGTCCTCCTCTGATGGGCTTACACAACAACAAGCAGACTCCTGATTTCTGGAGGTGTGTGGGGCACACTAAGGCTATGCACTAAGAAAAGTGTGAGTGTGCACATGCCCCAGTGTGTGTGAAGAACAAGTTAGGATACATATGCGAGGTGTTTCCCACGTGCACAGCAACACACACACACACACACACACACACATAATGTCTGTATTTTTGGTTGTTATCAGCAAACTAAAAAAAAATTATTTTCTCTGTATGGTCAACAATGTGTGTCTCTGTATGTGTTACCAGCAGAATACCTTACACTCCTTTGTATTACCAGCAATGTGTTTCTCATTCTACTGTGTGCTCTGTGGGTATGGCTGGCAGTGACTGTAATTCTGTGTGACAAGCAGTATTTACGGGCCTTGAGTGGATAGCAGGCACATGGGAAAGTGGGGGAAGGAAATGTCAGTTCCCCACCCTCCCTACTTTCCTTTCAGGCCCTCCCAGGTCAAGGTCCATGGCCTTCAAGACGGCCAGGGAGGGGTTCTGCCTGCAGCTGGCAGCACAACAGGCAGATGGTGGTAGTTGGGAGGAAGGGGTGGGGCCATCCCACAGAAGGAAATGCATGTTCTGGAAATTTTAACAGCTGGGCCTGTTTGTGTGGTGGGGGGACATTCCCAGACAGCTCTTGTTTAGGGTTTTGTCAGTCCTTACCTAGCTGAGAGGAGGGCAGTGGGACAGCCTACATCAGGGACCTCTGTCCTCATGTCCTTCTCTGAGTTCTTAGGGAATGGAACTTGGCTTCACATCTGCTTCCTCCCCGCTCACTCCCCATGGCACTTTAGGGCCCTTTTCCCTGTTTTCTCGCTCCCCAGTGTCCTTCTCTTTTCTCCATCTCTGCATCCTCTGTGCTGGCTTGTGTCCTCATCCCCCCGACACCTAGGGACCCCAGCTGCTGGTCCTGTCTCCTCCATGCTGGTCCCTGGGGATATCTTTTCTAAAGGACATCTCTAATCATATAATCTCCCTCCCTAGCACATTCAGGGGCTAGCCAGTGCCTGGAGGATAAAGTCCATACTCTTCAGCCTGGACTCAGTGACCTTCCCAGAGGGCGTCCTCGCACAGCGGGTGACGGGCCCCAGCACTCCCACACACCTCTCCTTTCCCAGCTCTGCGCCTTTGCTTCAGCCATTGCCTCTGCCTGGACACCCCTCCCTCCTTCAGTAGTTTCTAATGTAAGAGCTTCTCTAACCATCTGCTGAGGTGCTCTCAAGTGTCCCGTTCTCCAAGGAGCCTTTGTTAGTCCTCCCTGTGGTTAATTCATCGCTTCTGCACTCAGTGTCCCTTGCTTGGTTGAGATTTTTCTTTTTCTTTCTTTTTTTGTTTTAAGACAGTTTTGCTCTTGTCAATCAGGCTGCAGTGCAGTGGTGTGATCTTGGCTCACCGTAACCACCGCCTCCTGGGTTCAAGTGATTCTCCTGCCTCGGCATCCCAAGTAGCTGTGATTACAGGTGCCCGCCACCGCAACTCGGCTAAATTTTTTTTTTGTATTTTTAGTAGAGATGGGGTTTCACCATGTTGGCCAGGCGGGTCTTGAACTCTTGACCTCAGGTGATCCACCCACCTCGGCCTCCCAAAGTGCTGGGATTATAGGTGTAGCCACTGAGCCTGGTCTGGTTGAGATTTTTCTAATAATCTTTCCCCACTTAGCTCTCTGTGTAGCAGGCATAGTGTAGAGCATCAGACTCCCCCCTCTGACCCTGATTACTCTTCTCTAAAATAGAATCCTGCCTATTATTGATAATAAAGAGCTGATATACTGAGTCCTTCGTATGTTCTAGACAGTGTGCTCAGAAATAAACATGCATTGCCAGTACAGACAGGTCAAGTTACTTATTTACTTCTACTAATAGTGGTGGATGGGATTTGAACCCAGGCCTGCCTGCCTCCACAGACTTAACCACTGAGCAGAGGGCTCAGTTATGTAACTACAATTTCCCACTTGCCTCACTCCAACCCTAAAGTGGGGAAATCTGTAGGAAACCCAGGTTCTGGTGGGGAATGAAGAGGCATGTTAGAGCGCTGTTTTACCGCTTCTGGGTTCCGAAATTCAGGTTGGGCAACCCGACCCTTCTCCCTCCCATGCTCAGCTCAGTCTGGCTTCCTCATCAATAGGTAAAGGAGGAAGTGTCAGCAGAGAGAGCAGAGCCTGGAATCAGG
Organism: Homo sapiens; assembly: GCF_000001405.40. Lineage (NCBI taxonomy): Eukaryota > Metazoa > Chordata > Mammalia > Primates > Hominidae > Homo > Homo sapiens. The sequence continues at coordinate 151,097,280 of NC_000005.10, forward strand.
ACAGCTGCGTTCTAGCCTCAGATCTGGCACTTACTAATACAATGGTCACAATCCTGTCTCTGGGCCTCAGTTACCAAACCTGTGAAACGAGAGGGTTGGTTGGGGCCATCTCTAAGACCATTTCCAGTGAGTCAATCCATGATGTACTGTCTATGTCTTCAGGCAGTATGTTTCACCACTTGGAGCCCAAGTTTCCTCATTGGTAAAAAGAGGGTGATCACCCCTATAATACTGCAAAGGAAGTAACGGCCATGGAGGCAAAGCTTCTCAAGTGGGATTATTCTGGTGGCGACTTATTGCTTGCAGCTGTGCTGGGGCACCATGAATATAGGGGGATTTCTTTTTTTTTTTTGAGACACAGTGTCCCTTGGTAGTCCAGGCTGGAGTGCAATGTCACGATCATGGCTCACTGCAACCTCCGCAACCTGGGCTCAAGCGATCCTCCCACCTCAGCCTCTCGAGACTGCAGGCATACACCACTACCTCCAGCATTTTTTTTTCCTATTTTTTGTAGAGACGGGGTTTTGCTACACACAGGCTGGTCTTGAACTGGGCTCAAGCGATCTGCCCACTTTGGCCTCCCAAAGTGCTGGGGTTACAGGCACGGGCCACGGCACCTGGCCATAGGGAAACTTTAAACAGCCAGCGGTTCCCACACCACCGCCACGGGCAGGAGGTTGAGTGGCAATTCCTAAATAGCTGCTCTCTGCTCAGGTTAAAAGGGCACCCCCCCTCCCAATGGGCAACTTCCTTCGGGTATTTCCTAGTGGCCCCAAAGACCAAGATTGGCCCATCCCAGTTCAGAGCTTGTAACAGTTTGCCCTAAAGGGAAAATGCAAGGCTCAAGGCAGGAGGGGGAGCAGTGAGGAGCTAGAGAGTATTGAAGCCCACCTCCACAGGTGACGACAAAAGGAGAAAACACAGGGTGCTTCTAAAAGCACCGGCCCTGGCCGGGATGGCAATTCCAGTTCTGTCTGCTGCTAGCTTGCTATGTACCCTGGGCCAGTTGCTTCCTCTCTGTGGAAGTGACAGTTGTTTCATCTGCAAGTGAGGGAGGGAGGTGAGAATTTCTGAGGGCCCCTTCTACCCTTAGAACATCACAGCCAGCCTCCCTTTCTCCCACTTTGAGACAGCAGCGGTTTGGGCTTCTGCTTTCTCTTTCCTTTTAGTTTTAAATTAGCCCCCATCGCTTCTCCCGATTAAACTTTGGCCACAGAAGCAATCTCCAGTGTCATTTTGGAGAGAGCTGAGCAGGAGGGACACTCAGTGGAAGCTCCTTAAGCACCAGAACCACATTGGTTTGTATGTTTTGCACCTAGCACGTGGCATGGAACATAGGAGCCACTCATTAAGTGTAAACTGCATGCATGCATGAATGGGGTGCTCTGGTTCAGAACAGTGGCTACTCTCCTCCTCTGCTAAAACTCCAAGAAAAAAATGTGGTTTGTTCAGCTGGCACCGAGCTCTTAGTAGGACCGTTGCAAAAGGCTCCCGAATGGCACCCTGCCTTCCTACATTTGTCCTCAGAGCATAGCTAGACGCACACCTTCCCCACTCAAGAACTCCAAAGGCTTCCCCTAGGTTATCAGAGAAAATCCTGACATTTAAAGTCCTCCTTAATTGGAGACAAACTGTCACTTCTCATCTTGTCTACCTCACCTCACAAACTCTTAGGGTTTCCTTCCTGCTACCGACCAGTACCAGAATGCAACTACCTTAACTGAAAATTATGTGGAAAATGCATGCTGAGGCATTAGGGAGGCATCAGACAGCTACTGCCCGATTTTAGCTGTCCTCATTCCTGGTTTCTAGGCCTCCTCTTCTGTGTTCCCCTCAGCTCCATGGGCTCTCCTCACTTCTATTCCCTGATTCCACTCTTCTTTCCTTTCTGCCCCAAGCCCATTTCCCTCAGTATATATTTTAAGGCACTTTTCTTTTTGGGTTCAAATGCCTTTGTGATCTGCAGCTGACGGACTTCATGAAATCAAAGCCATAAAGCATCATGGGCTCCACCTTTCAGCCCCTACAACTGAGCCTGGTTCGGGGCAGGTAGTGAGACTGACTCCGAGCCAGGCACGCACCCTGCCAAGCACCTCCACGTGGTGCCTCCTTTTATTCCCACAAGGCTACAGGATAGGTGGAATTGGAATGAGGAGCCCTGTTTTACAGAGAAGGAAACCGAAGCTCCTGTGCTGACGGTCAGTTAGTTACAAAGGTCTTAATCCAAAACTCTGAACCATTTTGTTAATTTATCTTTCAGTAACAGTTCAATTAAGTTAGACAAATATCCCAAAAAGCTCTTAGCTGGCCCTCAAGGCACTTGAGTTCACAGCCCAGAAGAAAGGAAGTAAAGACACGGTAAGGTAACTTTTCTTTGTTTCAGACTCATTATGTCAGAGATTAAGAGAGAGCTCTTCAAAATTGTTGGATCCAACCCCCCACTATAAAGTTGGAGTAACTGAGGCCCAGTGAGGGCAATGGCTGGTCTGAGGTCACAAGTGAGGGAGGGACGAGACCAGACTCTCTCACCTGCCTGTTGCTGTCTTCACAGCTATGAAAACAAACACATGCGCCGCGCACGGTGGCTCACGCCTGTAATCCCAGCACTTTGGGAGGCCAAGGCGGGTGGATCACCTGAGATCAGGAGTTCGAGACCAGCCTGACCAACATGGAGAAACTCCATCTCTATTAAAAATACAAAATTAGCCAGGTGTGGTAGCACATGTCTGTAATCCCAGCTACTCGGGAAGCTGAGGCAGGAGAATCGCTTGAACCCGGGAGGCAGAGGTGGCAGTGAGCCAAATTCATGCCATTGCACTCCAGCCTGGGCAACAAGAGCGAAAGTCCATCTCAAAAAAAAAAAAAAAGAAGAAAAAGAAAAGAAAGAAAAGAAAACAAACACGCGCTAACCTGCAATAAACTAGTCTGGTCAGCCAGGGTAGGGAGAAGTGCCCTTTGGCCAGCAGCCAGCCCCATGCCATGGTCACTGGACAATCTTAGACCAAAGCCACAGACCAGAAGTAGGGCAGCGGGGGAGGGAAGGCAGAGGAACTGCAGTTGCGCCTACTTGCTTATCAGTGACCTGCATGAAGGAAACTTTCCATGCACCTCTCCAGATCAAGATCACATCGGGCACCCTTGCATAGTTCAAAAGAGGAAGTTTGGGCTTGGTTGAAATGGATGAAGAGCATACAGAAATGTCCAGACAGCGAGAGGGGATGAGGGGGAACCTGAGGCCCGGAGCAGGGCTGGGCCAGCCTTCCCAGGCTTGCTGCAAACTCAGATTCTCCTGTGCGCTTCCCGGGAAACACCTTGCAAGAATTTAAAGACGTAACTCGCTCCTGGACAGACTTTACAACCTCAAGCTCTAATGAGGAAAATCCAGGCTGCAGGCTCTAGGTAGAAGACAGAGGCCCTCACTGGAAATGTGTTTATGTGTTTGTGTATCTCTTTTTATTTCTTCCTTAGAAATAAAAAGTGTCAAGGGAATGAATCGGAGGCATACTTTAGGAAGTTAATGTTAGAAGGGAAGCCAAGATTTTTTTGTCCAACTGTCTCATTGTAGATAAGAAAATAGAGACTCAGGGAGGGAAAGGGGCTGGCCTAAGGTCAGAAACAAGTGCATGGCAGATGCAGATTTGAACCCAGGCATCCAAATTCCTGGTCCAGTACTCTAGCGCGGCCTGGATGGAGATGGGTGGTGAAATGGATGGGAAGATTTGTCAGTTTGCCCCAGCACATTTACTATCCTTCCCACCACCCCGCCCAGCACATTCAACTGGCCCCTGCCACCAACCCCCTCATTCAAAGTACAGACACTACTCATTTTACAGACAGAGGTTCAGGATGTTTTTGGATCTGACATAGCCCAAACCAGGGCAGAGGCTGTAGCAAGGGGAGGAAGCTGGGAAAGCCTGAGGGTCAGAGGGGAGTGGAGGTGGACAGGATCTATGGCTACGGTTTTTCAGCCGCTCAGCCGTGCTGGGCCCTCGATGGCCCGTGGGAGTGGGAGCGTTTCCTAAGCTCCACTGAAGATAAGAGCCCAACCCAACCCCTCCCCCCACCCCTGCCCCTTCCTTAGTCTCTGGAGCTGGAACAATCAGGCTTGGCCATGGCGGCTGGTGCTGATAACCATTTCTTGGCAGAAGTGCCCGCCAAAGCTGTGGCCCTAGTCCTCACCACCACAGAGAGCCAGCAAGGCCTTCAGGAAGTCTCCGGAGGTGTCACCCTGGCAGAGGCAGAGAGCAGAGTGAGTGAAAACAGTCCTTCCAGTCTCAATGCCCCCTCCTCCCGGCTGCCCATCTGTCTGGACATCTCCCTCGGCTTCTCTCCATGACCAACATAGGATCCCATGCCACATGTAGGCTACTGGGATCTCCCAGACACATAAATGTGACCACGTCCCTTTTGTTTATCCCCAGGAAGATATGCAAGCTCCCGGCCTGGCTTCAAGGCCCTTTGGGATCTGACCTGTGCAGAGCTCTGCAGCTTCACCTGTTCCTTTCCCCCAGGAGCATCTCAGTCCTCTCTCCACCTGTCACTCCCCTGTCCAACATGCCCCTGTGCACCCCCAATCCCATTTGCCAGCAGGGCCCTCTCCTCTGAGAAGCACTCTGGCCACTCTCTTGCGTCAGGAGGCACAGTGAACTCTGGCCTCCCTTGGTTCCCCTGGCACTCTGCTGATACCCTCCCCCATGGCCCTTGGCATATCGTGTTAGGTGATTTCTTATTTGAACAAACAACATTGAGTGCTAACTGCCAAGCCATTGCTGGGAATGGGTACAAACACCATCACGCTCACCACACATCACAGTGGTCTGGTATACGTTCAGACTGGGGAGGCCAAACTTCCTGACCCATGGTATGGTATGGATCTCCCTTCTGAGGGACTCCTATCATTGTTATGAGACATGGTTTTCGGGATTTTGTTTGTCCTTGTATTTTTTGATGTATGATTTTAAAACATAATATAGTATCAAAATGTGCCAACAATTTACTTACATTCCTACTAAGTCTGTAAGAGACTGCCTCTGAGATGCCCATAGTCTCGTTAGCCAAGTAGAACCAAGCATCAGACTTTAAGATCTTGGCTGATCTCAAAGAGCAAAAATATAAGCTCCATATGTCAAAAAAGTCAGACGCAGCCAGGTGTGGTGGCTCACACCTGTAATCCCAGCACTTTGGGAGGCCAAGGCAGGTGGATCACTTGAGGTCAGGAGCTAGCAACCAGCCTGGCCAACACAGTGAAACCCTGTCTGTACTAAAAATACAAAAATTAGCCAGGCATAGTGATGCATGCCTGCAGTCCCAGCTACTCGGGAGGCTGAGGCAGGAGAATTGCTTAAACCCAGGAGGTGGACGTTGCAGTGAGATGAGATGGCACTGCTGCACTCCAGCCTGGGCGACAGAGCAAGACTCCGTCTCAAAAACAAACAAACAAACAAAAAGTCAGACACAAAGGGTCACATATTAGGTGATTCCATTTATATGAAATATTCAGAAAAGGCAAATCTACAGAGACACAAAGTAGCTTGGTGGTTGCCTATGGCTGGGGATGGAACTAGATAAACAGGTATGAGAGAGCTTAGTGGGATGATAGAAGTGTTTGGAAACCAGCTGCATTATGGGAATGGTTGTACAACTCAGTAAATTTACTAAAAACTGTTGAATTGTACCCTTAAAACAGGTGAATTTTATGATATGTAAGTTTTTCGTTTGTTTGTTTGTCTGTTTTTGAGATGGAGTCTTGCTCTGTTGCCCAGGCTGGAGTGCAGTGGCGTGATCTCAGCTCACTGCAACCTCTACCTCCTGGGTTCAAGCGATTCTCTTGCCTCAGCCTCCTGAGTAGCTGGGATTACAGGCATGAGCCAACACACCCAGCTAATTTTTGTATTTTTAGTAGAGACAGGGTTTCACCATGTTGGCCAGGCTGGTCTTGAACTCCTGACCTCAAGTGATCCACCTGCCTTGGCCTTCCAACGTGCTGTGATTACAGGTGTGAGCCACCATGCCTGCCCATGATATGTAAGTTATACTTCCATAACATTGCTTTAAAAAAAGCAAAAAATGGGCTCTTGTTTTATTTGGAAATCTTTAATTATAAACCTTTGATTCTTTTGGAATTGATTTCGGTATAAACAATGCAATACAGACCCCCTTTCATTTCAATATCCTGGCTGTTCTAAGCGGTAACCCACTGGAAAAAAGTCCATGGGAATAAAGACTTCTAATCTTATATTAGGGATCTGACACTCACCCGCTTCCTGCTAACCTCTAGCCCCTCCCCTTACCTCAATGGCTTGGTGGAGAGACTTGTCATATTTCTCAATGAATTCCCTCCGGATGTTGAGCAGGTCAATCTCACTGCGGGATACCATGATCCTGGTCAGAGTCTTCTCATCTGTGCCAGCACCCTGGTGGAGCCAGGCAGGAGGGAGACACAGGCGGAAGGAGAGATAGAGCCCAGTCAGGCAAGAAACAGTGGTATCCCATCTGCCTTTCTCCCTTGTTCCTTCCAAAAACAGGGCGGATGTTCCACCTCTGTCTTCTGCAAACAGTCCTGACCAAAATCCCTCTGTGCCCAGGACTGGCCAGACTGACACGCAAAAAAGATGTGTGTGGGTTGAATAGTGTCCCCATGTCCACCTGGAAACTCAGAACATGATGTAATTTGGAAATAAGGTATTTGCACATGTAATTAGTTAAGATGAAGGCATACTGAATTAGATTGAAGCCTAAACCAATAACCAATATCTTTAGAAGAGGGAGGGCACAGACATACACACAGAAAAGTGGCTAGGTGAGGACAGAGGCAGAGACCGGAGTGATGCATTCACAGCCAGGAAACACCAAGGACTTCTGGCAACCACCAGAAGCTAGGAGAGGCAGGGGAGTGCTTCTCCCCCAGAGCCTCCAGGAGGACCCAACCCAGGCGACACCTTGATTTTGGGCTTTTGGCCTCCAGAACTATGAGAATAAATTTCTTTTGTCACCCAATTTCTGGAATGTGTTACACCAGCCCTAGGAAACTACCACCGGGCCCAAGGAGCAGGCACAGGGCATGGAATGTGTGGGCAGCCAGAGCTGCCTCTGCCCCCAGGGAGCGACAAGCACCAGCCTAGGAGTCAGAGCTAGGTTCGAGTCCCAGCTCTGCCTCTTAGGAGCTATGTAAATGTGGGCAACGTTTTACCCTACCTAGGCCTGAGTTTCCTCCTCTATCAAATGAGGATGCTACCACAATTTCACAGGACTGCCATGAGGGTCAGCTGTGGTCAGAGAGATGAAGCCCTTGGCACAGGCTTGACACATCGTGAGTGCTCAATGAATGGCTGTCACATTTGGAGACTGTAGGGTGAGGGTCTCAGGTTCCTTCCTACCCTCCCACCTGCCCAGGCTATCTGCAGTTGAGACTCCAGTGGCTGAGAGGGTGGCCAGTGTGGCTTGGGCTCTCCCAGAAGGGCAGGACTAGACTCAGAGGGGAGCGCTTGTGACCTTTGATGACTATTTGTCCTAGGAGACCCTGTGTCCCCGGATAGATTGTGAGCTCTGAGAGGGCAGAGACTGTGTCCTACCCAGCCCTGTGTGCCTCCAGAGCACATTTCTCAACCTTGGCATTTGGGGCTGGATAATTCTTTGTTGCGCAAGCTTATCCTTTGCACTGAGGTTGTTTAACAGCATCCCTGTTCTGTCCCCACCAGATGCTGGTAGCAACAATCTCCAAGTTGTGATGACCAAAAATGTGTCTGGATATTGCCAAATATCCTCCGGGGCGGGGGAAGGCGGGGGAAATCACCCCCAACTGGGAAATACCATCCTAGAGCCAGACAAGGGCAGATGCTAATAAATGTCAAATGGGAAGAAACAGCTGCCAGGAATCCTGATCTGGGGGATGGTGCACATCTGTGTGTTTGTGTGTGTATGTAAGTCAGTGCTTGAAGGGAAAGGAACGCCAGCATGTTTTCTTACCTTCATGGATTTGTAAAGTTTGTCGGCAAAGAAGAGAGGCTTGTTCTTGACACTTTGAACTGGTAGGAAGAGCAGAGAGATGCGGGGAACGTGGTCAGAGGCTGTGAACCCAGACTCTGGACCGGCCTCCCCCATCTCCCCACCTCGTCTATCCCTGCATGGGTCTGCAGATCATTGTCAACCCCAGGGTCATGCTCAGACGACACCTTTGCTCCCCTTCCCCATGCTTCCTCCTCTGGCCCATCCTTAGGCCTGGCTCTCAATTGGTTGCAACTCTCTTCCTTCTAAGGTGCTTACAGCTAACCAAGGTCAGGAGAGGATTCAAAGGTAATTAACTCCTCATGAACCCAAGGCACGGGGCCTCAAATTTTTAAATGCATTGGAATCACCCAAAAAGCTTGTTTAAAACTCAGGGTTTAGGCTCCACCCTAAAGATTCAGATTTTGGAAAGATTTTGAGCAGTGGTTCTCAAAGTGTGGTTTCCGGACCAACAACATTAGCATCACTTGAAAACTTGGAAGAAAGGCAGATTCTCATGCCTCAGATTCCAGATTCCAGAGATGCTGAATCTGAAACTCTAGAGGTGAGTGACCAGCTTGTCCTAGTTTGCCTGGGACACTCCAGGTTTTATTAGGTTGGTGCCAAAGTAATTACAATTTTTGCCATCACTTTCAATGGCAAAACTGCAATGACTTTTGCACCAACCTAACAGCACTGAAAGCCTTGCGCAAATCAGGATGGTTGGCCACCCTACTCTGGTGCAGCCTAATGCTTGAGAGTTACTGATTTAGAGAAATATTGCTCCAAAGAATGACTGTCCGTTGGTAAAATTTAAGGGACCATGCAAATCCCTGGGGCTGAGTGTTTCCCCAGGGCCTGAACAATCTTGCAGGATTGGCAGCCCCTGCTCCCTACCCTGGCTGCAGATAATGCCTGCCTGGTTTCACCAACCCCGCCCTTTCTCAAAGCCTAGGGTTCTCTAGCCCTTCACAGCTGCTTGACTGCAAGGCTCCAGAGCCCACGCACAGGTGTCTCAGACAGCTTAAAAAGGAGGAACCAGACACCAGTACTATAGCTGGAATGACTCTGGATATAATGAGAACAGACGGCAAGAGGCTGGAGTTGCGTACCCCAGTGGCAGAGTCAAGCAAGACTCCTCTGCAACAGGCTCAGGAACCCTGTGGAAAAGATCACATCACACACCTCCCATCTCCAGCTCCTTACATATCTCCCTACTACCTCCCAAACAAATCCCAAGCTCCTTGGCTTGAATGTCAAAGCTCCTGGCCTCCTTTGCAACCTCATGGCCCTTGCTCCCCCATTCCCAGAACAAACTGCAAATTCCTGTGTCTCTCTGTCCTTCCTGGATAGATGCATTTCCTATCTGCCCTTCACTACATTATCTCTCTAAATCAAATCCCATCCTTCAAGGCTGTACTTGATGTCCATGCCCCCAGTCATGACATCACCTCCAGGAAGCCTTCCCTGACTTCAGACCTAGGGCTTTATCAGTCTGGCTAAGAAGCACGCTGGGCAGAAACTTCTCTCCTCTGTAACCAACCCCACAAGTCTTCCTAAAAACTGAGCCTGTCCATCTGTCACATGGGACCCCGATGCCTGCCATTGGATGGAGGAGTGTGAAATGGTGTGTTGTGGTGTGTGTTTGCACGTGTATACCTGTTCAAGGTGGGAGGAGAAAGGGAAGAGGGAAATACACGAGGAGGGTAGGAATCTGAAAGTGTCTCCAAAGGCTAATTATTCTGGTGTTAAGAACATGAGCTTTGGAGGTAGGCAGCCTGTGGTTTGAGTCCTGGTTCTACTGCTATAAGCCTCTCTGAACTCAGTGTCCTCTTTTGTAAAATAAGCTGGTTAAGAGCACCTGATGAGAATGTAACTAAACCTGCGTGCAACTAACTTTGCGCAGGGCTTGGTGGGAAACAACAATACAAATACAAACTAACCCTTGTCCAGTGAGTATTACATGCCAAGAGGCACCGTTCCAAGTGCTTTACATATAATTAACTAATTTCAGCCTCACAAAATCCACCCTATGGGCTGGGCACTGTTGTTATCTCCACTTTACAAAGGAGGAAATTGAGACACAGAGGTTTTGTGACCTGCCCAAGGACATATAGTGAGTAAGTGGCAGAGCAGGGATTCAACCTGGATTCCATGCTTTTATTCGTCGGGCTATCCCGCCTCCTAGATATTGCTCCTGGGTGGTAAAGGCCCATCACGTGCTAAACAACACCCCTACCACCACCTCTACTTCACCCAAATCTAACACACCTTTCCCCCACATTTTAGTGTCTCTGAAATCAAGATGTGTTTTATAATTGAAGGCAATTATGTGAAAATCTTCCACGGATACCTCTTGGTAAGATTTTTTAAAAGTGCATTGATGCAATGTGTTTTATAGTAAATGAAACAAGATACCACTAATGATGAATATTAATGAGAATAACTTCAGCCCTAACCCATATCCACTCATCCATATTTATACACGGTGGAATTAAGATCCAAAAGGGAAAAACCTTTTCAAAGTCAAGAGCTCAAATTATATAAGCGTAACCAAAAAGCCAGGTACTGAGAGGAGACGAGGGTCTGTGTGTGTGTCATCTGCATCTAGCGTGTATGTGTCTTGTATGTGTGTGCATGTGTGCTGCGTATATGTGGTGTGCATGGGTCATGTGTGCATAGTGTGTGAGTGGTGTGTGTGTAGGTGTAGTGTCTTGTGGGGGTGTAGCATGTATGTGTATATATAATGTGTTCTGTGTGTGATGTGTGTATGTGTGGTGTGCACCTGTCACATGCATATGTAACGTGTTTTATGTATGAGTGTGTGTCACATGTGAGAATGTGTGTGTGTATAGTATGTGTCTTGTATATGTTAGGTGTGTGTGTCAAGTGTGTGTGTGGTGTGTGTGTGTATACACCCTAGTTGTGCAGGACAGCGTGCCCCCTCCCCTGCCTGCCCCAGTCTTCCTGGTTCTTCCCTAGCAACAGTTATTTTCTCACCCTCTCCTGCAGCCTCGCACAGACCTCATGACATTCCTGCACAATCACACATTTGGCAGCACCCCTGGAGGCGAACTGTGACAGTGTTTACTTTCCAGTAGTAGCTTCGGAGGCTGCCAAGGTTCTATTCTTCCAGAGAATCTGTTCAAGTTCCCAGTGCCCCCAGCCCTTCCCTTAGTCCCTGCCAGTTACCAATGGCCACAAATGCATCCCTGACATCCCCAGACATCTCCTTCTTGATGGTGTGCTCCACGTCATAGTTGGTCATCTTGATGAACTCCTGGAAGACTGGCCACAAGAGAAGCCCCAGAGGTGGGGGTGAGCTTCAGTGCAGGAGGCGGAGGACCCCTCCTCAGCCCCACCCAGTGCCTCCCACAGGCTGTGCCTGAGAAAGTGGAAGGGCAGCAAATATGGCCACAGCCCAGGCCTAAATGCATTGGGCAAGATCATCCCGATAGAGAAGCTCTGACATCAAGGCTGCCGTGGGCTCAGAGCCAAATCTGTCCCACGCCAGTCCCCGTGCCTGGCCAATGGTCTTAGAACCTCGGCCAAGTTCTGGGAACCCAGGCTGGGGTAGTAAAAGGAGCACGGGTCCTAGTCATGGTTCTGCCCCAGCTCACTGAGGGACCTTGGGTGATCCCTCTCCTTCCTGGGCCTCCTCTTCCTCCTGTGTCCGCTTGGGATGAAGACACAATGATAACACTCAGGAAACACTCACTGAGTCAGGCATTGCGCCAGTGCTTTATGTGTGTTATGTTTTTTGTATCTTCACAACAATCATCTCGGGTAGAGCTAAAACCCTGATTCCTACGTAAGGGAGCTCAGGCGCAGAGATTCGGTGACTTGCCTGAGGTCACATGGCTGTTAAGTGGGGGATTCAAATCAAGGCCGTCCAGTGCCCAAGTCCATTCTTTTAGCCACTATGTTAAAGCACCTTAAATACTGAGAAGTGCCAGACATTAAATGTAGACATTTAATGTAGTGCCAGACATTAAAATGTAAATGTCTCAGTGCAGGACACTTCATGATTACCGAGTGCCAGGGCCACTGCATACAGGTGTGCCCTGAGCATGCGGCAGCCTGTGGTTCAAAGATGTCTATGTGGGTCTTGTGCCACCACCACCTCTCGCTGCCTTGCTCCTGGCAGGCATCGCCAGTGAATCATGACGCGGGACCCCAGAATCCTTAACACAGCACTCTAGGCAGCTACTACCAATCAGAGTTGGCCTTTGAGGTGAAATCCAGTTGCTATACCTAATCCCGGGCATCCCACCTGCTTCCCTAAGGAGGAGAAAGAAGGTGAGGTATAAGTGGTAGAGCCAGGACTAGAACCCAGGGCTCCAGAGTCGCCGTCACCCATGACACGCTACTGCTGGGTTAAGGAGGAGGTGGGTGGGCAACGGGCTCCTCTTGCCACAGAGAGCTGAGAGGCTCTCATCAGATTCTGGGATCTTCCTGCTGAGCTGGGAAGGGAGGAGGTCAGGCCTCACCTCTCCGGAGGTGCGGATAGCTCCGGGTACACAGGATCGTCATGAAACGTGTCTCCAAGGAAGTTTTGTCTCCACTAGGTGTGTCTGCTATTTCCTGCAGAGCCCCAGTTGGAGCAAGGATTTGGGAGGGGAGACATGAGAAAGCCTTGGTTATTATTCACTTTCATGTCTTTGCCTGGGCTGAGGGCAGTCAGAAGCTGGGCTCACCCAGCCATCCAAGGGGGCCGAGACTGGTCCCCTCTTCCTTCCTCAAGCACAATGGCTTCTATACTCCCCTCTCCAGTTCACAAGGACCCTGTGAACTGACAAAGATGGCCTTAGCACTGGGTACTTCCATCCTAGCCTCAGGACCGTGGGGCTGGGGCTCCTAGGAGGACCCACATAGACTCTGAGCATAGCAACTGGGAGTTCCCCTTCCATCCCTCAACCTTTCTGCAAGCCCCTCTGGGAAGGGTGTATGGGGTCATATGCAGAGAAGATGGCCTGGCCAGTGTTTCCCCAAGCGGGGTCAAGGGCAAACACACCCGATCACACTGCACATTAGTGTTTCCATGATTGTCTTCTAGCTAGCTACTAGTTCTATTTATACTGATAGTAAATTCCCCTTAACTCATTTTGGGTTTAAGAGTGAGTCGATTTAAAGATCAGTATTAATAGCTGGTGGTTACACAGCACAAATCGTGCCAGAGATGATTAGCTGAAGTTTGGGAAACACTTGCCTGGCCTATCTTTTACCAAGCAGGGCCCGGAAGGGGAGAGAGAGAAGCCGCACAGCAAGCTCCCAAATCACTGCTCGATACTGCCCCGCTCGGCCCAGTAAAGGCGGACTTTACTCAGAGGCCGTTAAAACCCAAATGAAGAACAGGACACTCACCAAGATCTCAGCAGCCACCTGAGAGCAGGGAGGGGAGAGAGGAGGGAGAGAAGGGAGGCAAGAGTCAGAGGAGGTTGGGGAGGCTGGTGCTGGGGCCCTGGGGTGCAGGGTGAGGGGCCTGGCTGGGAGTGGGAGAGGTCCCAAGAGACCTGAGAGAACCCGGGATGCGAAAGGAAGGGGGGTAGGGACAAGATAAAAATACCTTCCTATGACCTTTTGGGCTGGAGCTCAGAATGCGGATAGGCCTGGCAATAACTAAAAACGTGTTCACTTGAAGGGTAAGAGAAAGACACAGAAATGGGGAACTCTGCCCTTCGCACCCCAAAACCCAGAGGAGATTCCAGGCCTGTTTCTTTGTCTGAAAGTGGAAATAATCCCTGCCACTTCCTTACAGAACCACTGAGATGTAAATGTGAGCAGTGCAAAGTTCTCTGCACCCTTTAGCATATTCAGAGTTCCAAGGCAAGAGACATGTAATTTTAGCCTTCATGTTACAGACAGGAAAGACTGGCCAGCTGAGGCCTTAAGGGGAGCTGACCTGCCTGGAGGCACACAGCAAACAGTGATGGGAAAGTCATTTTACAAGGGTTACTTTTAATCACTGCACTATGCAGAGCACAAAATTCTGTGGTTAGGACACTATTTTGTTAGGCAAATAGCTGTGACTTGGAGAGCCTGGGAACAAAATACCCAGGCTCATGTACCTAGGCTGCGTATTGCTTTCGCCGTTCCCCCAGAAACTCTGCTGACTTTATTCTATTGGATAGACTGAACTCTTTATAAACTTCACAATAGCCTATACTCTGGAAACCTTCCTCTTCTTTTCATTGCATAATTGGCAATGTCCGTTAAAAGTTAAAAGGCATATGCCATTTGATCAAGCAATTATATTGCTAGGAATTTGCCCTACAGGTATACTGGCAAAAGCCTTCCACGATAGAATACAAGACTGTTCACTGCAGCATTCTTTTTAATTTTTGGAGACAGGGTCTTGCTCTGTTGCCCAGGCTGGAGTACATTGGCACAATCTCGGCTCACTGCAACCTTGACCTCCTGGGCTCAAGCGATTCTCCTGCCTCAGCCTCCTGAGTAGCTGGGACTACAGGTGTGTGCCACCACATCCAGCTAATTTTTTTATTTTTTGTAGAGAAGGGGTCTCACTTTGTTGTCCAGTCTAGCCTCAAGCAATCCTCCTGCCTTGGCCTCCCAAAGAGTGCAGTGGTGCGATCTCAGCTCACTGCAACCTCCACCTCCCAGGTTCAAGCGATTCTCCTGCCTCAGCCTCCTGAGTAGCTGGGATTACATGTGCATGCCACCAGCCCAGTTAATTTTTTTTTTTTTGTATTTTTAGTAGAGATGGGGTATTGCCATGGTGGCCAGGCTGGTCTCGAACTCCTGACCTTAGGTAATCCACCCGCCTCAGCCTCCCAAAGTGCTGGGATTATAGGCACTGCACCTGGTCAGCATTTTTCATACTAGAGAAAAACTGTAAACCATCCTGAGATTGACTTGTTAAACAGGCTATGACTTATCCAATCAATGGAAACAATCCATGCAGTTTTTACAAAGGATAAGATTATCTACAATGCTGATAAGGAGAGTTTCCATTTAAATTAAGTAAAGAAGTAAAGTATAGCATATTTTTGTGTAATATAGTGTTTCTTTTATCTAGATTCAAAAAAAAATAGACACTCACTTTCTCATACTTCCTGGGAAGTACTTAAGAAACTGTCGAGACACCTTTGAGGAGAGGGACTATGAGGGAAAGCTTTCGCATTTTTTTTATTCTTCCTGAAAATTTCTTAAAGATGCAAAGATATTATTTCATTTTAAATTTAAATGTTAAATAAGAGTTATCAAGGCTACTAGGATTATGGGCTGCTTCTGGTTTTTAAAATATTTTTCTGTATTAAAAACAACCTATGCCAGGCACAGTAGCTCACACCTGTAATCCCAGGACATTGGGAAGCCAAGGTGGGAGGATCACTTGAGCCTATGAGTTTGAGACCAGCCGGGATAACGTGGAGAAACCCTACTCTACCAAAAAATTAGCTGAGCATGGTGGCGCACGCCGTTATTCCCAGCTACTTGGGGGGCTGAGGTGGGAGGATTGCTTGGGCCTAGAAGGTGGAGGTTGCAGTGAGCCAAGATTGTGCCACTGCACTCCAACCTGGGTCTCAACCCTATCTCAAACATCACAAAACAAAAACCTAGTTGAACCCTGAGGACATCATACTAGGTAAAGAAAGCCAGTCATAAAAGCATAAATACTGTATAATTTCACTTACATGAAGTCCCCAGTCAAATTCACAGACATAGAAAGAATGGTGGTTGCCAGGGGCTGGGGGAAGGGAGAATGGGGAGTGACTGTTGAGTGGGTCCAGAGTTTTGGTTTTGCATGACGAAAACAGTTTTGGAGGTGGCTGGTGGTGACAGCTGCCCAACAATGTGAATGTACTTAATGCCACTGAACTGTATACTTTAAAATGATTGGCCAGGCATGATGGCTCACGCCTGTAATCTCAGCACTTTGGGAGGCTGAGGCAGGTTGATCACCTGAGGTCAGGAGTTTGAGACCAGTCTGGCCAACATGGTGAAACCCTGTCTCTACTAAAAATACAAAAAATTAGCCGGGTGTGGTGGCAGGTGCCTGTAATCCCAGCTACTCAGGAGGGTGAGGCAGGAGAATCACTTGAATCCGGGAGGTGGAGGTTGTAGTGAGCCAAATTGCAACACTGCACTCCAGCCTGGGCAACAAGAGGAAAACTCCATCTCAAAATAAATAAATATATAAAATGATTAATATGGTAAAGTTGATATGTATTTTATCAAAAATTTGTAAAAACTTATGCTAAATAAAACGGTATCATTTTTAAAAAGAGAGAGAGAGGGACATGTTTAAAAAATTTAACAGAAAAGAATCCAAAGTCCCAATTGTTCTCACTTACGCGGGTCAGAGTACCCTAGACATACTCGGTTTTTCAAAGCATCTTTAAGATAATAATATCTGTAATGTAAAAAAAAAGTGGTGGGACACTAAATTAATATTCACCACAAAAGCTTGTTCTTATTAGCCTAGCTACTTCATGCAAAAATTAATCTGGACAGTTCCTCAAATGGTTAAACTTAGAGTTCTCATATGACCCAGCAATTCTATCTAAGAGAAATGAAAACATATGTGCACACAAAAACTTGTACACAAATGTTTAGAGCAGCATTAGTCATAATAGCCAAAAGGTGGAAATAACCCAAATGTCCATCAGCTGATGAATGGATAATAGACTATTATTTGGCAATGAAAAGGGAGTACCAACATGCTACAACACGGATGACCCGTGAAAACACTGTTAAGTGTTTAACATAGTGTTTAGGTTAGTGTTTTCTTAAGTGAAGAAGCCAGTCCAAAAGGCCACGTATTAATATCACTGTATTGACATGAGGTGTTTGGAAGAGGCACATCTGGAGAGACAGAAAGTAGATTAGTGGTTGCTTAGGGCTGGGGGGTTAGTAGGATATGAGGAGTCACAGCTAATGTGTATGGAGTTTCTTTTGGGGGTGAAAAAATGTTCTAAAATTGATTGTGGTGATGGTTGCATTAAGTCTGTGAAGATACTAAAAACCACCAAATTGTACACTTTAAATGGGTCAATAGTGGGGTAAATGAATTCTATTTCAAGAAAGCTGTTATATTTTTAAAAGCCTGGGCCAGGCATGGTGGCTCACGCCTGTAATCCTAGCACTTTGGGAGGCTGAGGCGGGCGGATCACTTGAGGTCAGGAGTTCATAACCAGCCTGGCCAACATGATGAAATCCTGTCTCTACTAAAAATACAAAAAAATTAGCTGGGCATGGTGTTGGGAGCTTGTAATCCCAGCTACTTGGGAGTCTGAGGCAGGAGAATTGCTTGAACCCAGGAGGCAGACGTTGCAGTGAGCCAAGATTGCGCCACCGCACTCCAGCCTGGGCAACAGAGCGAGACTCCGTCTTAAAAAAAAAAAAAAAAAAAAAAAAAAAAAAAAGTCTGAGTATTGATTATCTAAAAATGACCACAATCCTTCATTTCATGGTAGGTCTATAATAATTATTTATAATTTATTGCTCTAATTGGACAACAGAGTGAAAGGGGAAGCAATTAACAATCACTGTGGGGCCACAGTTGGAAATTGGACATATGTTCAACTGGTTAATAACAGTCCCAGACTTCTAAGAGCTTGAGGGTGTTCTAGACATCCAGAGTGAGAGACCGCCAGGGAGGCAGTGTAAAACAGGCAAATACAAACTGCCAAGTACTCATGTGCGTTATCTAAGGGGGAGCTTGACTCGGCCCTATCAAATGCCCTTAATTTTTATATACATTTTGCTCCCACATTTCCATTTCATCTCTGGAAATTCATTCTAATGAATAATTCATGAATGTGATAAAAGAGTTTGCTACTAGGAAGAAGGCTGGTTAAATAACATGGTAGATTCAGATATGGAACAGTATATAGCCATTAAATGATATCGTTGATTTAAAAATGCAACAATATTCACATAGTATTAATTTTTAACTGTCAGAAATAAAGAATCCACTTTTATATATACATAGAGAAGCAACTAGAATAATGTATGCCACAATACTGACAATGCTTATTACTATTAGGTTATGGAGTCTTTTTTGGCTTCTCCTTATTTTCTAGTTTCTATAAAAGAATGTACTGCTAGTTATAAGAAAATGAGCTTGGGTCTAGCATCCTAAATCTGGAGAAGCAGCCGAGTTGGGCAGGGATCTCGCTCAAGGGTCCCTTAGCTATTTCCACCCGGGTTCTCTCTCTCCACTTCTCTCCTTTTGCGAAGCAGCTGTCAGCAAGGCCCACCACTGCCCCCTGCTAGCGGCAATTGGAAGCACAGCCTCATTGGCAAACCAGGCACCAGGCAGAAGCATTCCCTGGAAGATCAATTCAGGGTTGGAGGATGGATTTGGGGTGAGAGCTGAGATTTTTAAAAAACTCTCAGCAGCACACGAGGCTGTTCACAGTAATACTTAATAAACGTCTGTTGAATGAGTGAATGAAATGTGGCCTCAGCAAGCCACCCTAGTGTCTGGCTGGGTTCTCAGCCTAACCCCCATCCATGTGCCCACAATGTAGCTGAAATGCCATACATTTAAATGTAACCCTGCAGCTTTTGACAACCATATTCCAAAGCAAGGGTTGGACAACTGGACAACAACAGCTATTTGATGTGGAAGCTGCAGGGGACCTTAACTCTACTGGGTCTTGGAAGATATTACTGTAAATGGAATTAAGCATAGACTCTGGCATCAGGCAAGCCTGAGTTCAAATAAAACCACCACCACTTAGAAATTCTTTCATTGAAGAGGTTAAGGAGCTTCATTTTCTTCTAGTAAAAAGGGAGAACATAAAAACGTATAGAATAATCTTGGCATCGTTCTCAATATATAGTATGCATTCTAAAAATTATAATTACAATTCTGTAACTGTCAGGTTCCAGCTAAAGATTTTTCTAGCTCAGATGCTGTTGTAGCAAACCACACTTCTGTTATGGGACCTGGGAACAGAAAAGTTGGTTCCCTGACTCTCAATCCATCAGTGCTCTTTTCAACTCACCAACTATAAAAGAAGGGGGCTGGATGTCTATAAAAGTCTGTGGTGTCTGTGCCCCACATCCCTGGACACAGCTTTTGGGGGCGGGAAAATGAGGCAGTCAGAAGAGATGGAGACATGGACCTGGGTCAGGCTACTGGGTGCTGGGATCAAGGTGCAGGTCAGTGGGGGACAATGCACTGGCCTCAGTAGGGACTGCCCAGCCATAGAACCCTCAGGGAAAATGAATTTGGGGTTGTCCAACCTCCAGAAGAAGCCATTTCCAGACCTCAAGCTCACTAGGCTAAGGAGCAGGGCTGAGGCAGAGCAGCCAAGAGACTCCTAGAGAACCCTTTTCCCTGCTATTCATTCAACAAATATTTATTGAGCACTGATCATGTGTTACTTTGGATATATCAGTGAACAAAATGAAGATTCCAGCCCTTGAGGAACTTACTTTCTAGGCTCGTCCCAGGACACTCCCTCCAATCTCGGTCCCATTTTACAGATAATAAACCGAGGCCTTTAGCACTCAGGCCCTCTTCTCAGCAAGTTCCCAGACCAGCTCTCTAGGGGTCAATTCTACTGGGGCCACTGATTTGCTGTGTGACTTTCAGAAGTCATTTGCCCTTTCTGGACCTCCATTTTCCCACTGTAACATGAGGGCTTTGACCTGGGTGATCTGCAGGTCCCTGCCAGCTCTGAGGGTCCTGCTATTCACCTAGGAAATGCCAGTAATACCAGCACCACACTTCTAAACCTCATTTCTACAGTCTAAGTATCAACCAATCAAACCAACCACGCCCCTGCCAGGAGCCTTCACTCACAGACAGGGCCCGGCGTAGACACGCATAAGCTGGACCTACATCTCAGGGACACCCGGCAGAGGTGACTGGGGTGGGCTGGGGGTCTTACCTGGGCATCTTCCCGTGCCTGGTCCAGGTTTTCTCCTCCCTCCTCACGATGCCCCTGCAGCAGGAGCAGCAAGAAAGTTCAGTCCCCAAACATCGACCCATCTCCATCTCTGTACCACCACACACCCTGCTCATTTTCACCTCTCTGAATGCTCTTCCTCATCAGCTACACAGGGACGAAAATCCTGCCTCTATAAGGTAGGCTGTTGTGGTCATTAACTGAGAATGTGTGCAAGACACTTAGCACCAATGCCTGACACACAGCAAGCTCTCGGTAACTGTCAATGAGGGTCTGCCATTTTGGTTATGGGAATTCAAGAGATGGTGACAGAAGCTCCCAGGTAACAACACAGGAGAGGGTCACCCATATGGCTTTGTCCTGTGAGCTGGGGGCCCAACAAGCCAGGACAAGGGCCACCAGGGAGGACTGTCTGGAGAAGGTGGTACCACGCCAACTTTGACAAGGGAACAACAGGGGTAGGCGGTGGAACTCTAAGGAGGCAAGTGGGGAGACACCCCCTCTCCATCAGGAGTGCACTTCTAACTCCCCTGTGCCCTCCACTCAGTAAACCTTCCCTTCCTCCCAGGCCTCCCGATGGGCAAGCCGACCTGGGGCCCATGAATTCACTCACCGTGGCCAGAGAAATGAGGATCCTCCTGAAGTGGCCAGATGTGTCTGAGCTCAGAGCATCCTCCAGGGACTTGTGATAGTCTGAGGCAGAGAAAGGGGGTGTGGGTAGCTGCTGGCCAAGAAGGATTTGGTTGCGGGGAGGGAGGTCCAGGAAACTCAGGCTTGAGCCAGGGCAGTATTGGCAGGGGGAGGTGGGGATGAAAGGGTTTGTAACTGGCTCATGGGGGCATCCAGCCATCCTCCTGCTGATTTTGTAAGACAATGGGCATTCCCATCAACCCATCATCTCCCCTCCATCCCCTCAGCTCTGTCCCAGTTGAGGTCCCATTGCATCTCGCCTTTAATATTTAACAGCCTCTTAAGTCACCTCCCTGTTGTCATTCTCTCTTCTACCTTCCCTCCTGCATGGCAGTTGCTAAACCCAAAAGCAGAGCTCTGACTATGTCACTCCTGTACTCAAAAATTCTGCCATTTTAAAGCTGCTTATAAGATAAAAAATGTAAACTTTTTTTTTTTTTTTCAAGACAGGGTCTCACTCTGTCACCCAGGCTGGAGTGCAGTTGGCATGATCAAGGCTCACTACAGCCTCGACCTCCCTGGGCTCAGGTGATCCTCCCACCTCAGTCTCCTGAGTAGCTGGGACTATAGGCACATGCCACCACACTTAGCTAATTTTTTTGTTTTTTGTTTTTTTTGAGATGGAGTCTCATTCTGTCTCCCAGGTTGGAGTGCAGTGGCGTGATATCGGCTCACTGCAACCTCTGCTTCCCAGGTTCAAGTGATCCTCCTGCCTCAGCCTCCTAAGTAGCTGGGGCTACAGGCGCATGCCACCACGCCTGGCTAATTTTTGCATTTTTAGTAGAGACGGGGTCTCACCATGTTAGCCAAGTTGGTCTTGAACTTCTGACCTCAAGGGATCCACCATCTCGGCCTCCCAAAGTGCTGGGATTACAGGGGTGAACCACCGCACCCAGCCAATTTTTATATTTTTTGTAGAGACGGGGTTTTGCCATGTCGCCCAGGCTGGTCTCGAAGTCCTGGGCTCAAGCAATCCGCCTGCCTGAGACTCCCAAAGTGCTGGGATTACAGGTGTGAGCCACTGCACCTAGCCGATTTAAACATTTTTGACTGGTACTCAAGATTCTTCAGAATGAAAATATGGGGCCACTCGCTTAAAAATGAAGAATTTCTGGACAGTGACAGCATAGCTTGCAACCAAGTGTGGGGCCCTTCTGGCTGTGGGGCCCTGTAGAACTGCATGGACTACACACCCCTAGAGTCGCCCTCCCTCTCTCCAGCAGGCCAGAATGTTCTCTGTTCCCACTTCCAGCCAAGCCCTTTTCTACCTCCAGGCCTTTGTCCTACCAGGACACCTGTCTTTTCCCCAGACACAGGGATGGGCACACCCAAGAGGCTTATCAAATCCTCAAGGACTGAGGGAAAGGAGACAGGCCAGAGTCCTGGGCAGAGCTGTGGGCTGGGGTTGGAAGTTGGGGGGCCTGGCTGTTCTCCCAGCATCTGGGCCCAGGCCTCCCAAACTCACCCTCCTTATAGGCCTCATTGATGGCCCGGATTTCAGCATTGGTCCGAGTGGCCAGGATTTCAATAAGAGCCTTTTCATCTGTGCCGGCTCCCTGGAATGTCAAGGCAAAGATGATCTCAGCCATAGTTCTGACCTCCTGTGCAGAGGTCCATGGGGCCCGGACGGCTAAAGCTCAGGCCAAGCATTCCTGGATTTTCTCCTCACCTCCAGACATGGCCCTCAGGCCCAAGACCTTGGCACAACCAAGGCTGACTATGCCAGCCTCTCAAGATCCCCAGAACCTCCCATGTGAACTGCTTTGCCTTCCAGCCCCCCAAACAGAAAAGGTATATAGGCGTGTGTGTATAACACCACATATACACATGAACATCTGAATAGAAATTTCTACTTGTAAGTATTGGAAGAGAACAGAAGGACACGCACATGCCTCACAGTGTTAACTAGCAGTTTGGTCTCTGTGTGAGTGAAGGATCACAGATGATTGCTATTTTCTTCTTTTTTACTCTATTTCTTCAAGTCTCCACAGTGAACATGTATTATTTTGTTAGAAGAAAAAAAGTTTTGTGCTTAAGATAAAATGCTAAATTTTTTTTCTTTTGAGACAGAGTCTTGCTCTGTCGCCCAGGCTGGAGTGCAGTGGCATGATTACGGCTCACTGCAACCTCCGCCTCCCAGACTCAGGTGATTCTCCTACTTCAGCCTCCCAAGTAGCTGGGGCCACAGAAGCATGCCACCATGCTTGGCTAATTTTTGTATTTTTTGTAGAGACAGGGCTTCACCATATTGTCCAGGCTGGTCTGGAACTCCTGGACTCAAGCCCAAAGTTTTAGGAATACAGACGTGAGCCATCATGGCTGGCTTACATTTGTTTACTCTTGGATTTGAGGAGTGATTTATGAACTGAGGCGTTACATGCCCTGGACTAAGGCAGGCTGGGGACCTGTCATGCAAAGATCTGCACACAGGGAAGCAGGGAAACTATCAGGGAGGAGAGGAGGCAGGCAAGATTGACTGATTGATTGACTGAATGAGTCAATGACTAATTCACTCATTCAGGTACTTGTTAAGACACCTATTATGTGCTAGCCACTGTGCAAGGTGCTGGGGCTACAACTACAAAAAAAAAAAAAAAAAAGTCCGGGCGTGGTGGCTCACACCTGTAATCCCAGCACTTTAGGAAGCTGAAGAGGGCAGATCACTTGAGGTCAGGAGTTCAAGACCACGCTGGCAAACATGGTGAAACCCCTTCTCTACTAGAAAGACAAAAAAATTAGCTGGTCGTGGTGGCGTGCGCCTGTAATCCCAGCTACTCAGGAGGCTGAGGCAGGAGAATCGCTTGAACCTGGGAGGTGGAGGTTGCAGTGAACCGAGATCACACCACTGCACTCCAGCCTGGGCGAAAGAGCGAGACTCCGTCTCAAAAAAAAAAAGAGAAAGGCAAGAGGCAAGACATGTTCTCTGTCCTCAAAGAGGTTACTGCCTAGTGCTCTAATGGTCCTGCCTTCTCAGATCCTAGGAGATTCATCCTGATTGAGATCTTCAATCATTTCTTTGTTAGAAGCAGGTGTGTGGTGAGGCAATCAAGAAAGTCCTGAGACTGGGTCTAGCCCTCGTCTCCCCCTAACTCACTGACTCTCTGAGCCTCTCTGTTTCCCACTTGGAAACTTTGAAAATGGAAAGGATTCAGTTGGGTTACCTCATCGATCTCTTCTATTTCTGAACCCTGTGTCTTTAGATCGTTTGCTTTTTGGCTTAGGTATTTTAAGAAACAATCATCTCAATCTGCTTAGCCTAGGCAATGTTTTTATAAAGTCCTCTAGCTCCCCATTGCTGCCCTCCTCTTAATGCGCAAGGGGCCAAAAGCACTACTGGTTTTATGCGGTTGTCAAGACAGGCTCTAGAGTCAGAAAGACTGGTCTGAACCTCAGCTTTGCTACTTCATAGCTCTATGACCATGACCAAGCAACTTAACCTCCAAGTCTCAGTTTCCTCATCTGTAAAATGGGGACAAAATAAGAGCCCTGCCTTGTGGCTTGAGGAGGCAACTAATTGAACTAATGTACCTAACCTGGGAGAGTTACCATATGCTCTTTATAAACAGTAGCCATTAGTACAATTGGTACCTTGGGAAGCAAAGCAGTTCTAGCAACTTCTGGGCCAGGACATAATGCTTTCTTGTTTAATGTAGGGTCAGGTCTTCGGAGTTAACAATGCCCTTCATACCTGTGACCTTGATTGACCTGTCCTAGTTTGAAGGGCAGAGGTGACCATTTCCATTTCCCAGATGAAGGCACAGAGGATTGGGAAGTGTAAGGAATGGCCCAGTCACACTGTGAGTGAGTGGCAGGTCTAGGCTGGAGTACAGACTCCAACTGCTGGTGCTTTCGTTCGAGACCCACCCCACTTCCTCCAGCGGCTCCATGAGACCCTTCTGACACCAGTGGGCATGTGACTTAAGCTGAATCAACTTGGAGTAAATGCCAAGCCTGTTGTTGGAGCTCCTAGGAAGAAGGAACTCTTTCTGCTGGAGCCGCTAGCTGGCGGGATGGACATATGCCACCATGAGGAGAAAGGCTGCCTGAGAGTGAAGCCAGAAGGGAGGACAGCAGAGCCAAGACAGGGGTGAGCCAAGGGTCCACAGAACATCATTTGAGTCTCTGGACTCAGAGCTAGTCCTGTAGTTTTCAGTTATAGGAGCCAACATCTCCTTTTGTGTTTATGCCAGTTTGAACTGAGTATGGGAGGAGTTCTACCAAGAAGTTACAGCTAATCCACCTGGGCTTATGAGGATCACCTGTATCCCTATTGGCACCCGCAGACACTAGACCCCCTGGTGCCACACTGTACCTCCATGGCCTTCTTCAACTGCTTGGCATCGTAATGGGCCGGTGGCATCATGAGCCCCAGAATCAGCCTTGCCAGGTCTCCAGAGATCTCAGACTTCAGGTCAGTCATTAAGTCCTGCAAAGGGCAGAGCCACAGTCATGCCAACATCAGCACTTGCCCACACATGACTCAGGATGGGAGAGATGGAAAGAGAAAACAGGGGTTCCACATGAGGGATCATGGAAGCTTGTGTCTGTCTTTGCTGATGTTGTACTTATTATTTAGATGAAGCCAAAGAGGGTAGGGAAAAAACAACCAGGAGGAAGACCCACTCTCCTTGACACAGGAGACAGGAACGGGAAGGCAGCAGAGCTGAAGGACACTGTTTCCACTCAGGGGGAAATGCATCAACCTAAGCCAGATGCCACCAATGTGCAATAATCCCTGACACTCAGTTGGGGCCTTGAAGCCAGCTCTGTCTGTGCAGAGGAATTGCAAGATGCCCAAAGCACACTGAAAACAACTCATAGCCCTGATCTTGGCCCCATGCTGTGCCTCTGAGTCCACTGAGCAACTCACACAAGTGTTGCCCATCACAAGGAACTGGGGGCATGGAAAGATATGTCTGCCCAAACCCAGTGCTGGAGACACTCTGAGATCATATGACCACACAGGGTCCCTCTGCCATGAAGACCCTGGTGCCCAACTGTGCAGAACCGATGGGGACAGGCTGAGCTCAATCAGGCAAGGTGCATGCATGTTGCACAGAGAGCCCAGGAGGAGGTCCTTACCCGGCCAAAGTGAGACTTGAAGGTCTGCCGGATCTGCTGCCGCTGGACATTGCTGCGGTGCGTGATGATATCGATGATTGTGTCTTCGTCAGTCCCTGAGTCACCAAAGCCACATGCCTCAGAAGAAGGCCTGTGGCTCTCGGCTTTCCCCATGCACCGCCCACTGATGGCCCCTCATCGATCTTTGTCAGGGTAGAAGCCTGGCTAAGCGGCCATGTGCTCCTGAGTCCCTGCAGTCCGCTTGCCTATGGCTCAGGCCACTGATTTCTGCTGGACTCCTCCCTCCCTTTCCTTTTGACACGCTGAGGAAAAAGGACAGCTGGGAGGTAGAGAGCACTGGGTTGGGAGTCAGTGCCTCTGAGTTCTAGTTCTGGCTCTGGCAATGGCTGCCCACCCTGGGCAAGTCCCCTTCCCTTGATGGGACTTGGTTTCCACATCTGTAACATGAAGAGGCTGGAGTAGTCACCAAGGGATCCTTCCAACCCTGACAGTCCAAGTCCTGTTAGCAACTCTATGTCCTTTCTCTTCAGCTCTCTGGAAGCTGGACCCTGAGTCCCTCTAACCACAGCAGGTTGACTCTGGAAGGCATTAGAATATCACTTCCTGCTTCTCAGATTAATGCCATCAACCACAGACCCAGCACAGGGGTCTTTCATGGCATTTTTACCTCTAGCATCCTACAGTCCCAGGCGAGCTTGGCAGGTATCATCATTCCCATGAGACACATGGAAAGGAGGCTCAGGAGGGTGATGGACTTAACCTAAAGCCTCCTGGGAGTTGCTGTCAGACAGATGGGGCAGAAAGGCAAAGAAAGCCAAACCCTAGATGGCCTGTCCCAGGCTGGACTTTCTGAGCACAGGCCCAGCTGATCTGAACCTGTGGGTGCAGTACTCTTCCCACTGGTGCCAAATATAGGTCTGAAAGACCTGCCCAGCAGGGCACACTCCCACCACAGAATGAGGGAGGGCTCTTGGGTTCCAGGGTCCACAGCCCTGATTTTACACATAGGGAAATTCAGACCCAGAGTGGCGGAGAGGCTCACCCAGAGTCACACGGTGAGTCAGCAGCAGAGCCAGGGCACCATGCCAATTTTGTGACCTGGTACTTTCTTCAGTGCCAGGATACTGCTTCCAGGAGGCTGGGGGACACCTTGGTCCCTGGAAAGGGCTTCTGCCAAGTTCCTTATGAACCCTCTCCTGCCCCTCCTCTCTATACTCTGGGAGCTAGGAGGGTGGAAACTTGAGATCAAGCCTTCCTCATCCTGCAGACTCTAATTTGAAACCTCACTCCATCCCCTGCCAGCCCACGGCCAAACCCACCACACCTGCTGCCCTGGAGACCAACCCTGCTCCCTTCCCATCCCCCATACCGAGTCCCTTCATGGCTTTCCGCAGCGCTTTGGCATCTGCGTCAGGGTTGAAGTCATTGGCTGGGCGCACAGTTCCCTTCAGCTGTGAGAAGCA
This sequence comes from Homo sapiens, assembly GCF_000001405.40. Classification (NCBI taxonomy): domain Eukaryota; kingdom Metazoa; phylum Chordata; class Mammalia; order Primates; family Hominidae; genus Homo; species Homo sapiens. The sequence continues at coordinate 151,124,380 of NC_000005.10, forward strand.
GAAAGAGACTCAGCAGGTGTCTGAAGGCCCCCCTGGGGACCAGGCTGAAAGACAGCATGCGAGGGTGGGAAGCTCACCCCATGAGCCCAAACCAAGCGGCGTGGGTGGGGAAAGAGGCAGAGGTGAAGCCACAGCAGACAGACCCTGCACGAGAGCTGAGAGAGAGAGAGAGAGAGAGAGAGAAAGAGACAGAAAGATATAGAGAGAGGGAGAGAGGGACTCAGGGCTGGGAGCAGGGCAAGTCCTGATCAAGAGAAATTGGCTAGGCTCCCGCCTGCCACGGGATCTGCCTCGGTTCTAGTGCCCCTTGGCTGCTTATTCCACCGGGGCATCCCCAATTCTTCTGAATCCTACCCTGCCCCCGAGGCCCCCTCTGCCTCTTAAAGAGTCATTCCCCCTGAAAAGGCAGCAGAAAAGTTCTGAAATACCAGAACAGAGTTTCCCAAATTTCAGTCACTCCTAAAGGACTTTCACTATTCCAAATTAGCACACACACTATGCCATCTCTTAATGGTTTTATGTAATTCAACTTCTTTTCTGTCTACTTAAATGCATCAATTTTTGAAGTGCATTTAAAATTACTCCCAAAAGGCAAGGAATTGTATCCGTTTTATCCTGTTACATATCCCAGGTGCCTACAACAGTGTCTGACATAATAGGCACACTCAAAAAATAATTGTTAAGTGGATTAATGAGGCTTGGCACAATGGCTCATGCCTGTAATCTCAGCACTTTGGGAGGCCAAGGCAGGAGGATCGCTTGAGCCCATTGGTTCAAGATGAGCCCAGGCAACATGGTGAAACCCTGTCTCTACACAAATTAGCCAGGTGTGGTGGTGTCCACCTGAGGTCCCAGCTACTTGGGAAGCTAAGTGGAAGGATCACCTGAGCCTGGGGAGGTGGCAGTGAGCCATGATCATGCCACTGTACTCCAGCCTGGATAACAGAGTGAGACCCTGTCTCAAAAAAAAAAAAAAAAAAAGGAATGGATGAAATTAATTTTATATAACTACCATGAATTAGGAAGTTGATACCATGTATCATAAACTGACAATTTACCACAAAAATCAACATAATAAAAACAAAAGAGGTGATATACCATGAAATTTAACATGATGCCTCTACTTGCCAGAAGCTCTGAAACTTAAAGCGAGCTCTCTCAGCTTTCTCTTTGTGAAAAAGGAAAATCAGCAAGTGTTGCAGAGACGGCGGCACCAAACCAAGACTTCCTCTTTGACGTAATCAGAAACGCTGATGAAATTGGAAAGGAGTGCCTTTCTCATTCACTCTGTGGAGTTCAGCGTTATTCAACCCTGCCAAACTAAATTCACTTCTCACATCACCTACAATCATCTGCAAAGATCTCTTGCCTTATCATTTGGGGAACACTGTCCTAGAACATCAGAGCTCAAGAGCCCTAAGAGATCACCGAGATTGCCATGTTAACCCCTCACTTTAAAGATGGAGACATAGAGGCCCAGAGGGAGGGGGCACCTTCCAAAGGTTACATAGCGAATAAGTAACAGAGAGCTCCAAGGTCCCATGCTTTTTTGTGTGGACCAAGTGTTGCAGTCTCTGGAATGGTTTGCCTAAAGTACTTTAGTGAAACCTTTCATTCCTGTCCTTTGTGGACCCCCAGTCTGAGGATGCTCAGGAGGACAACCTGAAATCCTCCAGTGCACCCAGGGATGCCCATCTGTTCTCAGCTTTCATGTCTCTGAGGCCAACTGTTTCGACTCCAGACGGGACAGGCCCCTCCATGGAACCAGCCAGGTCTCCATTTCAGCAAGCCCTGTTAGTAAGTGGGCCAGAACCCTTTCCAGCGTGTCAGAAGCTAATGCAGAAACCAGGTGCGCCCCTCCACCAGTTCACCACTCCAAGGGAGAAAAGGAAGCTTCAGATGTGAGAATCAACGTGTCGGGTTGGCCGCCAGGGGGCAGCTGGGTGCCAACCAGAGCAGCAGGAAGGTGCAAGCAGAGAAGCTGTGGTCAAGAGGTCAAGCAGGAGGAGGGGAAGGTCTGACCTCTACTCGGGCCACTGCACTAAGTTCCCACATCTGATAGGCCACCTGCGCTGCCTCCGGGAAGAACTGGCCAGCAGCACTGGAATGGAGGGGTTTAGGGAGAGGACAGGAAGGAATGTCATCATGGGCAACACTCACACCAACACACACACACACACACACACACACACCCCAACACATACACACACGTGCACACACCACACACACATTAAGCTTTCTTTCTCTCCAGCCTATGCCTCCTCCATTCGCCAGAGTCCTCCCTCCATTTCTGAGAACCTTCCATCTCTTGAGACCCCCTGCAATGCTGCCTTTTTTATTTTTTATTTTTATTTGAGACGGAGTTTTGCTCTTGTCACCCAGGCTGGGGTGCAGTGGCTCGATCTCAGCTCACTGCAACCTCTGCCTCCCAGGTTCAAGCGATTCTCCTGCCTCAGTCTCCCAAGTAGCTAGGATTACAGGCACCCGCCATCACGCCTGGCTAATTCTTGTATTTTTAGTAGAGATGGGGTTTCGCCATGTTGGCCAGGCTGGTCTTGAACTCCTGACCTCAGGTGATCCGCCCGCCTCAGCCTCCCAAAGTGCTGGGATTACAGGCGCTGAGCCACTGTGTCCGGCCAATGCTGGCTTTTAAGGGCAGCCTTCCTGGCTGCAGAGTCCAAGCAGGATAGGATTTTTCCAATCCTTCAGCCTCCCCTTTCTTCCTTAGAATTTGAATGGCTTCTATCCAACTCTCCCCTCTCAAAGAGGCCATTGAGCAAGCTATGGCCATGCCAGCCCTGCATCTCCTCCTGCAAAGTGCCTGGATGCATCAGGAGCTCAGTAATATCTGCTGAACTGCATCAACCCCTATGGTCCTTACCAAAGGTTCACAGGAAATTCTTGCATCCCTTCTGTAATTGGATCTTTATAAGATCCAGAGAAAGGAAATCAGAGCGCAGCCTGTTCCCTTTCTCAAACACAAATCTGGTCAAGTAATGTCCCAATTTAACATTCTGGGAAGAGGCCCCCAGGCCCTCCCACTTCTCTGCCTTATTTCTCTCTCTAGTACTCCATAAATGCATGACTTCGGACATATGAATGAATCAGGCCACTCCTTCTCACTCCTCGGCTTTTCTATAGGTGATTTCCTCCACCCAAACACTGTCCCCAGACCCTCTTCACCTGGCTCTTCCCCTTCCTCCTTGGGTCTCACCGTGTATCTCCAAAGAGTCTCCCCTTGGTCTGGGCTAGGGCATCTCTGTGTGCTTTTATATATGCTTTCTATGTGGCACAGCCAGTTCTCCCCAGCACAGGACTGCTCCCTTCTGGAAACTGGTCTATACCCTTCTGCGCTGTGGCCTTCATCAGGGGCTTCCTCACAGGGTCTGCACCCAGAAGGCACTTAACACAAATATGCTGCATAAATGAGTAGGCAGAGCAGGAATGTGTCCTTTTCCCATTTAACAGGTGATGAAACCGAGAAATGGCTATGAAATAGCAGGGATTGGATGCTCATATTCTGGTTCCTAGTCCACAACCCCAGACTGACTTTCCAAGTTCACAAGAGCAGACATCTCCATATACAGGAGACCACGCTCACGTTCAGACCCCCACACTCTCAGACACACAGACCCACAAGCACAGCAGCTACCAGCAAAAGCCGCCTTTCACTTGTGCGACGCTCCTGGCTCAGGGGAATCCCCAGCTCATCCAATCCACCCATCAGGATGCGAGCCAGGAGAGTCCCCGCCTGGCACCCCAAGGCCATGCCCTCCAGCCAGGGGCCAAGAAGCCACTTACTCATCATCTCCCCCAGACAGCTTCAGCAGAGTCTTCTTGTACTCGCCAGAGGTGTCATTCTGAAGAGAAAGAAAGAAAGGTTACCTCTCACCCAGCCCTGGGCTCCTCTCAGACAAGGAGGTGAAGGTTCTGCACAGCCTGAAAGAGGGGAAGGCTGAATGAACACTTATTCATAGCAGCCCTGGCCCTCCTGTGCTGGTTAATATTGAATAACTGGTTCTCAGCGGGCAGGTTGGAGGAAGCCCTAATTTATAGCATTTGCCTATTTCTGTGGTGTAAATACTTCTAGCAATGGACAATTTCAAGTTACCAATATGACTTTGCTACCAATATGCGGAGTTGAGAAGAGATGCTCGCTGCCCTTTCAAGCCAGTGCCCCAGCACAGCACTGCCACCAGACAGTCCCCAGCCCAGTCCTTCCACATGAAATATGCATGGAAATGGGGTTCCATGAGCAAAAATATTGGGAAATGCAAAAAAATCAAACAAATATATATTACACAGATGCACATATCCGTATAGATGCATATTCCATATCCCTCTTGGGGCTTCATAATGGACTTCAAAATGTGAAAGGCTGTGAGAAGTTCTGAGGTAAAGAAACTGGCTTATTTATCTTTGCTTATTGTGGTTTGTTACAAACTTATTTTCCCATAGAACATTTTGCACATAACACCTAAAAAAATTACCCTTTGGAAACATACTTTGGAGAATACAACTTGGATCTCTTTCTCTGTCACCCCATAAAGTTTTATTTCAGTCATCCAAAAAAAAAAAAAAAAAGGGAAAACCCCTAGCTTTACATATGTCTCCTGATAAAGCCTCAGGGGCCGGATGTCCCAGAGTCATCACCAATCACCCGGCCCAGGCCAAAGGTTCCCCTTTAACCCTCATTTGTGTTCTTCAGTGTTTCCCAGCCTTCTTCCAGGAGACTGAACTATCACTGCCCTTGGGGCAGAGTCCTCGCACTTAATTCAGCTTGCGTGTCCTTCATGACCCAGCCCCTGCCTCCTTCTGTAGCCTTACCACTCACAAACACCCCTAACACTTGCTTTTCTGTTGAATATCCTTAAATTCCTTGAATGAGCCACAAGGCAGGAGCTCCTGGAATGTCCAAGAGACTCCCACTTCCTAGGACATTTCCTTTTCCTGGGAATAGTCCCCAAGCCCTCTGTCTTGGCAAAAAGCTCTTTGCTCCCTTCTCTGCCCCCATGAGCTCTGCTGACCTTGATCATGCTGTAGAGGGACTTCTCATACTTGGTCCGGAAGATCTCCCGAATGTCGAGCATGTCCAACTCACTACGGGAGACCATGATGCGGATCAGGGTGTTGTCCCGAGTCCCCAGGCCCTGCAAGACAAGTGGGTTTGGGGAACATGGACTTGAGAGGAGGCTAGAGTGCTGATAGCTCCCAGCTTAGTTGAAAATCCTATTTTCATAATAAAAAGTTAAAATTTAGAGCAAAAGAAGCAGACATTGCCATTCCCATTGAAGCTCTCTCTATGCTCCTCTTACTGTTTTGTTTGTTTGTTTGTTTGTTTGTTTGTTTCTGAGACAGTGTCTCACTCTTGTCCAGGCTGGAGTGCAGTGGTACGATCTCAGCTCACTACAACCTCTGCCTTCCAGACTCAAGCAATTCTCCTGCCTCAGCTTCCTGAGCAGCTGGGAGTACAGGTACCCACCACTACGCCTGGCTAATTTTTGTATTTTTAGTAGAGATGGGGTTTTGCCATGTTGGCCAGGCTGGTCTTGAACTGGCCTCAAGGGCTGCCTTGGCCTCCCAAAATGCTACGATTACACACATGAGCCACCATGCCCGGCCCTCTCACTGTTATAAACCTCTTCTCTCTTCATGTATAATTTCCACACTTGATTTTCCTTATAATTTTACCATAGCTTTGTAACTCTAAGCAATACACTTAGATTTACACATTTTGGAACTCTGCAAATATACCACTGTGCATTTAGGTTTTTGCTGTACTATTCCTGATGGTCACTGGGTTGTTTCTAGCTTTTTCCTAATATAAGCAATACTGTTATAAGTTTTTTTTTTCTTTTTCTTTTTTTTTTGAAGAGGCAGGGTCTCACTCTGTTGTCCAGGCTAGAGTACAGTGGCGTGATCACATAGCACTGCGTTCACTGAAGCCTCAAACCCAGGGGCCCTGTGCTCAAGAAATCCTCCTGCCTCAGCCTCCCGAGTAGTTAGGACTACAGGTATGTGCCACAGTCCCTGGCTAGTTCTATTTGTTATTTTTGTAGAGACAAGGGTCTTACTATGTTGCCCAGGCTGGTCTTGAACTTTGGGCCTCAAGTGATCCTCCCACTTTGGCCTCCCAGAGTGCTGGGATCATAGGTGTGAGCCACTGCATGCACTCAGCCTTGTGATGGGCATTCTTAATGAATTCATGCATACAGGCAAACATCTCTCTAGGGCTGAGCTGCCCAACCTCATTATGGCACACTGGTGGGCAGAGAATGGCCGACAGTCTACTTTGTCCTTTCGGAATGGCCAACCAGGGCCAGAAAGGCCCAAGCTCCTGTGTCTCGGGCCTCAGGCCTCTGGCAGCAAATAACTGCATTCATTTCCTCCAGTGCATCACAAAAATACCAGTTTCTTTGTGCGTCATATGTGTAAAAGCCTGGGAAGCTTTCTCAGAAACACACCCAGAGTGGAACTGTCACAGGGTGAGCATCATGAGTCTTAGCAGGCAAGGCCAAAGTGGTCTTGCCTACATACGCTGTATAAAAACATTCTGGTTAATACTTCTTCAAAGTCCGAGCCGCCAACCCATTTGGCTGGAGGGATCAGGTGCAGGCTGCCACCCTAAGTTCATCTGTTGACTCATGACGTCAGGCAGGTATGCAGGTGGCAGGACATGTGACCAGCAGCATTCCTGGCTCTACAGCTCACCTGCGACAGAGCACCTTCACCAGGGTCAGTCCTGTGGCCATCCCTGAAGGGCTCTCTTTGGCCACTGGATCCCAAGGACTTGTCAAAGACTCCCAATAGTCCTCTCCCCAAACCCCATTCACATCAGCCCCACCACGCACCTTCATAGCCTTGAAGAGCCTTTCAGCAAAATATTCCGGGGTGCTCCGGATACACTTCACTGTGAAGAGGGAGGAAGAGGTAGAGTTATTCTGGCTGCCTCAGAAGGGGGATGGGATGGCCTGACTCCCTCTTTGTTTCTATTCCTTGAGGGCCACCTAGCTCAATACAGGAAGAACCACCGTTCCTGATAGCTCACAGCCCCAGATCACCCCAGACCAACCCACTTTTACCGCACACCCAGGGAATAAACAGGAAATAATCTTGTTGAAATAATCCTTTTGAAGTCCATCACAAAGACCGCCTTTATCTTTCTAGTCCTTTTGGTTTTAACAGGGAATTGAGCTGGGGTGGGGGTAGGGTCTGGGGCGAAGGAGGAAAAGGTGTTTTTTAGACCTGCTACACCAGAAAGGTACTGGCAGCTGAATCATTGTGAATCCCACTGAATCACCGTGAGTCCCACTGGCTGACTACTTCAAACAGGGAGGGCAGGGGATGGCTCTGGGAGGGACGATAAAGGAGCTGCAGGTTTCCCCCAAGAAATACAAACACACAACATATCCCTGACTCAGACATGCTAACTGCTGGAATGCCAGAATTGGAAGGGCTTCTGGGGAGGCAATTAAGGCAGTCCATCCTTCCTGCCCCCACACCCTGCACCCCACTTAACAGATGAGGAAACTGAGGTCCAGCAAGCAGAAGTGACTTGCTCCAAGCCCATGTGGGAGAAGCCCTGGTTTGAATCTTGGCTCCACCACTGACTAGCCAGTTCCTCACATCCTCACGTTCTCAGTACCCCCAACTCATTACAAAACTACCCCTCAGGAAATGATCAGCCTGGTGAGACTCAGTTTCCTCATCTGTGAAATAGAGATCATGGCAGTGGCCACTGCTGGGTCTTTTTTAAAGATTACACACTCAGCACAGTGCCTGGCATGCACTAGATGCTCAACAAAAGTCAACTATTATGATCATCATTATCCTCAACCCAAGTTCAGAGCTCTTTGTCCCCCTGCCAGTGGTGGAGAAGGGAGCTGGAGGAAGTCAGTACCTGAGGCTCAAACCCCCTTCCCGTCCCCAGCCTCAGCCATGCTGCCCTGGAGAAACCTTTAGAATTCACGGCCCACATGGTTTTCTCCTTCCCAATTCTATACCATGTAATTCCCCTTTCCATTCTCAGCCCCTTGTTCCTAGGCCAGTGTTCCAGAATCCCCTAAAGCCCCCAGGAATGCAACGTCAGGACATACCTACGGCCAGCATTAGCTTCTCAAAGTCCCCAGACAGCTCCCCTCGGATGCTGGCTTCAATCGGCTTCCCTGTGGTCTTCAGATACTCATCGAACACTGCGTCAGACAGAGAGACAGGGAGGTTTGAGAGTGCCTCTGTACCCCCGAGAAGAAATGAGGACTTCAAGAGCAGGGGGGCACAGTGGCCAGGACGACTGTCCACCATGAAGCTAGGGCTGGTGCTATGATGGAGGCGACTGGGAGGTCACGCACATCACCAGCGCTGTGCAGATGAGCTTCATAGCTGGTGAGAGACTGTGTCTCATCCCCTAACATGGAGACAGGACTGGCACTGAGATGGAAGGCCAAGCATCCTGTTAATGACTTTGCTGAGGGACTATACAAACTGCTGTCTGATATTAGGTTGGTGCAAAAGTAATTGCGGTTTTTGCCATTCCTTTAAAAACGGCAAAAACCGCAGTTACTTTTGCACCAACCTAATAAACTCAGGACTAAAGTTTGGGTTGGGAATGAAGTAGGTATCATGTTCCATTAGTGGTAAAGAAAAGAAAAGAGATAAAGAAAGGCATTATTGGCATCAACCCAAGGGAGCAGCTTCAGGTCTTCTCTGGAGCTTACCCAACCGAAGATGCTGCTTGCTGCGATTTCCCAAGATGTAAATGAACTGGGCTTCATCTGTTCCCCATTTCAGTTCCCCTGCCTCGTATAGGTCCTGAAGGGGAAGAGGTGGCACTTGACTGAAAGAGGAAACCTCAGGAGACAGGACACACTGACCAAGCCACTCAGAACTGCTGCCTGATCCCTGAACACACGAGTAATTGGTAGCCTGAAGACCTTTGCAAATAAAACAGTCATGCATCATTTAATGATGGGGATACATTCTGAGAACTGCCATTGTTAGGCGACTTTGCCATTGTGTGATCATAGAGCACTCGCACACACCTAGATGGCATAGCCTACTACACACCCAGACTCCGTGGTATAGCCTATTGCTCCTAGGCGGCACACCTACCTGTTCAGCGTGTTATCTTACCGAATACTGTAGGCAACTGCAACACAATGGCAAGAATTTGTGTATCCAAACATAAATAATCATAGAAAAGGCACAGTGAAAATATGGGGTTATAATCTTATAGGACTAGCATCACATATCTGGTCCATAATCTTATGGGACTAGCATCATATATGTGGTCCATCATTAACCAAAACACCATTATGTGGTACATGACTATACCTATATGCCTTTCTTCCTTTCTTTCTGGAGAAACTCCTACTCAACCTTCAAGGCCCAGATTAAGTATTCCATTTTTTTCTCAAAGTACTTCCCGATGCCCCCAGGCACAGTTCTATTTCCCTCCTTTCCTCCCTCTCCTAGGCTCCCATAGCTTTCTACTTCTTTATCACTTTGATCTACTGTATATGATAATGATTTCTTCACCTGTCTATCTCCACACTATTGCATGAGCTCCTCAACAACAGGGACTATGTCATAGCATTCTCTGTATCAGCCCCTGTAGTGCTGCTGGCATGTACTGGGTACTCAAAACACCTGCAATGTACAGTATATTGATAGAGAAGGTGTTTGTGTGATTAATGTATGCCTGTCTCTCCCGGTACCACTTGATTTTGTTCATTAGTGATTTCTAAATGCTTGGCAGAGTGCCTAGCACATGCTAGGTATTTTACTTCAATAATATCTAAAAACTGAATGAATAAAGAAAGCTCCAAAGTACACCTCACCAATATACCAATATTACATATGGGATATACCTTTGAAAGATAACTTATATCTTTTCTTCAACAAAGCACCGGTATACATGACAGCTGTGGCTGGGTTATTTCTGGTATTTGATGCAAATGACTTCACCTCCAGCCCTTCCCAGGGCCCCAACCTCTCCCCTCCCAAGGCTCTTCTGCTGTGCCTCAGGGACTTTCAGTGGTGCTTGTTTACCTGGACATCCTGTTGTACCAGGTCCTCGCTCACTACGTCATCCTCCTCCCTGGTTCCCTGGGCAGAAAGACAAAGAACATGTGTTTCAAACACTGCAAAGTCAGGAGGGAGGCCTGGATGCCAGTGGTGGAGACAGGGAAAGCAGGAAAACCCTGGTGGCCCAGATGTGTCCAGAAGCAGTGACTGCTATTGCATGAAGACCACAGTATCTATTTTGTGAGCCAATCAAAAGGGACCCTCCCTCTGGCCTTTCCCTTCCTCGTCAGGGCTGGGTCCACACAGGAGAGTCCCAAGAACAACCAAGGTTCTTCCAGGTGTCCCCAGCCCAGAGGTAGGCAGAGCCTTGCCCTGAGGACCTCTCTGAGGACAGGGCCCCAGGTTCTCGAGGGTCCCTGCCACAGATCCTGCATGGCCCATGACACTCCTCCAGCAACGATTCCACAGGGGCAAAGGATCTGAACATTTGCATTCTATTAGGAGCTCTTATACCTTAACTTAAAGAATTCACCAATAAGGATTTGGGACTCAGGTCCCAAGATCTGAGCTCACAAGCTACAAAGTCACCAAATCCTAATGGTGCTTCTGTTGTTCTGCCCATGCCCTTTGCCTCATCTGATAGAGGAAGCTTACACATAGGAGGATGCACAAAGGGAAGAGGGGCGAGCAGTACTCAACTCCTTCTTACGTGGGCAGAGGTCTGCAGGTGGCCTGGAGAGGTCTATGGCCATCCCCTCTTCCCCCTGGATTGTGCATTCCAGGATCTCAAACCCCCAGGGTTCTCTTTGGGACTGAGCAGAAGACAGAGCTGGCAAGCTTACAATGTGTGCCGCGCTGCTGCTTGGTGTCAAACCTTGAGGATACAAAACGCTTGACTCCAAGATACAGGGATAGGACACTCCTCTCCAGAACAAGCAGCTTTGAAAATGGGGCACAGGTCACACTGTCCCACTCCTGAGGTTTCTCCTGATCATTCCCCAGCTGGTTAATATGGGATTGTTATGGCAATGAGAGGAACAGAGTTGGGAGGAGCTGGTATAAAAGGGAAATGGGGGAACGAGGAAACATAGTGGTGGCTTAATTTATATATAAAGTTTCATAACCATTTGGTCCTTGGAGCTGAGCTTGAGACATCTCAATGCCTGTTCCCATCGTGCCTGTGGTCACAGAGATACCTACAGAGCCAGGTAGATAACATTCACGGTGAAACGGGCAGGACGCATATGCTCTCCAGCCCACTGCAGTCGTGCAGAATGCAGGTCTGCTGCTACCGCAACTTTCAATACATTAAAATAATCCAGAAATCTGGTTTTTGAGCAAAATCTCACAATTTTTAAATGTTAGCAACTAACTCAAACTTGTTTTGCTTTCTTTCTTAAAACACATTTTATGGGAAAACAAACAAAAAATCCAACTTGGCAGGTTGAATTCAGCCACAGACACCAATTTGTAGCCTCCTAATAGTCTCTTTGTGATATACTTTGGGCGGGCGGTGAGGAGGCAATAAGGCTCGGATGTGGGAGACTCCACACAGTAGCCACAGGAATGCTGGGGTCCAGAAATGCTGCATGTGCAGCTGCAGAAGCAATGGCAGGAAGGAGGCCCAGAGAGGAGCGGGAGGAGCGAGTGTGGAGAGAGGAAGAAAATCACAGCAGAAGACACTCCTGGGCACGAGAGGACTGTGTGCCAAAGAGAAAGAGGATTAGCCAAATACACCTGCCTGTGCAAACCAGGGGAAGCTGACCAGACCCTGGACATTCAGATCTACACCCAGATGAGCCAGACAAAAGCTATCCCAAGCTCCAGAGGAAAAAAATAGGCTGTGAACCAACCTGGAGCAGGACCACAAGCATCTTCTGGAAGTGGCCAGAGGTGTCGCCGATGATGTCAGCCTCCAGGTCCCGCTCGTAGGCTGCAGAAAGGAACGCAAGCTCTAGTCTCATCCCCAGAGACCTCAGGGATCTAGGATAAAGGGCCCTGCTGCCCCCAAAATGATCAGATATTTTTAAGAATTCCAAAACCCAGTCTACACGTCCATCATGGCAAGACCCAGGGTATATTTTCACAGCTCTTCGTACTGACCATGATATGATGAAATGGAATCTGTTCATTCTCTCTAGCCCACCTATACCATGACGGCCCACCTGGACAGTGGCTACAGCTTTCCGATGGTTCTCTCCTCCTCTATTCTCAATTCCTTTCCAACCCACGGCAACAAGGATGGCTGTCTTAAAACCCATATCTGATCATCATACTCCCCAACTTCTCATTAGACTCAGAATAAAACACCATCTCTCTCTTGGCCTGCAGGCCCTGTGTGATCCTGCCCTGTCCTCTACCTGTCTAGCCTTGTACCGGCTACCAGGCTCATTTCTATTTCAGGGCCTTTGCACTTGCCGTGACCTCTGTTGGAAGGATCTTCTCTCCATTCTTTATACGATTGGTTCCTCATTTCCTCCCAAGACCTCACTGGTAAAAGTTTGATTCTTGTTACCTTATTTCCTGTACAACACTTAGCTAAAATCCATCATCACTGTGTTTATCTGTTCACCTGTTTATTGTGTGTCTCCTTCATTATCTCATTATCTCATTGGCCTAAGAGAGAGGGACCCCTTTGGTTTTATCCCGAGAACCTAGCACATCACCCAGCACAGAGCAAGTACTTATTGGGTAGATAAATGGGTGGACAAATGGATCAGAGGAAAGGAGGAGAGAAGGTAGATGGCTAGAATCTTAGTGTCCCCACTGTTGCAATCATCCTCATTTTGTATCTGAAGATCCTAAGCGGCCCCTCCTGCCCATCTCACCATCTTTGTATGCTGCCACCAGCTGGTGCATCTGCTCATTGGTCCGGGAAGCCAAGATCTCAATGAGGCACTTCTCATCAGTGCCAATGCCCTGGGGGTAGAAAAAGAGCGCATGAATTAAGGGCAGGGATGGGAGGTCACTGGACACAGGTTGGGATCAGGGAGTGGCCAGAGCTATGACACCCCAGGACTCAGGAGGTTCCTACCCAGCTCTTAGGCACTGATTGGGAACTCCTGCCTTGAGACTCATAAGACATGGTCATATGATTTGGATGTGTTTCCCCACCAAATCTCATGTCGAATCGTAGACCTGAATGTTGGAAGTGGGGCCTGGTGGGAGGTGGTTGGATCATGGGGGCGGTTTCTCATGAATAGTTAGCACCATCTCCTTGCTACTGTTCTCACGATCGTAAGTTCTTGTGAGATCTGGTTGTTTAAAAGTATGTAGCACTTCCCCACCTCCCGCCTTGCTCCTGCTCCCACCATGTGAGATGCCTGCTCCCTCTTTGCCTTCTGCCAAGACTGGAAGCTTCTTGAGGCCTCCCCGGAAGCAGAAGCCACAATGCTTCCTGTTCAGCCTGCAGAACCATGAGCCAATTCAACCTCTTTTCTTTATAAATTACCCAATCTCAGGTGTTTCTTTATAGCGATGTGAGAATGGACTAAAACACAAAGGTTCTAGTTCTGCCTCCTCCAGCTTTGTGAATTCTCTTCAGAAACTATCTTTTTGGGCCTCAGTTTTCTCATCTGTAAAATGTAGATGATATTAGTTGCTCTGCCAAACTCACAGGGAGATTGAGAAGATAATAATCTCACATTGCTAAGTGCATCAGTTTATAAAATGAATTCATGCTTAATAGCTCATAGAAGACAAAGATCATAGCACTTTATAGACTGTAAAGTGCTAGATACACTTAAAGGGCTTTGCCTCTCTTTTTCCTAGGGGGCAATTCTCTACCTCTACCTCAACCGGGCTGAACTACTCTTCATACCCTAAACACAGATCCACAACTTCTCCTGCCATTTTTACACCCTGCAATGACCTTGACACTGCTATCCACCAAATCCTCTCTGGGCTTTGGGGCTTAACTTGATCCTATTATCCTTTAAGATGCCCTCTCAAACAACCCTTGGCCCAGGGTCATGTTGATTACCTTTAGTGTGCCCTTGGCCTCAGGAGTGTTGGACACAATTTGTCTCCATGTCCCTATAACCTGTATCCTTGGACTACAAGCTCCTGGTAAGGGGGTCTGCATCATGTTGACATCTGTCTGCATCTCTCTGTGTGCGGATCGGGATGCTCCTCTGGGATAAATTTAGATGTGTCTTTGAAGCAGGACACATGTGCTGGGTGGGTATGGGGCTCACCAGTTGCTTTTGGAAGAGCCCAGAATCTTCCCATTAACCACATCCCCACCCCAACACCACATACACCCCCACTTCTTACCGAGATGGCATCTTTAATTTCTTTGGCATCACAATAGGCAGGTGGCCTCATCAGGCCCACAATCAACCGTTCAAACTTGCCCGTCAATTCATACTTTAAATCAGCAATGAGGTCCTGGCAGGTGGGGAAGAAGAGGAGATAGAAGAGGAAAGAGGAAGAGTAGTTACAACGGTAAGAATTACACTTAATGAGCACTTACTCTGGCAGGTGCTGGGCTAAGTAATCTCATTAAATCATCACCCTTGGAGGTATGTACTGTTACCAACCCTAAGAGACAGGCTCAGAAACAACAGAGGTCTTACTCCATGTCATGCTGCTAGCAAACGGCTATGCAGGGTCAGGTCCACAGCCCTGTGCCACTTCCCCACCACTGTCTGTTTCCTCGTTTACTGTGTATCTCTCTCACTATCTGGCAGTCCACAGAGTTGACACCTCACCCATCTTATTCACTAGTGCAGCCCTAACACCTAGCACGAGCCCAGCATACAGCAGGTGCTGTGGGTGTATTAAAGGCTGAAAGACGCCCAGCTGATGAGAAGAAAAAGAGCAGGGTAAGGTGTCAGCCCACAGGCTAACCTGGAGTGCCATATCCAGGAAATAACCTGAACGAGCACACAGGTGAATGAAATCATTCTTCCACCCGCACCCCATGGGCCCTCCGGTTGCTGTGGTTACCTTGCCGTAGAGGGACTTGTAGCTCTGGCAGACCTCCTGCCTCTGCCTGTTGCTCCGTGAGGTGATTATGTCCAGTATGGCCTCCTTGTCACTGCCTGGAATAGGGGAGAGCAATCATCATCCTACCCACCCTGCCTCCAGGAAGCCCACCAGGGCCACTTCCTTCCCTGGACACAGGCCTAGTAGCTCCCTGCAGGCCTCAGCATGAGCCTTCCACTCATCAGGTGCTGGTGTCAGGGCAGAGGGTCATGGGGATTTATTAAGTCACGACTGAAAGTGGACACAGCACACACAATATCTGTGCTCAGAAGGCCCCTGATCCAGCTCCTCACTGCACAAATCAGGAAATTAAGGCCCAGAGAGGGGCAAGAACTTGTCCAAGGTCTCACAATGAACCTGGCTTAGAAAACCCAGGTATCCTAACACCCAGTACAGGGTTCTTTCCACCACAAGACAAAGAAGAACATAAGCACCACCTTCGGATTGTGGCTGCCTCTGGGCAAAGGCAGCGGGCGGCATTATCAGGAGGGGGATCTACCAAGGAAACTTCAACTATGCTAATGAAGCACTAGTTCTTAAATTTGGTGGTAAATCTATGGGTGAAATTTCTATTATTCTTTATACTTTTTTTCTGAAACATTTTATTATAACATCATGAAAATTAATAAAAAGAGGAGACCAAAAAAATGAATAAGTGCACTTCACCATTTCACAGACCCTACCACCACCACCAGAAGGGCTCTGGGCTGTGTCTACTTTTGGGGGATACCCCTCAAGCTCCCATGAAGCCTGGCACCCACCAAAGCCCTTCATGGCAGTGTACAGAGCCTCGGCATCCTGGTTGGGGTCAAAGCCTGGGAAGTCATGGATGGAGCCCCGGTACTTGGCACCCTGTGGAGAAAAAAGTAGAGGGTGAGCTGCCAACCCCGGACTGAGACCAAGCTCCCAGCCCCAACCTCAGGTCAGATGCCTACCCTGGTCCAGGCTGAGCTGCTTTCCCTGCAAAATCCAGTGCTGGCCACATACACCCTGGGGAGCGGTGTGGATGACTTTCCCATACCACCTGCTGCAACCCGCCCAAAGGACAGTGCCATTTCCCCAAGGGAGGGGGGCTTGGCCAAGGCCTGCAGCCCTGCACCACCTTCCAAAGCATCCAGGAGAGGGTAAAAAAGCCTGGCTGAGTATAGGAGATGAAAATGATCCCTGCAAGAATAGCAAGAGTCAAATATATATATATATATATATATATATATTTTAAGAGATGGGGTCTCACTCTATTGCCCTGGCTAGTTTTGAATGCCTGGCCTCAAGCAGTCCTCCCACATTGGCCTCCCAAAGTGCTGGGATTACAGGCATGAACCAGTGCACCCAGCCAGCC
Source organism: Homo sapiens (assembly GCF_000001405.40). Classification (NCBI taxonomy): domain Eukaryota; kingdom Metazoa; phylum Chordata; class Mammalia; order Primates; family Hominidae; genus Homo; species Homo sapiens. The sequence continues at coordinate 151,140,731 of NC_000005.10, forward strand.
CCTCATATTTTTATGGCATTTTATGTTTACACTTTCACCTCTGTGAATGTCATTAGTGTAGCCATTTGTAGACGCTCTTAAGATTATTTCTATCACAGAAGCCAAGCCCAAAGAAGAGCCACTTGTGGGAGGTCACACAGAACTCAGACCTTTTCCCTCTGCTCTCCAGCCCCGCTCTGCTCTCCAGCTCCAGGAACCTTGCAGGTGCCAGCTACTGAGGGTGGGGTCCTGGGCACAGGGGGCCCAGAGACACTCTCATTTCAATGCCAAGACAAGGCACTGCCCCTCTGGGCCCAGTAAACTGCGCTGTGAACTGGCATCTGAGGACAAGCTGGCTTGGTCTTTGAGGGGAAGGAGAGAAGCGGCAGAGAGCCAGGGGATCTTAGACATCGAACCTGAACCTGAATGCACAATGGGACTGGTTCACAGAGAAGTCAGATGTGGGTCAGTTACATGGCACTGAAAAGTGGGGGGTCTGGGAGAGCAGCTGAGAGCTGGCAGAGTGGAGGATGCCAGAGCCTGTCACCGAGCACACAGCACAGTGACAAGGCACTTCATTTGTGCTAGGCCCTACACTAATGGCTGAGGAATTGGGGAGAAAGGGGACCCAATTCCTGTCTTTCACGAGCTCCTGGCCCAGTGGCAGAGACAGACAAGCACATCAATTACTATAAAGCTTGTAGTAAATACATTAAGACAAAAATAAGGTAATGTGGGAAAACAGCAGAGGCTGATCCAGCTGCGGGAAATCAGGAAAGAATCCAAAAAAGAGGGAATGGAGGGTGGGCCACACAGATCTTGCCTTCAAGGAGTCAGAGGTGGAGCAGAGTGAGTCCTGGACCGCCTCCCCCTCTCCCCGTCTCCGTGCCTCCCAACGTCTGCACTGCAGGACCCCGGCCAGGCCTCTGGATGCTCTCTGGTCTCTGTCTGCAGAGGCTGGCTCCTCTGAGGTATGCATGCGTCGGCGTGGAGTTACTATTTAAAGTTCTGACCAGAAAGGAACACAGCTCTCTTCCTGCCACCTGGGAATCCCCTGCAACCTGATCACGCCCCTGGGCAGAGACTTAAAGAGTAACACATGCCGAATACCCAGAGCAGGGCGCCTTGCAAGGAGCTCAGTGAGCGCAGGATGGGGGCTTTACTGCCAGCGCTCCCCTTGGCCTTACTTCAGACCTCACGGCCGGAGCTTGAGAAATTCCTGCTGCCTTCTCCACCCCGGTGGGCAGTTTGATCCAGAAACCTCTGAGAGCAGATACCAGATCCATCTGCCCACTGCACAGAGATTGACCAAATACTCAAGTATTTGCCACATGAATAAAATGAACAAGAACACGAAACAACTGGGGTCCTCCAGGAATTTCACTTCTAAATCCTTTTCTCTTTCTTTCTGGACACCTCCAGTCCAGCGATATCAAAAAAGCACAGCAGGCAATATTAGCTACTAGGATGGATGGAGAAACAAGAGGTGCCTGGGCACAGTGGCTCATGCCTGTAATCCCAGCACTTTGGGAGGCTAGACGGGAGACCACTTGAGGTAGGGAGTCAGAGACCAGCCTGGCCAATGTAATGAAACCCTGTTTCAGCTAAAAATACAAAAATTAGCCAGGCATGGTGGCAGGCACCTGTAATCTCAGCTACTCAGGAGGCTGGGTCAGGAGAATCACTTGAACCTGGGAGGCAGAGGTTGTAGTGAGCTCAGATCGCATCACTGCATTCCAGCCTGGGCGACAGAATGAGACTGACTCTGTCTCAAAAAAAAAAAAAGGAAACAAGAAGGTTCAGAGGCTCAAAATTATTTCTTTGCAACGATCCTTAAAGACCTTTTAGTTCAGCTTCCCACTCAGTTATTGAGTCCATGGAGAATGGAGACTGTCGTGAATAAGACAAATCATTCTGCCTAAGAAGAACCGTGGAGCCCCAGCTCTAGCACAGGCTTGGCATACAGGCTGGAAGTAACTGTGACTGGGCTAAATGAATGGATGGAGACACCCATGACGGCCCAAGCTCTGAGATGGAGGACGCCGAAGGGGAAGACAGTGAAGGGAGACCTCCCTGGCACTGGATCCCTAGCAATGCTGTCTCCAATGTCAGGACCTCCTGGGACCAGTGTGGAAATATTAAGCTTTGAAAGATGCCACCAGGGGCAGGTCCTCCAGGGTCTGTCCGGGCCCTCTGCAGGCTAGCCTGTTGCCATGATTCATGGCTGTTTTTCCTTCCACCTGTCTGACCAACCTGTCCTAATCCACAGCAGCACCAGTCTCCAATCCACTTCAGTCATAGGATGTCCCTCCCACGGCTCACTTGGAATAAGAGAGGGAAAGGACTTTGAGAACCACAAGCTGAGAACTAAATGAGGAAGGTAGGTCTATTACCACTTGTGTCCCAGAAGACCCAGAACAGAGAGGGCAGGTGACATGTCAAGACCACACAGCAAGTCAGAGGCCCAGCTGGGAAGGGAATCCAAGGCTCTTTCTAACAGACCATCTCTCCCTTCCCCTCAGATTCCATCTGGGTGGGAGCTGGAGATAAGAAGGGACAACCACCACATAGCCCACTGCTTCCTCCTGGTCAACCATGCCAGCCTGCCCCTCTCCTTGAATACTGAAGCATTTGAGTTATTGCCCTGTGCTGTTTGCCTCTATGCCATTTCGACCCTATATTCAAGGCTATAAAAAGGCAGCAATGCTGTCCAATCCACAGCATCCTAAGTGCTTCTCACATTCAGATACTCACAATTCCAGGGCAGCTAGGGCTACCCTACCATTCATTCATTCAATCAAGCAAGCAAGCAACATTTACTGAGAGTCTACTAAGTAGATGCTTAGGACCAGGGACCACTAAGAACTCAGAATCTGGTAGAGATACATGACAGCTTCAACTACAAGACAGTGTGGCAGATACGATGCTAAGGGCAGCATGGGACCCAGGAAATATTTCCTTTCGAAGTTCCGGGAGGGCAGGGACTGTGTCTCTCTTGCTCACTGACGCATTTCTAGCACCAAGTACAGGGCCTGGAGCAATCAAGCACTCACTGAATATGTTTCATAAATGGATGGATGAATGACTGCGAATATATTCCAAGCAGATCAGAGAAGGCTTTCTGGAGGTGACGTCTAAGCTGAGTCCTGAGGGATGAGCAACAGGCTGGCCCCAAGGAGTAGAGTAGGGAGGGGAAGGCGAAGAGGAAGAAGGCATCACACAGAGGAGACACATGACAAAGACCTGGAGGGAAGCAAGGGGCATTCGGGAAAGCCAGCCCAGAGTCTGCAGGGCTCAGAGCAGATGCTGGCTGTCACTAAGATCATCCACTAGAAGCGGGGAAGGCAAAGAGATGAGGCTGGAGAAGATGATGGGGATAAACAATTCAGACTCTTGTAAGGGCAGCTCTAGCCCTGCTGGGCTGGCCTGGGCACAACACCTAAGTCAGGACCTGGGTAAGGGCAAGACTCTAACATCCTAGTGTGGTTTTCCTTACCCATTAAACTCAGCTGACCACTCACAACCCTGTCCCTAGTATCTGGCATTCTTTACTACGTTGAGCCATGTAACTTGCCTTGTATGTAGATTAAAAACAGTCAAATAGCAGCAGATTTCATATGGTTCATGTGACAGGTATTTCATACAAATACCTGTCTGGTTGATATGTGGGATCTAGAAACTATTTTAACTTGTCTGCTGGGGCAGGGGTGTGTGGGCGGTGACAAGTACTTAAGATAGAGTCTGATTCTTCAGAGCTCACAGTTAGATGCCCAAAGTCGCTAAAGTCATGGGATTGTAAGCTGCCGGGAAGGGATGCGGAGAAGAGGGAAGCATGTCCCCAGGATGAAGGGCGGAGGATGAGGCAGCACGCAGACCCCAATTTCCTATTGCTGCTCCTCCCCCTCCACTGTTCTCCCCCTCATACAATGTGGGTGGTCACAGCAGTGTCTGGAGAAGGGGCTGAAGTGCCATGCTGGGGGAAGGGTGCTTAATGACCTACACAAGCCTTGATCCAAACGCTCACTTAGAGACAAGCTTCTTGAGCAGCAAGCTCGGGCTCCTGCACAGTTCTTTGCACGGGACTAATAAGACCTTCCAAGTGATGACCTACTAGATTAGTTGTCCTGGGACCCCACAGGATCATAGCCACTAGAAGCAAAGGTGGGGGGCTTAGCACTAGTCACATTTGGAGATACAGAGACAGCCCCTCAAATCATCCAGGCCCAGGCTTCCCACCGTGTCATTCTCACACCAACTTCATGAATTCTGCATCTCTAAGCGCCACCTGTGCAACCACACAGGCTTCTCCTCACCCACCCCACCCTGACTGCCTGTCACACCTCCGGCAGACAGGTTCCCGGCTGCGGGAACCCAGGATCAAGGCAGGGGACAGCAGAGAAGGGACTTTCCACCCTGAAATATTCAGCAGGTCCTGGTGCCAGCTGGTGAGCAGCCGGGCCCTGGGGCTCTGTGGGGCTGGGCCCCACCCAGGCTGCTGCTGGAGCAGGAGTCCTAGTGGCCTCTTGGGAGCAGAGATGATGTCCCCAGAGAGACAGGTACATGGCCAGGACTCCAGCTGAGAGCTGCCTTGGCCGGTGCTGACCTAGGTCTCACCTCCACAGCTCCTAGAAGTCCCAGGCACAAGCACCTGCCTATCCTGCCCTGTCCTCAAGGTGTTTTTATGTTCATTATTGCATTCAAACCCAGAACGTCCCTGTGAAATGGAGGCCACAGCGCCATGCCTCCTGGGTCTTCCATGGCACCATCCTACTTCTTCATGTCTTTGGGCCTCAAGTTCTCCTCTTCCAAAAGGAGAGATAGGGAGAACAGCACAATAACCACAGTGGAAGGAACTGGGGGGTGTCTAGGCCAGAGAAGACGGAGCAGTTTGCTGTGTGCATGCACACGTGTGTATACATGCATGCATGTGTGCGTGTGTTGGAGTTTTGGAGGACACCAGATTCAAGCTAATAATTGAAAGCCGAGCTAATAACTGGAAGGAACAACTGCAGCTCAACGGCAGGGAGGCTTTTTTCACATTTCTCTGTTATTGTCTTCTGCAACCCTCACCTCTCCCCCAAACCACTGCACCCCAAGCATACCAAATTACTTTTACTCCCCTGAGCACGCTGCATTTGCTCTCCTTCTAGCCTCTGTCCCAGTTGTCCCTGCCTAGACCACTCTGAGCCCCCTTGTTCCTCCCCTGAGTAGCTCTCCCTAGGCAGCCTCCCCTCTCTCCTCAACCTAGGTGGGGTGCCCTCCTGCATGCCCCAGAGCTCCTTTACTGCCCCACCAGAACACTGTGCATGGAGGGTGCCAACTCATCCCATAGGAGGAGGGTTCCCTAAGGCCCTGCCACCCTGGGACTCACTTGCAGGAGGTCTACTGAACCCTAGTCCATGGCAACAAGAAACCACAGATCAGCCAGGCAGAAGGCATGGCCCAGGAGCACTGGACCAAGGTCCAAAGATCTGCACCCTAGGTCCTGGCCTCTCTGATCTTCCAGGGCCTGGCCTGTCCACTTGGATCATCTAGAATCCTGCAGTTCAAATGCCTTTCAGGAAGTAGCTCTAGTATGACTACACATAGGAAATGGGGAACAGTGAAAGTTCCACCTTGGATTTTTGCCCATAATCAGTAACATTTTCTCCTCCTGGTCAGAGAGGCCACTTGTACACACAGTATACTCCTCAGTGGCTGTGAGGAAGGCCACAGCTAGGACTTCTCTGAGGGTACTGATCCTATAACATCCTGTGCTCTTCAGAAACTGTGAATATCCTATAAGCCCAGGTTCACTGGGGGCAGTCATGATGTCAAGGATGGATGGAGTTTTATTATTACTGAATTCAACCATTCCGTAAGGGGAACATGAGGCCCAAAGACCTCACAGACAGCTTCTGTCTGTGCATTCTGTGGCCAGTAGTTCTGGGTTGGAGTAAGGGACAACGGGGCCCAGTCCCATGATTTTCTTCAAGATCCCCAAGTTTCTTCTCCCTGCCAATCCCATCGTCACACTGACTGCATGGCTTTCTCCAACGCCAGCCAACAGACAGCACCCTCAGGCAAACCCCAACAGAGTAGAGTGGGGTTTTTTGTTTTTTGAGACTTGCTCTGTAGCCCAGGCTGGAGTGCAGTGGCATGATCTCAGCTCATCACAGCCTCAATCTCCTGGGATCAGGTGAGTTTCCCACCTTAGCCTCCTAAGCAGCTGGGACTACAAGTACATGCCACCTTTGTATTTTTTCTAGAGACAGGGTTCTGCCATATTGTCCAGGCTGGTGTCGAAATCCTGCGCTCAAGTGATCTGCTCACTTCAGCCTCCCAAAGTGCTGGGATTATAGGTGAGAGTCACCGTGCCCAGCCTCAACAGAGCACAGTCGAGGTCAGAATCCTACCTCTGACCATGGCCAGAACCTAGTCTCAGCCACATGGGAGTAAAAGTTCTCAGGTGCCTCCAATTCTATTGCCCGGCAGAACAGTCAGACATGAGAGACTGAGGTTAGAGTCTCCCAAGCCAAGGAAATTCAATCCCAAATGGGTGTGACAGAGAACATTTCTATATCCAGAGCAGAGAAGTCAACAAGGATGTCTTTCTACCTGTCAAGTATCCATTTCCCTTCGTCAGGCCAAACAGTTCAGGTGGGACCAACTCCACCTCCTTGCTCCAAGAAAGAACAGGTTACTCAGGCACAGCCAATGAGAACCAGACCTGGGCCTTCCCCTGGAATCACTGGGCATGAGTTATGTTGTTTTCTCCCTGGGCTGCCAAGACAGCAGAATGGAAGCCTGGAGCTGCTGATGACTACCATGCCAATGCAAGGAAGAACCTACCCAAGAATGAAGCCACCGGAAGAAGCCCAGCTCACACAGGCAGAATCTTGACACTATCATTTGGAAACCCCTGGATTCAACCAGACCTGAAGCCCTGGGCCTCTCTGTCAGATAAGCCAATACACATCCTTTTCTGCTTAGGATATTGTGGGTTATATTACATTATGGTGACCTGCATCTGAAGAGCCATGACTTGTAACAGGAGCAAGCAAAGCCTAAGAACCTTTCCTCCTTTTTTCAAGCTGAAGGTACCAGGGGTCTCTGTAGCAGGCCTAGTGGCTCCAGGAGGATCCCAGGCCCAGAGAAGGCTGAGTACCACCTTCAGGAAAGAGAGGCCCCTTACCTGTGCTGGTTTGGCCATGGTCTCCGGTTCGCAGCAGAATCCACTGTAGAGAAGAAAGACAGCATGTGAGATTCCCCCCAACTCTAACCATCCCCTTTCTTTCCCTTACATTTCCTCCCTCTGCTGTTTTCCAGCTGCCCCCAGCCCTTCAGGTTAAATCAGACCCAATGACCCAGCTCAAGGCCAATCACATTTTTTTCAGAAGACAATGGACAGACTAGATGGTGTCCAGACATTCACAGCAGTATGGGAAAGGGACGCGGATCCCCAAGGGAGGGCGGGCATGGCACTGACCCACCACTGACCCCTTGACTCCTCCACACTAGGCAGGGTACCTGTCTCAGCACCGTCTCAGTTACTACTCTCAGAAATCCTTCCACACATCAGATTCTCCTTTTTTATAGAGAGGAAACTGAGGCTGGAGCATCGCAATAAATGAGCCAAGATCACACAGCTTAGAACTGAATTCAACAATTTCTAGATCCCAGAGTCTATACTATCTGCACCATGCATGCCCCCTTTTCAAGTCAACAAGGATGGCTTCAGAACCCAGAGCTTGACCGCCTGCAGATAGGACTCAAAGTGCTTCCAACCACCTGCTGCAATATCTGAAGGACTGTCATTCCTGAACAAGTGAGTATGCACTCATTTAGCGCCTATCCTAGTCAGGCATTGCTCTGGGCACTGTGCATGCAGAAATATGAGCAATTTTTTAAATTCTGTTTCTCTAGAGCTTATGCTGTAATGGGAATGAATAACAAATGCACTCATCAGGCTGAGATAAGAACTACAGAGAAAAGACAAGGCTTGGTCAGGAAAGTGACAAGGGGTGTAGTCCCAGGTGGAGGGGTCAGAGGATCTCACGAGTGTGACTGGGGCACACCGCGGGGTGGTGCAAGTGAGGAACCACCACGAGCTCAGTGTGGCTGGTGTGGTAGCAGGGAGTGGTGTGGTAGGATGTAGGATCTGAGACCGGTGCCTGAGGCCACTGTAAAGACTGGATTTTTCAGGCTGGTCGTGGTAGCTCATGCCTATAATTCTGGCACTTTGGGAAGCTGAGGTGGGAGGATAATTTGAGCCCAGGAGTTCGAGACCAGCCTAGGTAACATAGTGAGACCCGATCTCTATTAAAAAAAAATAAAAAAAAAATAGCTGGACATGGTGGCACATGCCTATAGTCCCAGCTACTTGGGAGGCTGAGGCGAGAGGATTGCTTGAACTCAGGAGGTGGAGGCTGCAGTGAGCCAAGGTTGCACCACTGCACTCCAGCCTGGGTGACAGGGCAAGCCCTGTCTCAAAAAAAAAAAAAAAAAAAAAAAGACAGGAACACACAGGAAAACAGGACACATATCTCATTGAAAATGGATAAGGAATGCGGGTGGAGGATATCAGGAGACAGGGTCTACAGTGAAGGAACAAAGATATGATACGTAAAAATAAATGCAAAAAGAGATGTAACTGATTTGGGAAGTATAAGAGAAGCAGGTAGGGAGCTGGCTAATGAGCACTCAGGAGGGCAACAGATGAAAGTTTAACAATCTTCTTAAGAGAAGGAGAAGAGAAACAAAGGACCACTACTTTCCACTTTAAGCAGGTCTGGGCAATTTGATCTCTTTTTTTTGAGATGGAGTCTCGCTCTGTTACCCAGGCTGGAGTGCAGTGGCGCAATCTCAGCTCCCTGCAACCTCCACCTCCCGGGTTCAAGCGATTCTCCTGCCTCAGCCTCCTGAGTAGCTGGGATTACAGGTGCACGGCACCACACCTGGCTAATTTTCGTATTTTTAGTAGAGATGGGTTTCACCATGTTGGCCAGGCTGGTCTCGAACTCCTGCCCTTGTGATCTGCCCTCCTCAGTCTCTCAAAGTGCTGGGATTATAGGCGTGAGCCACCAAGCCTGGCCTGATCTCTTTTAACAATGTCTATGTATTGCTTTTTAAAAGTGAACATAACAGAGGCCAGGAGCAGTGGCTCATGCCTGTAATCCCAGCACTTTGGGAGGCCAAGCGGCAAGGACCACCTGGGGCCAGAAGTTTGAGACCAGCCTGGCCAACATGCGAAACCCCGTCTCTACGAAAAAATACAAAAATTAGCCAGGTGTGATGGTGTGTGCCTGTAGTCCCAGCTAGTCAGGAGGCCGAGGCAGGTGAATCGCTTGAGCTGGGAGGCAGAGGTTGCAGTGAGCAGAGATGGCACCACTGCACTCCAGGCTAGGCAACAGAGTGAGACTCTGACTCAAAAAAAAAAAAAAAAGTAAACATAACAAAGTCAATCAGATTTACCCAGTAAGACCTAAAAGGAACAGAACTAGGAGAGTAGAAATCATGGAGACATTTCAGCTCAATGCCTTCCAGTTCTCCACATATTCCCTGTTCCCCCAAGACTTAGGGAAAATCTTAGCCATGTGACCGTGGGCTTATTGCTCATTTTTGAGTTCAAGGTGATCTCAAGCACAAAACTGAAGCTTTCCCTTTTCTGCTTTGTAGGGTTGTTGGAGGATAAGACCTAAGTTATGTCAAAGGCAGCACATAAGAGGCCAGGCACAAGACCTGTTCTTAGTAAATGGTGATATTTACTGTGCTGGTGGGAAGTTGAGGACAGGGCCTCTGTCGTGTTTGCCTCTGTGTCTTCACTGGCTGATTATGAGTTCCCCAAGCTGCAGTCAGCTGAGGACAGTCATCATATGGGGTTGGGAGTGGAAGGCAGAGGACGGATCTGCCTGCAAATGCAGCTCAGCTCAGCTCAGCTTCAGGAAACCTTGCTGTTTCCCTGGCAACCAGGGGCCCCTTGGTACAACTGTGCAGCTCTCACCAGGAAATGGAAACTGTACCCCCTTTCCAGTGTGTGGTGGGGGGAGGAGGGGGCCCACATCTACCCCGGGATGAGGCTGGAGGCCAGCTCTCGGTTTCCTCTGACCTGGGGGATAGTAGGGGGAGACAGTGAAGGAAGCCCAAGGCTAGCAGAGAACCAGGGACTGAATGAGACCCAGGAAGTTAGTTGACACAGACAGAGGGAGGGCTGAGGCCTGTCACCTGCATCTCCAGCCTTGAAGCACTTTCCTCTGGGCTTGTTGCTGGCAATTTCAGCTGCTGGCTGCAGCCCAGGCCCATCTGGAGGAGCTCCCCTTTCCAAGGAGAGATGGCTTCAAGGAGGGGCCTCTTACTGTTTGGGAAAATATTCTCAGCTCTGAGAGCAGTTTCTGTGTGCCTTGTGTGAGTGCACAGTTCATATGTAAAAAGCAAGCTCCTTCCAGAACTAGATGTTCAGACTGCAGTTCTGAGGGCCAGTCCCCCTGCTGATTCCACAGCCCCGCCTCTGAGGGTTCTGGGAAGCTCCTGAGCTAATCATAAACACACCATTTACCCTGGCTTTAAGATGGCTTCTGATCCCTCCCAGAGCAACCTAGACCATACTGCTCAAATTGGCTGAATATTTTACATCTAGTGTTTCTGAATCCCACAAGGGCCCTTAATAATCCATGACTCCAAGTCCCTCATTTTCTAGACGGGGTAAAGGCATCTCAGAAAGAGAAAGTGACTTGCCAGGGCCCAGGAAGCAGCCAACATCTCTGCCTAGCAGCCCTCGATCATAACAAGTCCCCACACAACTGTGGGTCTTGGCTGCAATGGGACACCAGGAAGAGTCCAAAGAATAAGACCCTGGTTCTGGTTCCCAGTCTGCCCCCATGTAACCTCAGGCAAGCCAGATCCCTCTCTCAGCCTTAGTTTCTTCATCTCTAAAGTGGGACAATACATCACTCCCTCTTTGGTAGGATCTATAGTTAGAGGCTTTTAGAGACTTCAACTCAGGATTTTCACAGCAGAATATCAGTCCTAGGAGGGTCATCTCCCAGGCCACAGGATTCCTCCCCATCTCCACCCGCCAATATGCAACATTCATCACCTTGGTTGAAAGAGCTGTTCAAGACTAGTAAACAGGGTCATTCCAGACCTGTGCCTCTTTCCTCCCAGGAACCCTGATTCTCTCAGATCTAGATGAGATATACTGTGACGACTTATCATGACTGATCATTCGTGAAACCCACACAGGAGCAGAATGAATGGCCTGGGTGGCTTTGTGCTGCTGTGGCCACCCCTTGCCTCATCCTTTTGCCTGCAATCAATCACGTTTTCCTCCTTCCCCTTCGAGAGTTCCAGGCTGACTCTAGAAGGAACGGCTCACCACTGCCCAACCACAGAGATGTGGATAGGGGAAGGGTTTTATCCAAGTCATGTGAAGGCATGGGCCTTCAGGCACAGATGTTGCCCAGCAGTTTGTGATGTAAGTAAGTTACTTAAACTGAATCTCAATTTCCACATCCGCAAAATGCAGATAGAAATACCTATAGGTACTGAGAAATAAATGAAGTAACGGGGGGAAAACACTTAGCACAGTGCGTGGCACACAGTAAAGGCTCAATAAATGGTGGCTTTTATTATAATAAGCCCAAACATTTACAATGGAGGCAATGTGGCATTAGAATCAATGCAGGATTTGTGGTCGATGCCCAAGTTCAAATCCTGACCATGCAAATTCCGAGCTCAGTAACTTGGGCAAGTTATGGAATTTCTCTGCCTCAGTTTCTTCATCCTGAAATGACCCTCTTGTAAGGTTTTTGTGAAGATTCAATGAAATAAGGCAGGTAAAACACTTAGCATGGCCAGGTACAGATTAAATGTTTAACAAACGGTGACTTCTGTTGCCACAATCATCATTATTACAGCAGTAGTCTCCAAAAAGGGGTAATGGGTATGACAATCCACTGGGGTGCAGGACAAGAGTATCACCACTTTCCAAATGTTTTAATCTTGCCCTTTTATGTCCCATTTTTATTTGTTATACATGTATAAAGTTAAAGAAAATATTAGGGGTGCAGGCTGATAGAGGTGCACAGTCAAAATCTGGATTCAATGGAATGGAGGCAGGGGCATGCCAGGAAGAATAGTAACACCAGGGTAAGAAAAAGCATTTCTGTCATCGAAAGGTAGCTTGGGCTGTGGAGGAACAGAGTACACTTTTGAGGGAAAGGAGATGTTGAGCGTAAGGGGGTGAAACCAGGTGTGGTGGGAGGGTGATTTGAGAAAAAAGAAATAATATGGAAAATCATGCAAAAAAACCCACCCAGACCTCTGCCTCAGGGGAGTGCCTGAGGGGCTACAGCCTGAGCCACAGCACTCCTCTGCTCACAAGTCTCCAATGGTGCCCCTTAATACTGGGCCTCTAAGCTCAGCAGTCGAGGCCATTGGTTCTCCTTACTGACTTCTTTGCCATCACCACTTTCCTCTTTGCCCTGTCTTCCCTGCTAAACCAGGAACGCCTTCCACCAACATTTTTAATCCAGCTTTCCAGAATCTATACCAGTGCTTTTCAATTCTAGCTTCACTAACAGAACCTGGGGAATTTTTCAAAACTACCAAAGATTTAAGGTCAGCCCTTAGAGATTCTGACTCAACTGCTGGGGTGAGGCCTGGCCTTTGGTAATTTCTAAAAACTTTCCTAGGTGATTTTAATGGCAGCCAAGGAGGCTGAGAACCACTGTTATCTGCTGGATTCAAATGCCGCCTTTTCTAACAAGCCAGAAGGTATTCCCCCGCTAGGGTGCTCTGAAACCACCTTGATTTGACTGGCTTTGGTCAACCACTGTGGATTTATCATTTCTCCATTAGATAAGGGCTGCCAGCCTCCAAGGTATTATGGGAAAGAATCTGTACTTCAAAGGAAAACCCTCCAGGTTGTCTGACTCGAGACTTTCATTGTCTTTGAGTGATTTTACAGGTCAGTAAGTTGCAAATAATTGATGGTAACACAAAGTAATTCTAATACATACTCCTTGCCCTATTTTGTAAAGGTCCAATTGATTTCCCACCCCCTCAGGTAAAAAAAGAGTTTTGTCTCTAATTGCACATTTCTTTCAATACAAATGTGTCTTTTGAGCTGGTTATAACATCGGCCTGGTGTGGTCATTGATTAATAAGTAGAACAGCACATGATCATTTTTGTATCTGCATGAGTCATAATTTTACACTTTTTAGAAAATTACTGCATATGCCTCTTTCCTGCACCCCCTCCCATAGGGCGTGGCTCCTATGGATGGTTGGGGGTAAAATGCACTAAGTGGCTTTCATGCTTTCTTTAGTGACCTCAGCAAATGGAACCATCTACTATTGGTTTTCAAACTGTGCTTTACTCCTCTTTCTATAGCCAGGAGATAAACTAGAGAGGTTAAGTCACTTACCCAACATCAGAAGAAAATCAGTCATCAAGCAGGGGCGTGTTTTTCCATAAACATTTATTTGAGCACCTCCTACAAACCAGGCCCACTGGTAGAAGTTGGGGGTTGAACAGAAAATGAGACAGACAAGGCTCCTGGCCCCACAAAGCTGGTGATAAGGTGATGTCATATGGCAGTTTGCAGTATATATATATATATATATATATATATATATATATATTGATCCCATACACAACCCATAACCAAAGAAAAATTGAGTATTTACCATGATAAACAGAAATATACCTTTAAAATATGACATTAAAAGTACATTTAATAAGGAGTCCAATAGTTTCTTCCTGTACCCCCAAAAGATCATCTTCAGTGCGTCCTGGGGTATATCCATCCCACTTAGAAGGCCCCTGGCCTATAAAATCTAGATCCTTCCCTCTTTGCCCTTTCTTGCTGGCTTCTCCCCCGGTCTGCAGGAAGACACCCAGGACCCGCTCCATAACCCTCCAGGAGCCTTGATTCTGATGAAGCTGGGGTAAATGCCTTCCCTGGCTCTGTGCGTGGGCACACCCCCCAGCTTGACGACTGGGGTTTCTTAGGGAGCAGTGTCTTTTCCTCTCCTGACCCAGAACCATTGATCCTAGGACTGGACAAGGCCTCAGGAGATCATCTCTCTGCCTCAGGATTGGAACTAGTCTAGCCTAGGTTTGAACCCCAGCTTGGGTCACTTTTGTGAGAGGCAGCAAAGTAGTGTCTCACAGTATAGATGCTGGAGCCAGACTGCCTGAGATTGAAGCCTGAGGGTGATATTTAGTAGCTGTGTGGTGTTGTGCAAGTATTGAGCCTCTCTGTGCCTGTTTCATATTAAAAAAAAAAAAAAGGGATAAAAATAGCACCTCCCTCATAGGAGTTATGATGAGGATAAAAAAAATTAAGACAAGTCTAGAGCTTAGAAGAGGACCTGGCACACAGGAAGCACTATATTTTATAAGCATTTGTCATTATTATTTCTTCCTTAAACTGTTAAGGGCTGGAGTTTCCATGTCTGCAAAATAGGCATTAATAACAGCGTCTAACATAGCAAGGCTTCAGCCGGGGCCTGGCAAATTTAAGGGTTCGAGAGGTAATAGTGGTTACCATTTTATTGCTATTATTTAAGGACCACCAGGACATGGATTTTTCAGAAGAGGAACTTGAGGCTCAGGTCGCCTGCCTTCTCAAGCACCACACCCTTTTGAGATAACACAGCACTTTTATATCTGCCATCTTACAGCCTCATGAAGGTATCGATCTCATTCTCATTTTGCAGATAGGCAGGACATCCAAGGAACCTATAGACAGTCACTCCCCCATAGCCAGTCTCTGTGGGGGCTTCTCAACTCCAGGAGGAAAGGGAGTGAGGCTGGATTCCAAGGCAAGTTTATAGGCATAAAGACACCCCTCCGACTTCCTCCCCTCTATTGGCAGGAGAAGGGGTGCATGCATGCTCAGGAATCACGGTAGAGACCACATCCTGTGCTTTGTCGCCACCCAGGAAGTATATCGGAGAGGCTGGGTGGGGTGAGGCTGGTGATTCCACTGGGCCTCCCCAGAAAATCCTAGAATGGTAGAGCAAAAGCCATTCAGACCCAACCCATTTTATTAATACCAGTGGGGTGTCCTGGGTATATGTCCTATCCCTGTAGAGAGGAAGGGGCTAAGCCCCAGAGGGGTAGTAGGTGTGCCCAGGGCGCCTAGCTGATTAGTGGCAGGGCAGGGGCTGGGTCCGAGGCTGGATCCTGGTGGCCCAGGGCTCCCTCTGGATGCTGCAGTGCGGATGTGCCAGTCACTGGCAGCTATCCAGCACTGCAGTCTCCCCCACTTCATCCCAGGAGTCAGTCTCAAGAGGCCAGGCCTTGGGCTTCCCTGGCCCCTCCTCTGCACACTCACATCTACATTTTGCCCCAGCAACAGCTGTGGCCCTTATCCAGAAACTGCAAGTATTTTCTGTATCTCAGCAGATGCTGCCTTAGGAACAAAGGGTAGATAAGGCAAAGAAAGATGGATGAGTGATTGTCACAGCTGCAGAGGGGGATGAAAGCCTCTGCCTCCTGCCCTCCCCAGTCCCATCCAACTCCCAGAATCCTAAATCTTAGAACAGTTGAATCCTAGAATGTCTGCACTGGCAGTGGCAGCCAGTTCAGCAGACTTTGCTCCAGATGGGGCACAAAGCCTTAGAGAAAGGGCTTGCTCAAGAAGTCCCAGCACATCCGGACTGTAACCGGGCTTTCCTCTGACCCCAGGCCAGTGCCCTCGGCGTGGCTCAGGGCCTGCCTGCTAGGAGGTCAGGGTCCACAGGGGCTGAAACTGGGGCGGTCATTCACTTCACCATGAAGGGCTACGCAGGTCAGGATATGCCATCTGGGTCAGTGGAAGCAATCCCAAGCATGTTTTGGGCAAGGGGGAAGGAATAATGGAGGGAAAAGGGCGGACTCTTGGGGGGAAACCAGAGTCCTTTCACAAACCCGGGAGCCATATGTCCAAATTTGGAATTGTCAGAGAAGACCCACTAGAATCTAGGGAAAGGAAGGAGGAGGCAGGAAGCCGTGGCCAGATTAGTTGTCCCAAAGGACCTCCTGCCCTTTCCCCTTGTAGGGCCTACAAGGGTTGTGCCAGGCTTCCCAAATCTATAATCAAGACTCCCAAACCTGCAATCATTCCATACAGCTGACAAATAAATCAGTTTTCAAAGCCATTGTTTCCTTTGAAAGAGACTGGGTTTCTCAACTATGGACTTGGAGAAGGAAATCCAGGCTCAGAGAGGGAAAGCCACCGCCCAAAGTCACACTGCAACAGGGGCTGGGATTCCGATTCAGGGTATTTTGCTCCCATGCTGGTATATGGGGAATTATTTGAAGCCCCCAAACTTTGGGAAGGCCTAGACCGCTTAGGGGATGCAGAAAGAAGGGTAGTGCCCCTGCCTCACCATAGGAGGCCTCGGAGCCCCGTTGGGAGACTGCATTCATAGACAAGCAGTGGCCCAAAGGGGATGGGGTCCAATGAGGCCCTGAGGTATGTACGACCGGACGTTCAGCTCTCTGCACGCAGGCAGCCCTCCCCCGACACCACACACAAGCCATTTTATAAGCAGCTGGAGGGTCCAACGCTCTTGCTCTCAGTCTTGGGCCTCAGCCACACCCTTCTCTGCGGGTCCTTTGACTGGCGTCCAGCTGACCCCAACCCCGGACCTTCAAAGTCTCTTGAGCCCCCCCAAATTAAGGCCGGCAGGACCAGCCCCTGGCTCAGCTCCGGCGCCCAGGACCCTCAACCAGACCCTCTGCAGCAACGGGACTCCCTCCCCTCCCCCTAGCCAGGGCGCCCTCCGCCCGCGCCTCTCCGCCCCGACCCCAGATTTGCTCCGCTGCGCTCCCCAGACACACCCAGTCTGCGACACTCTCGGGTTACCGCGCCCTCCCGTCCCTGCTCCTGGCGGGGGGTACCCATCAGCCGATGACTGGGCGCTTATTTCTTGTGTCCCTGCAGCCCCCGGGAAGGGGTTCCCAGAGCGACTCCCCTCTCCAGCCTCAGCCCACTCACCGCGCAGCGGAGGCCTCGGGTCGCAGACGGACGCACGGGCGCAGGGACTCGAGGACGCAGCGCTCGCTGGATCGGAGCCCGTTAGCCCAGCAGCAACCGCAGCGCGGGGCGGACCGGGAGGACAGCCGTGGGCTCCGAGCCGGACACGTGGCGCGCAGAGGCCAATCCGGCGCGCCCGCCTCCCTCCTCCACCCCACCCCTCTAGCTCCTTAGCTCTTGGAATCTTAGAATGTCACTAGCCCGAGGGGCTTGCCGGGAGAACCTCCTCAGTTTCCAGCCCCCGGATCTGAGACTGAGAAGGATTAGGGGCTTTGGCCAAGGTCACGCGGCCCTTCAGGGCTAGAAGTCAGGGCTCCTGACTCCGGGTTCTGGACACTTTCCCGCAAATTCTTATAAGTCGCCAAAGCTTTGTTGAGAAACAGAAAATTGAGGTTTGCCAGGGGCACTTTATCTGCCTGATCAGATTCCATGCCTCAACAGCCTCATTAGGTCGGTGACATTATTTACCCACTTTCAGGAGGAGAGCCCAGTCCAGTTCCTGGACCAAGGTCACACAAATAGTGGGTTGCGGAGGCAAGCTTCTTCGTGCTCTGGGAAGCAGGGAAGGCAGGCAGGGAGACCAGCAGTTGTAATCCAGCGCTAGAACAGGAAAAATTGATAAACTGAGAATACAGAGGAAACTGAGAATTATTGTCCCCAGGGGATTGGTAAGGAGAAGATGAGGAAGTTAGAAGAATTGGACAGATACCTGCGGAAAGTGTTCCAGGCAGAGGAAACTGCTGGAGCAAATGCTCCTAGCAGGAGGCCACCTGGCGCCTCCGAGGATCAGCAGGGGGGCCAGTGTGGCTGGAATGGAGTGAGTGGGAGGGAGAGGAGAGATAAGAGGGACCCAATCAGGTGGGACCTCCGGGGCCCTTGAAGGCACGCTGTCTTTTACTCTGAGTCAACTGGGGATCCATTGCAGGATATTGAGCAAAGAAAGGGTATTATTTTTGGGTAGATGAAATCCACACAACATAAAATTAACCATTTTAAAGTCAACAATTCAGTGGCATTTTGTACAGACACAATGTTGTGTATCCACCACCTCTATCTAGTTCCAAAATATTCTCTTCACGGAAAAATAAAACAGTATACCCACTGAGCAGTCACTCCTAACTTTCCCTTACCCCTCGTCTCTGGCAACCACCAATTTGCTTTCTGCTTCTGCGGATGTGCCTATTCTGGATATTTCATATACATGGAATCACATGAGATGCAACCCTTCTTGTCTGACTTCTTTCATGTGGCATTTTGTTTGTTTGTTTTTGTTGTTGTTTTTTCACTCTTGTCGCCCAGGCTGGAGTGCAGTGGCGTGATCTCTGCTCACCACAACTTCTGCCTCCTGGGTTCAAGCAATTCTCCTGCCTCAGCCTCCCGAGTAGTTGGGATTACAGGCATGCGCCACCACACCCAGCTAATTCTGTATTTTTAGTAGAGACGGGGTTTTTCCATGTTGGTCAGGTTGGTCTTGAACTCCCGACCTCAGGTGATCCACCTGCCTCGGCCTCCCAAAGTGCTGGGATTACAGGCGTGAGCCACCGTGCCTGGCCTCATGTGGCATGTTTTTGAAGTTCATCCACACTGTAGCATGTATCAGCACTCCATTCCTTTTTTTTTTTAGTTTCAGTTGGAGTTTTGCTCTTGTTGCCAAGGCTGGAGTGCAATGGCGTGATCTCGGCTCACTGCAACCTCCACCTCTCAGATTCAAGGAATTCTCCTGCCTCAGCCTTCCGAGCAGCTGGGATTACAGGCATGCACCACCACGTGTGGCTAATTTATTTTTGTATTTAGTAGAGATGGGGTTTTACCATGTTAGTTAGGCTGGTCTCGAACTCCTGACCTCAGGTGATCCACCCGCCTTTGCCTCCCAAAGTGCTGGGATTACAGGCATGCGCCACCGTGTCCGGTCCAGCACTCCATTCCTTTTAATGGCTGAATAATTTTCCGTTGTATAAGTACACTATAATTTGTTTATCCATCCATCTGTTGATGGATAGTGCATTGTTTCCCCCTTTTGCTGATTGTGAATAGTGCTGCTAATGAACATTTGCATACAAATACTTATTTGAGTACCTGTTTTCAATTGTCGTTGTGTATTTACCTAGGAATGAAACTGCTGGGTCATATAGTAATTCTACATTTAAGTTTTTGAGGAACTGCCAAACATTTTTTCAGAGTGGCTGCAACATTTTATATTCCCATCAGCCATGTCATGTATGAGGCTTTTAATTTCTCCATGTCCTTGCCAACACTTGTATTTTATTTTTTAAAAATTTGTACCCGGCCAGGCACAGTGGCTCATGCCTGTAATGCCAGTACTTTGGGAGGGCCGAGGTGGGTGAATTGCTTGAGCCCACGAGTTTGAGACCAGCCTGGACAACATGACGAAACCGCATCTCTACAAAAAATTAACCAGGGGTAGTGGCACATGCCTGCAATCCCAGCTACTGGAGAGGCTGAGGTGGGATGATCCCTTGAAGCTGGAAGGTAGAGGCTGCAGTGAGCCGTGATTGCACCACTGCACTCCAGCCTGGGCGACAGAGTGAGAACTTGTCTCAAAAAAACAAAAGTACAAAAAACTTGTGCTCTAGTCATTATGAAATGGCATCTATAATTGTGTTTTTGATTTGCATTTCCCTTCTGACTAATGATGTGGAGTATCTTTTTTGTGTGCTCATTGGCCACTATTTGTACATCTTCTTTGGAAAAATATCTAATCATGCTTTTTGCTCATTTTTAAATTGGATTTTTTGTCTTTTTTGTTGTTAAGTTATATGAGTTCTTTTTATATTCTGGATAAGACTTTTGTGTTTGTTTGAGACAGAGGCTCGTTCTGTTGCCCAGGCTGGAGTGCAGTGGTGCCATGTCGGCTCACTGCAACCTTCACCTCGTGGGTTCAAGCAATTCTTTCCGCCTCAGCCTCCCAAATAGCTGGGATTACAGGCACCTGCTACCATGCCCAGTTAATTTTTGTATTTTTTTAGTAGAGACGGGGATTCATCATGTTGGCCAGGTTGGTCTTGAACTCCTGACCTCAGGTGATCCACCTGCCTTGGCCTCCCAAAGTGCTGGGATTACAGGTGTGAGCCACCGCACCTGGCCAAGACATATTTTTTAAAGGGTCACTGAAGTCTCCTGTGTTGGAAATACTGAATACTGTTGGGGGAAGAGTAGAAGAAGGGGATCTGCTAGGAGATTTTGCAGTAATCCAGGCAAGAGACAGGCTGGTATAAATGCAGGTGGGGGAAGTGGTTGGAGATGGGATGTATTTGAAGGTTGAACATGATTTCCGAAGGATCAGGTGGGAGATGAGAAAGAGTCAAGAATGGCTTCAGGGATCCTGGCCTGAGCCACTGGAAGGATGGAGTTACCATCAACTGAAATGAGCAAGACTGCAGGGAAAGCAATTTTGGGAATTAGAAGTGGGGAAAAGATCAGGAGTTCAGTTTTTGACCAGTTTGTTGAACATTTCTATTAGACACCCAACAGGAGATGTCAAGTACGCAGTTGGCTAGTCAAGTCTGGAGTTCAAGAGATGAGATCCTTAAGGGAGAAGAGAACTAAATATGGAGTCCTAGTTCGGCAAAAGGAGTCAGGCTGGCAGGACCAAGGGAAAGCAAAAAGAGAAAGCAGATAAGCTATAAGTCTGCCTTTCTTCATGGCCCAGGATGCATAGCCCTCCTGTGCGAATAACTCACAATCTTATCTGCGCCCAGCTATTGCCAGACCCTCACCTGATAGAAAAATGCACGCAAGCTCCCTGCACCCTTGATGTTATCAGTACTGCACAAAGCCCTCTTCAGCACACAGCACAAGCACCATCCTATAAAATCCTTAGCCAGATTTTGTTTTCTTGCAGTTAGCTTCTGTTTTGCTAACTTGCCCGTTGCACCCTTGCAACGTATTTTCTTTTCTTTTCTGTTTTTCTTTTGAGATGAAGTCTCACTCTGTCGCCCAGACTGTAGTGCAGTGGCACTATCTCGACTCACCACAACCTCCGCCTCCCGGGTTCAAGCGATTCTTCTGCCTTAGGCTCCTGAGTAGCTGGGATTACAGGTGCGTGCCACCACACCTGGCTAATATTTGTATTTTTAGTAGAGATGGGTTTTCACCATGTTGATCAGGCTGGTCTCAAACTCCTGACCTCGTGATCCACCTCGGCTTCCCAAAGTGCTGGGATTATAGGCATGAGCCACCACGTCTGGCAGCAATGTATTTTCATACTTTCTCTAATAAATCTGCCTTTCTTTACCTACAACTGCCTTGGTAAATTCTTCTTACTGCCTGTACCGCCAGCCCCAAATAGTTGCTGATCACCCACGATGCTAAGGACCGAGTCTGAGACACTCTTATGTTACCATTTGGGGAGAGGCCGGACCCGGTGGCTCATGCCTGTAATTCCAGCACTTTGGGAGGCTGAGGTGGGTGGATCACTTGAGGCCAGGAGTTCAAGACCAGCCTGACCAACATAGTTAAACCCCATCTCTACTAAAAATACAAAAAGTTAGCTGGACGTGGTGGTGCATGCTGTAATCCCAGCTACTTGGGAGGCTGAGGCAGGAGAATCACTCCCAGGAGGTGGAGATTGCAGTGAGATGGCACCATTGCACTCCAGCCTGAGAGACAGAGTGAGACTCTCAAAAAATAAAATAAAAGAGTTGGGGAGAAGAAAAGAATTCAGCAAAGGTGACTGGGAAGGAGATTGTAGTAAGATGGGAGGAAACTACCCCAGGAGAATGTGGCAGCAAAGTGAAAAATAAGGGAGTGATCAGGTGTGTCAAATGCTGCTTTTAGGTAAAGTAGGACAAGGTCTACAAATCTATCATTGGGTTTAGCAATGTGAAAGCCAACTTATCTCTTGCTGTGAATTGCAGAATGTTGGGGGTAAAGGCCTGATGGGAACGGTGTAAGATAAAAAGCCTAAACTACTTATTCTGGGAGTTTTGCTGCGAAGGCCAGCAAGGGAATGAGGCAGTGTCTGGCAAGGGAATTGGTGTCAAGAGAAGGGCTTTTGTTTGATTTTTTTAAAGATTGAAGACATAACAGCATATTTGTATGCTGGTGGGAGTTATCATATAGAAGGTAAAAAAATTGATGGAGGAGAGAGAAGGGAGAATTCCTGCAGCAATGTTTGGAGACAGAATGGGCTGTAGTGTACAAATGTCAGGGCTATTTGTATTCTTAATTTGCAATAAAAGTAACTGAAATTTTTGATCTTTGCCCAAATTCAGCCCACGTGACTGAGGCAGGATTGAAAGCCAGATTCCCTTGACTGCAGAGCCCAGGGCCTTAATTCCTGAGCTACAGCAGCAAGTAGGAGTAAACACTAATATACTGCTCATTCTCTTTGAGCTAATCATCACTTACAGGAATCAATCCTAAGAAAATAATCTAAAATACAGAGGAAGCTGTAGGCCCAACACTGTTTTATTGTTGTTGTTGGAGACAGGGTCTCACTCTGTCACTCAGGCTGGACTGCAGTGGTGTGATCATGGCTCAACTGCAGCCTTGACCTCCCCAGGATCAGGTGATCCCCTCACCTCAGCCTCCCAAGTAGCTGAGACTACAGGTGTATGCCACCTGCCCAGCTAATTTTTGTATTTTTTGTAGAGATGGCGTGTCACCATCTTGCCTAGGCTGGTCTCCTATGCTCAAGCCATCCTCCTGCCTCAGCCTCCCAAAATGCTGGGATTACACCAGCATTGGTATAATGTGAGCCACCATGCCCAACTTTTTTTTTTTCATTCTTTTTTTTTTTTTGAGACAGGGTCTCATTCTGTCCCCCAGGCTGGAGCAGTAGCACAATCTCAGCTCACTTCGGCCTCAACCTCCTGGGCTCAAGCTATCCTGATGCTTCAGCCTACGGAGTAGCTGGGACTACAGGTGTGCACCACCACGTCCAGCTAATTTTTTTCATTTTTTGGTAGAGACGAGGTTTCACTGTCCAACACTGTATTTTTAAAATTGTTTTTTATTTCAATGGTTTTTGGGGAATAAGTAGTTTTTCATTACATGGATAAGTTCTTTAGTGGTAATTTCTGAGATTTTAGTGCACCTGTCACCCAAGCAGTGTACACTGTACCTAATGTGTAGTCTTTTATCTCTCCCCACTCACCCCAGAGTCCCCAAAGTCCATTACATATCATTATTATGTATTCATGTCCTCATAGCTTAGCTCCCACTTGTAAGTGAGAACATATGATATTTGGTTTTCCATTCCTGAGTTGCTTCACTTAGAATAATGGTCTCCAACTCCAATGCAGGTTGTTGTGAATGCCATTATTTCATTCCTTTTTATGGCTGAGTAGTATTCCACGGTGTATATATACCACATTTTCTTTTTTTTTTCTTTGAGATGGAGTCTTGCTGTGTTGCCCAGGCTGGAGTGCGGTGGCACAATCTTGGCTCACTGCAACCTCCGCCTCCCGGGTTCAAGTGATTCTCTTGCCTCAGCCTCTGAGTAGCTGGGAACAGGCACCTGCCACCACTCCCAGCTAATTTTTGTATTTTTTAATTAGAGGCAGGGTTTCACCTGTTGGCCAGGCTGGTCTCGAACTCCTGACCTCAGGTGATCCGCCTGCCTTGGCCTCCCAAAGTGCTGGGATTACAGGCGTGAGCCACCATTCCTGGCCCACATTTTCTTTATTTACTCGTTGATCGATGGACATTTAGACTGGTTCCATATTTTTGCAATTGCGAATTGTGCTGCTAGAAACGTGTGTGCAAGTGTCTTTTACATATAATGACTTGTTTTCCTCTAAGTAGATACCCATAGTGGGATTGCTGGATCAAGTGGTAGTTCTATTTTTAGTTCTTTAAGGAATCTCCATACTGTTTTCCATAGTGGTTGTACTAGTTTACCTTCCCCCACCAGCAGCAACACTGTATTTTTCAAGTGCAAAAGGGAAACAACCTACACATCCAGGAGCTGTGGAATTGCAAGCAAGCCGGGGTCACGCAGCCTTGCTTCCAGGTGGAAACAAACCCTGGAAGGAAGCATACATGGGTTGGAAACACGTGAAGATGACATCATCTTTTTGGCACTTCCCAGGCCCCTTCCTCTGTGGAGTGGCCTGTCTACAGGTGTCTGTAAAAGAGACGGCATGATGCTGTGATATGGGCTGGAACAATGGACTGAGATTCCAGATTTTCTCATGTCCCTTGTCAGGGCTGTAGTTTCTCTGATTATAGGAGAAGAAAGTTCAAGATCTCCCAGTTGCCCTCTGAGGAAGCTGGAAATGGTCAAATATTGCCACCTGCTGGCAAGTTCCAGCTCTGCCTGGCTTCCATCAGAAGAGGGTGTATGTTCCCAGAGACAGGTCTTACTTCAAGCTCACTAGAGGAAGGGGCCCCAAGGGATACTGTTCAAATGACTACCTGGAACACCCCCTTCCTCCACAAAAAGTCCCCTTAAGACCTCTCTCAGTGTCTGGAATTCCTCTATAACGGTTGAGGATTGTTTGTTTTTATACGAGAGAAAATAAGGAGATTCTAACGACTTGGCATGAAACAGATTATTTTCTACTATGAGGTCTCAGCAATGGGAGGCCGAGTTGTAGGATGGCAGGGGCCCCTGTGAGAAGCATAGGCCCGAAAACAGCTGAATTAGAAAAAGCAGGGTAGTACAGTGCTTTCCAGTACAGCCTTTACATTTAAAAGAAAATGAACGAAAAAGTCCCTGGGCTTCTGGGGTCCACCGTATTCTAGCTCAGTGACTGTGAACCATTTATTTATTTTTTTGTCTGAGTTTCTGTTAGCTTAGTTATAATAATGAGTATTATAAAAGTATCCACCTTGCAAGATTGTTATGGAATGCACTGATATGACAACAGATCATTTAGTAGCAACTAGCACATAATAATGAGAATAAATATAAGCATTACTACTACTATTAATTTAATGGATGAAGTCCTGGCCTGTTCATCATAAGAGGTGAGAGCTAGTTCTAGCTGGGTTCTATTACCTTGCTCTTGAGTTTTGTTTGTTTCTATATGTACAGAGAGGGGAATGAGAATGAATTATGTCTTAAGATTCTTTTTGTGTTCATACATGATGATTCTGAGTCTCTAACCATCTAAGAGTCCATTTCCCGGTTGAAGGGTCTGTTTCAAGATTCTATGACTCTGAGACCCTCTTTCTGGAATTCCAGAATTCTATAACTCACTCAGAATTCTACCGAAAGCTTCCATTTGCACAAGTTATTCCCTCTGCCTGGAATGAAAGTTCTTCCAAGCCTGGAAGAGGTTGCCTCACTAGCTCTTACTGCATATTTCGCCTTAAACAGCACTTCTCAAAAATTCCTTTTTAATTCATCCTCCAATGTTTTTTATTTTTATTTTATTCTGTTTCATTTTTTGTGAGACAGAGTCTCATTCTGTTGCCCAGTCTGGAGAGCAGTGGCATGATCAACCTCCATCTCCTGGGCTCAAACCATCCTCCTACCTCAGCCTCCTGAGGAGCTGGGACTATAGGCATATGCCACCACACCCAACTAATTTTTGTATTTTTTGTAGAGATGAGGTTTTGCCATGTTGCCCAGGATGGTCTTGACCTCAGGGGCTCAAATAATCTGCTTGCCTCACAAAGTGCTGGGATTATAGGTGTGAGTCACTGTGCCCAGCCCTCCACTGTCCTTTTTATTTATTTATTTAATTTTTGTTTCTTTATTTATTGGTAGAGATGGGGTTTTGCCATGTTGCCCAGGCTGGTCTTGAACTCCTGAGCTCAAGCTACCTGCCCGCCTCGTCCTCCCAAAGTGTTAGGATTACAGGCATGAGCCACCGCGCTCGGCATCTCGATGTTCCTTTACGCATCCCTTCCCATCGTCTGTCCTAAAATTCTGTTTTTTTCCATGATCATACAGATCTTAATTGGTAATTATATTTTTATTTATATGATTTTGGTTAATGCTTGTCTTCTTTACGTTCCCATTGCTTGGTAAAGTAGATAATAACTATTAGATGAATGAAAATTAAATGAATGAATGAATTCTACAATTCAAAGTTTCCATGAGTGTTTATTCCCAAGGTCTTCTATTTCAAACACTCCATACCACCTGCCCCACCTCAAGGTTGACACCTGAGAAGGGAGTGACCTTTCCAATTTCATAATGTTGCCTGGACCGTGTGTGCCCTGCCCGCTTGGTTTCCTACCCCTCCGTTATTGGCCTCTTTGGGATGCCTTGGATTAGAAGAGAAGGCTGAGCCATGTCTCTGCTATTGAAACCAGCCTGTATCAGCTATTCATTCACAGCATGTATTTGTCTAGTGCCCACAAAGTGCCAGGTGCTGTGCTAAGGTACTGGGGACAAAGCATGAGCAAAGCAGACCTGGTCCCAGCTTTTGGAGAGCTCAGAGCCTACGAGCCCAGAGACAGACATTCACGACTCAATTACACAAATTCCATAAAATTACAAACCATGATAAGTGCTGGGGGACGGAGAGGAACAGGGCGCTCTGAGAGCGTACAACAGTTCACAGTCTAGACCCAGGACCTTGGGCTCAAGGGCACAACGGGGCCTTGGGCGGGTCCTGCATGAGCGTTATCTGGGACACGTGGATACTCTTTTTGTGGAATCTCTGCCCTGGGAAACCATCAGCTAGAACTTGGGTTCAAGGTGGTGGCCTGCCAAGCTCCCAGCACTTTCCTTGAGATTCATAAGCCTGTGAGGCTGGAAGCTAAGCAATCACCTCTCAAAGCCCTTCCCCTCCTTTTCAGTGGACTTGGTCACTGAAAAGAGAATGGTAAAGCCCTGGAAGGCCAGAACTCTAGGCGCCCGACACCCTCCTTGAACAGGCCGGGAAACTGGGGCCTAATGAGAAGAGGCTGTGCAAGGTCACACAGCAAGGAGCAAAGCGATAACGAGAACCCAAGCTCCCCAGCGTCCCATTCTCTGCTGCTTTCTACCCTACCTCCCTAGTTCCAAGAATGGTCATTGATTTTATAGAGGGAATACTGTTTCAACCAGAACCTGGGAGGGTTTCCACTGGCTACAAGCAATAGTTAGGACATAGACAAAATTCTGCAGGAGAGCAAGAATCTTACAGCTACATTTGGAGAGGTTTGCCCTGTGGTGGTTACTTAGGACACAAACACACATGAGGGAAAATACATCAGGTGACATGTTTGGATTGAATAGCATTCTTTCATTTTCTTGAAGGAAAATGTAGCTATTTGAGCCTTGAAATGCTAGTTCTTGCATTTTGCAGTGTTGTTTCCAGTAGCAAAAAACTGAAACAATCTAAATTTCCTTTGGCAAAGGAATGGATAAACTGTGGTAAAGCTCAACCTTAGAGTACAATGCAGCATTTAAAAAATAATGAAGGTTGAGACCAGGAGCTTGAGACCAGCATGGGCAACAGCCTGGGCAACATAGTGAGACTCAGTTGCTCCAAAAAAAAAAAAAAAAAAAAAAAATCCAGGTCTGGTGGTGTGCACTTATGGTCCCAATACTCAGGAAGCTGAAGTGGGAGGATTGCTTGAACCCAGGAGATTGGGGCTGCAGTGAGCTGGGATTGCACCACTGTACTCCAGCCTGGGTAGCATGGTGAAACCCTGTTCAAAAAGAAAAAAAAAGGCAGGTGATCGGGGGGAACAAAGGTAGGTCTGTATAGGGCACTAAAGCACATTATTGAGTAAAAAAATGCAAATTTTAAAAAACATATATATAATATAAAGCCATTTACAGAAAAAAGAACTCATGAAAATACTGTATTTTTCTATAGATACACATATAGGTACATAAATGCAGAGAAAGGTCTGAAAGGAAACACACCAAGGCGCTAACCTCTGAGGAAAGGTGGGGATGGCCATGTGTGTTGGGAGGGGGCTGATGGGTTGGTCAAATGGAACTTAAACTTTATCTGTATTTTTCTGAGAGTGAATTTTATTTCTGTATTATTTAAGTGAGATTGTTTTCTAGAAATACCATACTTCAGCGCAAGTGCCAACAAACACTTTCTGTAACAATGTAGACAATGAATATTTTAGACTTGGTGGGCCGCACTGTCTCCGCCCCAACTCTTCCATTCTGCTGTTGTAGTGCAAAAACAGCCATAGATGGGACGTGCAGGAATGAGTGTGGCTGTGTTCCAATAAAACTTTATTTACACACATTGAAACCTGAATTTCATACAATTTTCACGTTACCAAATTTTAATTTTTTTTCAACTATTTAAAAATGTTAAAACCATTCTTAGCTCACAGGCTATGCGAAAGCAGACAACCAGCCAGATTCGGCCCACGGCTTTAAGGCCAGTTTAAGCCTCACCACCTTCCTAGCCCCACTCACCTATTTTGTCCTCTCATCTTCCTGTCCTTCAGCACCCCCATGACCTTCCTGTGACCTTCAATGGCCCCTCCAGCTGCCGTCCAGCCCTGTCTGTCTGCCCTTGGGGACCCTCTCCTCCTGGCTGCAGGACTGTTTTTTCCTGAGCAGGTCTCTAAATAGCTCCATTCGCCTTGGCAGGGGGAATCCAGAGAAAGGAATTTTGTTTGGAGTCATGAGAAGCCAGGACTCACCACTTTGATTTGCTTTTGAAATTAGGTCCCCTCCCCTCCCATGGACAGGGGTCCCTGGCCACTTCCCTGAGCATGCCCCAACAGTCTCTCTCCTGCATTCCCTGCTACCAACATTTGCGTCTTGGCTTCTGGTTGCTCCGCCATGGACCCCAGAGTTCTCTGCTTCTTGGCCTGTTGCCTGCTCATCTAGGTCATTTCAGGTATGGGCATCTTCCATCTCAGCAAATCTTTTTATTCCCCTGCAGTGTCCTGAGGCCCCTGTCTCTTCATTTCCCGGGAGCACTCCAGGCTGGAGTGCAGTGGTGCAATCACATTTCCCTGCAGGAGCAGAAGGAAGGGTGATGAGCACCGGAACCTTGATGTCAGGAGGCTGAGTTCCCCGCTCAGCTCCTTTGCTCACTGTGCTGCTTTGGCCAAATCACCTCTCTGAGCTCAGCTTCTTCATCTATGCAATGACAAGGTTGAACTGTGTGCTCTTCCAGGTCTTTTCCAGACCTAATGGTCCCCTCTGATCTGAAAGATCATTTTTAGTCTAGCAGTCTGGGACTCATGTCATGGTTTGGAGAGCATGGAACTCTGGAATCTGATGGAACTAATTCTGGCTCCTCCACTAACTGGCAAGATTTAATGAGACTGAGTCTCTAAGACTCAGTTTACTTAGGAATATAATGGGAATAACAATAACCTCAAAATTACAGGGTGGTTTTAAAGTTAAACGGTGTATATAAATGCTTAGCCTACAGCCTAGTACATAAACACTCAATAAATAATAGCAATATTATTTTAATTTTAAATACCCTGAGTCTAGCCAGGCATGGTGGTGTGCACCTGTAGTCCTAGCTACTCAGGAGGTTGAGGCAGGAAGATCACTTGAGCCCAGAGGTTCGAGGCTGCAGTGAGCTATGATTGTGCTACTGCACTCCAGCTTGGGTGACAGAGAGAGACCCTGTCGCTAAAAAACAAACAAAAAAAAAACAAGCAAACAAGTGAAACAAAAAACAGAAAACACCCTGAGTTCATCATACTAAGATTATATAATCCTACGATCCTAAGTGTTTACTCCTAGCTTCTTTGAATCTAAGCATCTATAATTTTGTTCACAAAGATCAACAGTTTTAGGGCTTTATCGAGGGCAGGGCCTGAAGAATTTATAGCCCAGAACTTGATAGCAGATAGATCCCCAGGAGAGGCTGAGGCCCCAGAGAGCTATCACCTCTGTCTCTCAGCTTCCAGACATTCTAGGAAGAGGTTGGGGACATAATAATCCCTGCAAAATCGTGGCTGTGCTCAGAACAGGATTTAGAGGGATGTTGTCATCCCAGATTTCCTCTTCCAGATACTGCTTGGCTGTTGGATTCTCCTCAAGGAGCCTCATATGGAAGGAAAGGGGCAGGCACCTTCATGGTAAGAAAGTAGCAGTTTATCAAAGGGCTGATGGTTGGGGTTGGTGGGTTTGTTGGAAGGAGAAGGAACTGGAGAATGGGGGTGCTGGGAGTGAGGTGAGCTCAGATAGATAGGTCATGAGCAGTGAGAAGGAGCCCTGAGAGTTCATGTAGTCCAAGGATTTAAAACCATGTTCTGAGGAATTCTGCTGCCTTACTGCCTGCCTTAGAGTAAGGGTGGGTGGTGATTGAGAAGCTGATGGGTAGGTCTCCAGCTCCCATCCTCTCCAATCAGAGTAACCCGATTATTTGTTTTTTAACATTGACCTTTCAGTATTTCAAGGAATTGTTCTGTTATCTATAATCAACCTATCGATTGGTTTGTTTTTAAACCTGAAAACCTCAGGTTTAGTCTTATCTCTTTATCTCAAAGATGAGGGCTGGGTATGGTGGTTCATGCCTGTAGTCCTAGTGCTTTGGGAGGCCAAGGCGGGAGGATCATTTGAGGCCAGGAGTTTGAGACCAGCCTAGACAAAAAAGTAAGACTCTGTCTCTATTTTAAAAAAAAAAAAAAAGGCCAGGCGCAGTAGCTCACACCTGTAATCCCAACACCTTGGGAGGCCAAGGCAGGCGGATTGTCTGAGGCCAGAAGTTTGAGACCAGCCTGGCCAATGTGGTGAAACGCTGTCTCTATTAAAAATACAAAAATTAGCTGGGCGAGATGGCGGGTCCCTGTAATCCCAGCTACTCGGGAGACTGAGGCAGGAGAAACACTTGAACCAGGGATGGGGAAGTTGCAGTGAGCTGAGATCTCACCATTTCACTCTAGCCTGGGCGACAAGAGTGAAACTCCATCTCAAAAAAAAAAAAAAAAAAAGAAGATGTATGTGATATTGTGTGTAAGGCAGGTTAGAGGCCAGGTGACAAACAGGGGGCTAACATAATAGTCCAGATGTGATCTGACCAGGGCTTGCACAGATGGTGTTAGCAGTAATGATGGAGAGAAAAGGATGCCTCTGTGAACTATTAGGAAGGAAAAAAAAGAGCCTCAGGACTTGGCACAAATTGTGCAACCTTCTCTGTATGCAGAGATGATTTGGGGCTGGGTGGCAGAGAGGCACATGGAACAGTATTGCTTCCTCCTCCATGAGGAAGAAAAATGAGATCAGTTGGTAAAAGTTAAAGACAATTTTTCTTCCTCTTCCACAAGGAAGAAAAATGAGATCAGTAGGTCGATATCTAAAAGGGCTTCCTAGCAGTTGGATCCATTCTGCACTAAGGCCACAGGTGGGACTACAATGGGCTCTGGAGTTAGGCTGGCCTGGGTTTGAGTCTGGGTCTCCTTCTTGGCACAGTACAAGAGAATGTGGAAAAGTTAGTCTCTATAAGCCTCACATGCCTCACCTGTAAAATCAGAATACCTTCTTTGCAGTCATTAAGAGAGTGAAATAAGAAAATGTATTTTAAGGGGCTAGTACTGTTCCAGAAATACTGTAGGCTTTGCCAGTGGTAGCTATTGGTACTGTTAAGTGCTGAGTTCCCTATCATTAGGCATATTTAACCTCATGTTGAATGACCTCTTTTGTAGCATATTCTAGAAGGTTTTGAAATCTTGGTACAAGCTTGGAAAAAACAATGTGTAGAATCCCTTCCAGGGCCCACCAGCAGTTCTCCTTCTAAGGAATTCATTCTAAGGAAGTGATCTATTCAAAGGTGCATGCACAAGATGTTTATTCCAGAATTGTTTATTTCGGTTAAGAATATGAAATAACCTAAATACTCAACAATGAAGAAATAAATCATGATACATCCCTACCATAAAATACCATGCAGGTCATTTAAAATGTTGTTGCAGGGCCAGGCGTGGTGGCTCATGCCTGTAATCCCAGCACTTTGGGAGGCTGAGGTGGGCGGATCACCTGAGGTCAGGAGTTTGAGATCAGCCTGACCAACATGGCGAAACCACGTTTCTACTAAAAATACAAAAATTAGCTGGGTACGGTAGTGCACACCTATAGTCCCAGCTACTTGGGAGATTGAGGCATGAGAATTGTTTGAACCTGAAAGGCAGGGGTTGCAGTGAGCCGAGATGGTGCCACTGCACTCCAGCCTGGGTGACAGAGTGAAACTCTGTCTCAAAAAAAAAAAAAAAAAAGTTGGTGTAGGCAGGGTGCGGTGGCTCACACCTGTAATCCCAGCACTTTGGAAGGCTGAGGTGGGCGGACCACTTGAGGTCAGGAGTTTGAGACCAGCCTGGTGAAATCCCGTCTCTACAAAAAATACAAAAATTAGCTGGGTGTGGTGGCATGAGCCTGTAATTCCAGCTACTTGGGAGGCTGAGGTATGAGACTCACTTGAACAGGAGGCGGAGGTTGCAGTGAGCCAAGATCGTGCCACTGCACTCCAGCCTAGGCAACAGAGTGAGACTCTGTCTCAAAAAATAAAATAAAATGTTGGTGCACATGTATTTCTTGACATAGAATGATAATAACATATTCCTAAGTGAAAATGCAGATTAACAATATGTCTTACATTTTCCATTTTATTTTTTAACAAAATATTTAAAATATTTGCATTTAAAAGCCTTGGAAAAATATGCTTCAAAATATTAACAGTGGTTATCTCTAGATGATAAGCTTCAGAGCAAATTTAATCCTTTGTCTTGGTTTGGCTGTATAATTTATTTTTTATTTATTTATTTTTTTCTGAGATGGAGTCTTTCTCTGTCACTCAGGCTAGATCATGCAGTGGTAGGATCTCAGCTCACTGCAACCTCCGCCTCCTGGGTTCAAACGATTCTCCTGCCTCAGCCTCCCGAGTAGCTGGGATTACAGGCATGAGCCAACACACCCGGCTAATTTTTGTATTTTTAGTAGAAACGGGGTTTCACCATGTTGGCCAGACTGGTCTCGAACTCCTGACCTCATGATCCGCCCACCTCGGCCTCCCAAAGTGCTGGGATTACAGGCGTGAGTCACTGCGCCTGGCCAGCTGTATAATTTTTTCTCTGAGTAAGAATTATTTGTGGTAGTAATAAATGTAAAAATTGACAGAACTCTGAGGTTCCACTGAGGTGAATGAAGGCTGGTGATCCCAGACCCACCCTGTTTTCTCTGCAGGTGAAATCCCGGAGCATGGCAGAACTCCAAAGGCTCAGAAAATGAGGGGCTCCAAAGCAGCTGGCCCCAGTGAGGTGCAGCTTTCAGGAGCCCCCTGCCAGAGAAAACCCAAAGCAGACGGGAGCCAGAAGCCCATGCAGATGAAGACCCCCATGGAGGCTATAGCCTCTGCAACCCCAAGCCCCCCACCTGACCCAGGTGTAGGGAAGGCCCGATTCCCGAAGGTTGGGGACTCTTTGAGCCCCTGGAACAGCACTGCAGGGGGAAGGTGGTCCACTGGAGGGTGCCTGTATATCTGGAGGAGGAGGGGCGAAGGACGCCTGAGGTATGGGGTGGAAGAACTCTGGCAAAATTTTAATGGGTCTAGGAGTGTGTCAGAGGATGTTGGGCAGCAGTTCACAAGCACAGTGACAACAGTTTACAGGGATTAAGATGGCTCAGGACCCACACTGGGCATCCTGTTATGTACAACCATAGGCACCTAAAAGAAACAGTAAGATGGGCCCGCGAGCCCCATCAGATGCATAGTGATTGAACAGAGTAGGAGACAAGCAACCTTCCCACAATCCTGGGCTGCTTAAATGAGGGTAGGGGGTGGACCACAAATAGTGCCTCTAGGGAGGGACGTGGCAATGGAAAAGCAAGAGGCTGCCTGCCTGTCTGACCTATCTGTGGCGGATGGCAGGCTGAATACCACTCTTCTGCCAAGGACACCATAATAGGGAGGCCAAAAATGAAAGCAAAGTTGACCCACCAGTATTTCCCTCTGCCAGTCCAGAAGGAAATCAGGCAGAGGCTGGGATAGAAAACTGGGTTCCAAAGATTCGCCTATCCTCTCTCACTTCAGCCTCTTAAGATGGCTCTGGGACTCTGCCTCCTTTGTGGGTGGAAGTGCATGGAAAGCATTTGCAGGCTTGCACCAAGAGACATCAGGAAGGTGCCGAGGAGCACAAAGACGCTTGTGGCATTCCATTCGTGAAGTGCAAAGTCAAAGGGAAGGAGGGTTAGGCGAGCCAATCAGAAACTACGGGTGGGGCCAATGCAAATCCTAACAGATCCATTGAGAAAGGGGGAAAGATTGGGTGGGTGGGTGGGTGATGAAAGTTGGTGATGGGAGGGAGGACTGTCAGTAGACCAAATGCTGCCCACTAGGAGTATCGGGCCATCCCCATCGCCTGCCCGTCCCGCCCCTACCATCTGTCTTTCAGAATCAAGCACTTCAGCCAGTGCAGCCAGCTGCTGCTGGTGAACTCCTCTGGCGCAGACACCGGGGAATATAGCTGTTGGGCTCCGCACTGTCAGGACGGCGCATGCGCTGAATGCCTGGCCTACCAGAGAAAGACTTTCATCTTCTTCACAGGTGCCCTGGAGTCAGGGTCTCCAAGAACCTGCGTCCAGGAAAGTCCTCCAAACATAACCTTCTTTGGGCTTTCTCTTTAGACTCACCTGTAAGATGAGGGGAGTGTACTAGTCCTCCAAGATCCTTCACGGACATTCAAAGATTCTATGGCTAGTTCCATGGAGAACTGAGTAGTCACAGAGTCCAGCTTTGTCCAACAGAGGAAACACAGGACTCTTCATAGTCAGCAATGTCTCTTACTCAAATGCAACCAAAACAGTAACAATTATCCAATCGAGAGGTTATTGCTTTTGTTTTGTTTTATGAGACTGGGTCTTACGGTCTTGCCTAGGCTGGAGTGCAGTGGCATGATCACAGCTCACTGCAGCCTCGACCTCCTGGGCACAGGTGATTCTCCCACCTCAGCCTCCCAAGTAACTGGGACTACAGGTATATACCACTATACCTAGTTAATTTTTGTATTTTTTGTAGAGATGGGATTTCACTATGTTGCCCAGGCTGGTCTTGAACTCCTGGACTCAACCTATCTTCCTGCCTTGGCCTCCCAAAGTGCTAGGATTACAGGCATGAGCCACTGCGCCCAGCCCTATCTAGAGGTTCATGACCCCTACTACCAAGCATCACCTGGGAGCCTGTTGAAAACAGATTCCTGGGCCTCACTCCCATTAAGACTGTGTGGAGTCTGGGCACCTGCCATGTCAACAAACCCTACAGGTGATTCCAATCTTCAGACAGAGGTGGGAACCCACAGTCAGCGCTTCTCAACTCTGGCTGCAAATTAGGGTCACCTGTAGAACTTTAAAGCACAGACACCAATCCCCTTTTCCGCAAGGCAAGTTCTAATTCACTTGGTCTGGGGGTCAGGAATTGGTCATTTTAAAAGCACCTCAGGTGATTCCAACTTCACCTAATACATAAGCCACAAAACAGATGTGGCTATTTAAGTTAATTAGCGTTAAAGAAAGTTAATTATTCAGTTCTCCAGCTGCACTAACTGTATTTCAAGTGTCCAGGAGCCACATATGCTGAGTGGTTACATATTGGGCAACATAAATACAGAACATTTTCATCAACACATAAAGTTCCATTGGACAGCACCGCTCTTAAAAGCTGGTCCCCAGACCATTCCTGCTCGTTACATCATAGTGCACCCAAGAATCTGACCTGAGATTGTGGTGTTAAAAAGTACTTTGAAGGCCAGGCGTGGTGGCTTATGCCTGTAATCTCAGCACTCTGGGAGGCTGAGGCAGGCGGATCACCTGAGGTCAAGATTTCGAGACCAGGCTGGCCAACATGGTGAAACCTCGTCTCTACTAAAAATACAAAATTAGCTAGGCATGGTGGTGTACGCCTGTAATCCCAGCTGCTCAGGTGGCTGAGGAACAAGAATTGCTTGAACCTGAGAGGCAGAGGTTGCAGTGAGCCAAGATGGCACCACTGCACTCCAGCCTGGGTGACAGAGCAAGACTCTTTCTCAAAAAAATAAAATAAAAAGTCTCTTGATAGAGTTTGATGAATGTTTTTGTCCCATGGGCCTCATGCTCATAGCCAATATCTCATTTGCTTCTTATCAGTTCTATGAAGTAAGCTGGGGTGGGATTATTGCTCCCAATTGACATTTGAGAACCAAGGTCCTACAGCTAGCAGGTGGTAGGATTGGGAACCAAACTTTGACTTCAAGAAGTTCAGTATTTCCTGTAATCTTTTTTTCTTTTTTTTTTTTTTTTCTTTAAGACAGAGTCTCACTCTGTTGCCTAGGCTGGAGTGCAGTGGCGTGATCTCAGCTCGTCACAACCTCCGTCTCCCGGGTTCAAGCAATTCTCCTGCTTCAGCCTCCCAAGTAGCTGGGACTACAGGCACGCACCATCATGCCTGGCTAATTTTTGTATCTTTAGTAGAGACGGGGTTTCACTATGTTGTCCAGGCTAGTCTCAAACTCCTGACCTCATGATCCGCCTGCTTCGGCCTCTGAAAGTGCTAGGATTACAGGCATGAGCCACCGTGCCCGGCCGTCCTATAACCTTTTTTGCATTTTTTACATTGAAGGGCCCTTAAAGATCAAGCAGTCTGAATCCTTGCATTGTGCATGATTGCATGTGCAGAGAGGGAAAGATTTCTTTAATACACACAGCAAGCTAATGACAGATCTGGAACTAGGAAGTTTGTCTTCAGCATCCTCAGTCCAGGACCCCTTCCTTATGAGACAGGAAGGAGCATAGAGAATGGGGATGGGAAGAGATAGTGAGGTTTCAGGTCCCCAAGAAAGACCTCATGCTCCTGGGTGGTAATAGAGCCACTGGGAAGCAACAAATCTTTTTCCCCACATTCCCAGACCCTGAGGAGCTCTTTGTCCCTACAGATAACTACTATGAGGTGGTACAGCTGCGCACTCATCATCCAGCCTTGCTTCCCTTCCAAGTTAAAAACCCCCTGGCCCAGATGGCACTACACTGGGAGCTCCCCACTGAGGAGGTCCCAGTGGGAGACAGACATCTCCTTTGATGTGAAGAAGGGCTTCACTATTCACCAGGCCCAGGCTTCCTTGGCTGGCTCCCTCTTATGCATGGCCAGCCTAGGTGGCATGAGACAAATCTCTACCAAGTACATTCTGGTCTATATCAATTGCACATGGGTCTAGGGCTCTGGGTGGGCAGGGAAGGGGAGGATATGGGGAGATATACCTTCTTCAGGAACCTCTGGTTTCGGCTCTGTGGATTATGGAGCTCTAAACAACATCAGCTTTTGATGACTCTCTATGTAGTCAGCCGTTTTGTCCAGCCAGCCGATCAGCCATGGAACCAGCTGATACCAGCTCAGCCTTTCTATCCATTGACCTATTCACAATCAAGTCAAACTGTTCCATGCATGAATCCTCCATCAGTCAATCATTCCATCACCTACCCATACTCCATTAATTCATTTTACCCATTCATACATCTACACATCCTCTATCAATTCAACCACCTCAACCATTCACCCTCTACCCATTTAGCCATTCTGCCCATTCATTCTATTCATCCATCTCTCCATCCCTCTATCTACCATCAATTCAACAATTCTAACAATCAAGTCAACATGTTTGTCTCTAACTTCTCTACCCTCTTAACCATGGCAGACCCATCTTCCTCCCCAAAACCCACCATCCAAGCTTCAGCAACATCAGTATAACTAGGAGAAAACTTCAGTGTGACCTGCATGGTTCTGGGCCGAGCCAGAGATTGCTGTGGACCTTAGCGAGGGATATTCAGGGCAGAAGGTAAGCAGCGGGTAATGGAGGCTGTGTGTATGTGTGTACATGGTGGTGGAGTGTTGGGGCAGGGAGGTGGGAGTGAAGGATTAGTTAGGACCAAGAGCAATCATGGTGGGATGGAGCTACTGCTTGACTGGGAATCTGATAAACCTGGATTCTGGTCCCAACTCTGATGCTGCTTCTCTGAGTTACCTAGGGCAAATCACTTCCCTTTTCTGGGCCCCAGTTTTCTCATCTTTCAAATAGTAACTTCTCAGATTACTGCGTAAGAATGCATAATTTGTTCCTTTCTTAATTTAACCAAAAATGAGCACTTGCCACATGCCAGACACTGGACTAGGTACTAAGGTTATGAGGATGAGTCTAAAAGAGATGGCTTCTGCTATCTGCAAGTTTATCATCTAAGCAGGGAGAAGTGAAATATGGACAAAAGTGACCATGCAGACAATGCCAAATGATACAATGAGCATAAAACAGGGCAATGCGATAGGGTCTACCTAAGATATAGTGGTTAGGGAGTCATCTCCAAGGTGACATTCAAGCCGAGACCAGACTGGCCTCAGCCACACAAAGATGGTGCTGGAGCAAATGCTCAGGCTCTGTGGCTGGGTGTGTATGTGTAACAGGAGATGAACGTTAGCAACTGTTTCCTTGGCATCTGCTGTGAGATCAGACCTTCCCAAGTGGTGTTGGAGAGGTAGTGTTTCTTTCTTCTCAAAGAACTTACTCCCATGAAATTCAAACATCTGGAGAACGGCTGTGCTAAAAGGTATATTACCAACCTGGAGGACCTGAGGCATTTGTAAGAGGACTTCCTGGAAGAGCTGGAATTTGACAGGAGCCTTGTGGAGAGGGAGGGGGAAGATCCAGACCTGTGGTACTAGGAGAAAGAATAAGGGCGAACATGTCACACCCACATGAGACCCAGAGACTCATCTGTCCCACCACTGCCACCTGTGGAGAATGCAGGGGAGCATGTGGGCCCAGGAACTCAAGCATCATTCTTGAGACTCCCAGGAGCCATCAATGACATGTGAGCAGTGAGCTGATCTTGTATGGGTCCCAGGGAAAGAGTGGCTCAGAAAGACCCATGAGGGGCTATCACCCAGCTGGAGGCCATTTAAGAACAGTATAGGACAGGGAAACAAGGTGCTCTACAAGCTGTGATTTGACAAGATCACCACTTTCAGTAGCCCTGAAAAGGAGGCCAGTGGCACCCAGTGAGGGTGCCCTGTGGAACCCAGTGAGGGTGCCCTGTTCCCCCCGAACTTAAAACACTCTGGCTCCACCTCGCTCCAGTCATTTGTGTAGCCTGAGCTGGCACATAGCGACTTCCCGAGTTCATCTCTCCATTCCCTGCAGTGGCTGCAAGGATGTGATAAAGGTGAACTCCACAGAGGCCTTAGGCATTGGAAAGGGTAAAGGATCATTCTCCCACTTGTCAGAAGAGGAAACTGAGACCCAAGAAGGGGAAAGGAGCATACAGACGGTCAGGAGACACTGGCTTGGCTTTACCAGGATTTCCCCAACATGTTCTTTAGAAGGGTGGAATACCAGAAAGTTCCCTCCCACCCTACCTCACTTCCTCTTATAACCATTACCTGTCTTGGAGATTCAAAATACACAGGTACATGTAACAGACTCAGTGGTCGGAGTCTACCCAATTTCACTTTGCTTTTCTTAATGTTTCCAAAACACTTTTGGTAGTAAAATTCTTCCTCTTCCTCTCCTTTGAGGAGGTAGCATCCCTACAGAAGCAGAGGGCCACAAAACCCACGTTGGGAAGTACTTCCCTGGACTGAGTTACCTCTGGACACTCTTTGAGAAGGGGAGGGAAACCCAGCTTTTCTCTGCAGACTTGAGAAGCTTAACGTTTTTCACAAAGAACCTGGCCTTTAAGGTGCTCTGACACCAAGCTGAAGTGTGACCTTGGGCAAGTCACTTCTCCTTTCCCCAAAGAGATAAATGGTGCCTCTTACCTGACCCTGGTGTGTGAGTCAGAGATGCACCTGGGGCAGCTGATGGACAGTCCGTTTTTATCCCCTACCGTTGGGCCAACCACTCTACATCAGTGAACAGGCCCATGTGGTACACGGGGAGAGCCAGGTACAGCAGGAGGCAGAGGGCACCCTGTATGTGGAGGGGACCTGGGCTAGGGATGCTGGTGTCTACACCTGCTGGGCCACCAACCTTCAGGGCACTGGTTTGGCCACCACCCATGTCCACGTGACTCGAGGTCCTCGTGTCTCCTCTACCCCTTCCTAGCTCCCTCCCTGGCCACAGGCATCTGGATGTGGAGCAATAGGCAGAATCAGGGGTAGGTACCTGTGGGAACATCAGTGTTTCTGATGCCAAAGAGGGGTCCTGCAGTGCAGAAGGTGACTTCTCATTCATCCTCGCAGTCTCTCCCACCCCATCCCTCTGTTTTCACCACTTACTTCAACCTCAGCCTCACTCCAAGCCTTGGTCTATTTTGAAGGCCATCCTTTAATCCAGGCTTCACCCTAGCCCCAGGCCCCACATCCACAATTAGGGCAAAGCAAGGGCCAGTGGGGCTTTGGTGCTTGAGGAGAGTGCCCAGAACCACGAGTGGGCTACCCAGGCCCCAGATTTACTCTTCAGAGATCCCCACCATTGGCAGAAGTCCTTGTGAAGACCCACCTCCCCACCCTCCCAGAAAAACACAAAAGTCACATAAATAAGGTGCCGCATGTTCTTTTTAGTTTCCATACATCGTCTGTCCCAGAGTGAGGAGAAGTTGATCTCCTTCCCACATCCACCACAGGCTGCGTGAGGGAAGCCTGGCTCCCCACAACTTGCTCCTTCTCCAGCCCTGCCCCTCTCAATTAAAACAATGCTTTCTTTTTTCTTTTCTTTTTTTTGAGACGGAGTCTTGCTCTGTCACCCGGGCTGGAGTGCAGTGGCGCGATCTTGGCTCACTGCAAGCTCCGCCTCCTGGGTTCACACCATTCTCCAGCCTCAGCCTCCCAAGCTGCTGGGACTACAGGCGCCCACCACCACGCCAAGCTAATTTTTTGTATTTTTTTAGTAGAGACAGGGTTTCACTGTGTTAGCCAGGATGGTCTCAATCTCCCAACCTTGTGATCCACCCACCTCGGCCTCCCAAAGTGCTGGGATTACAGGCGTGAGCCACTGTGCCTGGACTAAAACAATGCTTTCTAAAGCGCATTCTGCAGCCTGATGTGCCTGTGAGGTGAGAGGTGTGGGAGGGACAGAAGCTTTGTTCAAAGAGGTTTGGGAGAGGCTGGATACTTAGCTCCCTTCTTGTAAGTTTGCCACACACATTGGCATATTAAAGGTTCTGAGAAGTCATTCAGGTCACTGATCTGTTTAGGTGTCCCCAAATAACTTGGCCACCAATCATGTCTACTCCTGGACATTAGTTCAATAAACTAGTGTATCGCAGATGTGCTTTGCAAAAAGCTTCATGAAAAAGTACACATGTGATTCCCTCCAGGGCTTTCCTCGAGGCTCCTGGGTGACCTGTCTGACCATGGCTGGAGAATCAGCACAGCACTCCCCTAGCCTCACCTCTTCCCCCATTTGGCTGTGGAAATGGAGAAACACAGTCACCTCTGAACTTCTAAACCTAGAAACAGAAGGAGACTGTACACAGGGGAATACAGAAGGCAGTCTGGGATGATGTCACTATAGAATGACTGATGAAAAATGCAGATTGACTGTTCTGACGCTGGCTTAGGGCCTGGGGCTGAAGCTGGGGACCTTGAGCAAGGCCCTTTGACTCCTGTGATCTGTTTGCCATGTTGCCAATGAGGAATAGGAACCTGCTTCAAGGATCTTATGAGGACCAGGGGAGGGAGGGGTATGGAAAGCCTTTGATGCAAATGCTCTATGCAGAACAGGAGTTATAATTATAGTCTCCATTAGACATGAAGCTTCCTGAGAAGGATCCGAAATCCACAGACTATCAGGACTGGACGGCCTGCTGAGGTTAGTTACTCTAGCCACCCCTTTTCACTGATGGGGAAGCTGAGCACCAGGTTGTAAAAGCCTGGGCCTGGGATCAGGGGCAGTGGGAGGAGGAGTTAAGGCAGGGAGCAGGAATGAAAAAGAAACTAAGTGGGTGAGGGCCAGGGAGAGGAAGATTAAGTCACAGATCTGATTTTCCAGAGCCTGAAGAGAAAAACAGAGCAAAGGATAAGACCCGGATGACAGATGAGATCTAGATTCGACTCTGGGAACTGCTCCATGCCTTGGTTTCCTCATCTGTGCAGGGATGAGGTTCCAGCTCTGATAGATGAATGGACTCACAACCACCAAGCTTGCCCCTGTGCCCAGGTGGCACCAAGACTGAAGGGCCAGGAGGGCTGAGGGGATGCACCTTGCCTGGTAAAGGAAGAGGAGCTCTGGCTACTGTCCCTTGGTGGACACGACTCTGGCCCAGGAATGATGCCTCAGCTGGGGAGGCTGCCTGGCCCTGTCAGCCCCAAGGGCCTTCAGAGACCCCCTCTCTACCACTCACCTTCCCCACTCTGATTTGCGGGGTTTGTCCACACTCCCCCCAACCCCTACTCTGGCCTTCAGACAATCCTAGAATGGGACACTGCAGTGACATAAGAGTCCTTTGACCAGTCCCCCCACCATTTTAATGCAGGGGTAAACTGAGGCTCTGAGCAGGCCAGGGTGGAGTGGAAACACCTAGAGGAAGTTGATAAGTCAGCAAGTCGGCAGCAGAGCTGACAAGCTGGGACCAGGGGCTGTCTCCTTTATGTCAAATGGCCAGCGTGACACAGACTGCCCCTGGGAAAGCCTCGGAACTTCTCGGATTGGGACAGAGTGCTGGGGCAGGGAGGAAATGTCTCCTCTTGCTTATTCCCTTGGCCAACTCAAGGGAAGACGCTTCTCGGGGCCTCCAAAACCCTGTGGGTGATTCCATGTAACTCAAGGCCCCAGGGCTCACTGGGCACACACCCAGGATCTCCATCTCGCTCCCACCCTCGTTCCTTCCTGGAAAAGAACTGAGAGGCTCCTGCTGTCTTCTCCAGAAAAACCTT
Organism: Homo sapiens; assembly: GCF_000001405.40. Taxonomy (NCBI): domain Eukaryota; kingdom Metazoa; phylum Chordata; class Mammalia; order Primates; family Hominidae; genus Homo; species Homo sapiens. The sequence goes on from NC_000005.10 coordinate 151,183,389, forward strand.
GGAAGGAGCTGTGACTTCAGGCGTCGTGGTGGGCCCAGGCCCTGCACCCTATGTGGCGAGGAAAGAGACCTCAGTGGGAGTGACAGGGGCCAGAGGGAAGGCAGGCGAGGCATTGGCCCCAAGGACCCGGTACAACAGCTCCTCCTTCTCCTGCTGGAGCTGTCGCCGCAGCTGCACCTCCTTCTCCAGGGCCTCACGCGTGAGAAGCAGGTCTTCTGACAGCTGCCTGTGGATGCACACAGAGCCCAGGGTTGCCTACTGGGAGCAGCTGCCACAGAGACCAACCCATTCCCCCAGGAAGCCTTCCTTAGATGGACCAGCAGCCTGCTGCAGGGTCCCCACTGCCCTCCTTGTTGGCCTGTATACAAGAGGCAATTCAATCTGTTGACCAAGGAGCGGGGGCCTCACAGACAGGCAGGCAGTTCTGAGCTGCTTCAAATCTCTGCTCTACCACTTAGCTATATAATCTTGAATAAGTTATTCATTCTTCTTAAATTTCAGTCTTCTCATTTGTAAAATGGGAAGAAGAAGAATAGGACCCAGCTCTTAGAGTAATTATGAGGATTAGATGAGAAAATATGTACAGTATTCAATAAATTATGTCTGACACATGATACTAGCTCTTATTTACTAAGCCCTAAGAACTGATTCATTCCACTTAGGCCTGGTGCACTATAAATTTCCTGTTTCCTCCTCCCTATATTGGGCTTTCCCACAGAGTACACTCAGCCAGGACAGAGACAAACAGATACTAATCAAGGCATTGGGACTTTGGTTTCTGAGCAGAACTGCCCCCTTGGGTTTCTTGACTCCCAGGGAAAGAGGAGCCACATTCCCTAAATAGGCCCTGGGCCCACCTGTCAGTCCATTCCTCAGGCCCCTCTAAGACTCTCCCAGCTGGGAATTTTGGCAAAAAGGGTGGGGATGGGAGTAAAGGAGGCAGGAAGACAGCTACCTTGACAGGACCACCTGGTTGCGGCTTCGGACATGGAGGTCCTCATTTTCCTGTTGCAGGGTCGTAATTTTTTCCTCCAATATCAGATTTTTCTCTTTCTATAACAATGAGAATGAGCTCAGAAAGCTGCCAAACTCACGCTGCACGATGTGTGCTGTCACCTCCCTCTTATCTGTGGTCACTGAAAGCACTGATTCATTCTAGACTAGATGTTACATTTCATGGAGCAATAAGGTAACTTAGAAAAAAGTAAAACTAAAAAGTTAACAAAGGGCTGCGGCTTTTTGCCACAGGAGAATGGTAAAAAAAAATTACAGGCCCTACCATCTCATTTCACCATGAGTTCATGGAAGAAAGAATATGTTTTGTTCTCCAAAAGTCAGAAGGATATGATCTATATAAATAAAATTAAGTTTGTCTGTTATGTGTTTCCACAAAAATGAGCGAACAAAATCTATACGGAATGTTTGAGATGATCTGATTAAAATAAAGCCCTGTGGGTGATTCCATGTCACGTGACTCAAGCCCCCAGGGCTCCCTGGGCACACACCCTGGCTCCCCATCTCCCTCCTACCCTCTTTCCTTCCTGAGAAAAGAACGGATGGTGACATGAGATGGTAGTGCCTGTAAGACTTTTTTTTTAAACATTCTCATGTGGCAAAATTAAAAGTCAGCAGCTTTTTGTTAACTCCTTAGTTTTATTTTTTTAATTATAAGTTGTAAGGCACACAGGAGGCCAGGGAGACTTCTACAGCAACATAATCTCTGCTTAGATTCAACCCTAGGGTTTCTGAGGCTTCTGTCCTCCCGTGTTCTCAATGCTACCTGCCCTAGTGTCACCCAAGCTACAGCAACATCAGTAGCCTCAAAAGGCACAGGACTCAGATGATAAGGAGCCACTGCTTGACCCAGCCTGGCCACAGACCATGCTCAGTGGTCAGCACAGGTGGCAGGTCAAAGCTGGAGTGAACTAGGCTGGGACCTCCTCAAACCACCTCCCCTCTGCATGCTTTACAAAGGAAACACCCAGAAAGCGGGAGCCTGAGGCTGCATCCCCCAGCCACTCCCAGTCACAGACCACTGTTTCCATGAGGATCAGCCGCCTGTCCAGCTCATGAATACGCTCATTCTTCATCTCGATGACAAAGTGTAAGCTCTCCAGCTCCTGCTCCCAGAACTGGCTGGGGCTCCCATAATCCTAGACAGGGACAGAGTGACCTCATTAGGCCAGTAGGCTACCTCCCTCCTCCCCATTCTGCCAGCAACTCATTGTTGGACTTTCACAAGTCACCCACCTTCCTCTCTCAGCCCATGTTAAGTGTTTAATATGCTTTATCTCCCTGTATCCGAATATCACCTTTTGAGACATGTGCTAGCACCACAGATGAGGAGACTGTGGTTCGGACAGGTTGAGTCACTTGTGCTAAGTGGCAGGTTTGCTATGTGCACCTAGTTCTCTCTGAATCCAGAACGTGAGCACTTTACTATTCCAGATGCTGCTCTCTGGGCCTTAATTTTCCCATCGGTGAAATGGGAACTCTTTTATTTCCAGGCCCTTGTGTAGGTAAGAGTGCCAGGTCTGAGTCTTGTCCTTGAAGAGGGGCTGGTCTTTCCTGTTGCCCGGCCCTGACCTCCCTGGAGATTCAAGGAGGAAAAGCGCCCAGGGTGCTGCCACCTACCTGGATATGTTTCTTATAGTTTCGGCTCAGAATGGACTCCTCCACCCTCTTCATTTTGGCCTGGAAAGCCTCCAGCTGTGAGGTCAGTCTGTCTATGGTCTCCTGGAGCAGGGAGTGGGATGGAGACAATCAAAGCCTGCCTCATAAATGCTGTAGGTGAACTTCGCCACATCCCAGAGGGAGAACGGTTTTGGGTTCTTCAATCTGTCTTTGGCTACTCTACATGACAATGCAACATCAACATACTTCGACCACTGCTTGAGATCTACCAGCCCTTACAGTGCAGAATTGCATGCTGGGAAGAGAAAGAAAGAAGAGAAAAGAAAAGAGGAAAGAAAAGAAGACGGGAGGGGAGGGGAGGGGGACGGGAGGGGGAGGGAGATAGGGAGGGGAAGGGAGGGGGACAGAGAAGGAGAAGGAGAGGGAGGGAGAAGGAGAAGGAGAGGGAGAAGGAGAGGAGATGAAAGGAACATACCAACCCCACCTCTTGCTTTAATGCCTTTAACGGCTCCCCATACTGCAGGGAACAATGTCCTGCTATAAAAGATGGTTGTTAGCCTGGCATTCAAAACACATCCAAACCAGGCTCAATGAATTTTTCCAAGCTCACCTCTCACTGCTCCTTCTATACATCCTCTCCTGCAGCCAAACATCACAATAGTCCCCCAGCTGCAGGGTACATTCTTATCTCCAAACTGTTTCACTGCCAAGAACTTTCTCTACTTGAACCGTGACCACTACCGTTAGGCTAGAGCACAACCCCTTAAGGTGGCTCACTGGCTTCCACTCTGGCCCTTGCTCACGTTCTTAGCCTTAGTCCCCTCTCCCACTGAAACTCATACCCCAGGCATCCTGGACATCTTTCGGTTCCTCAGGTATTCCATATTTTTCCTTTTTCCTCCATGTCTTTGAACACATTGCTTTTTTTCTGCCTGAGGCACCCTTCCTACCCTTCTTTACCAAAGAATTCCAACCCATCCTTCAGACTCCAGCTTAGATCTCACTCCCTCTAGGAAATCTTTCCTGCACAGCCACATTGAGTCAGATGCTTCCCTGCATCCTTCCACAGGTCCCTGTGCATCCACCCATGAATCTAATCACACTGTGGCACTTGGCCCATGCCTCTCCAAGATCTCCCCAGCAGTCCCTGGAAAAATAGGCCCAACTCAATTTCACACTCAGTCCTCTTGAGCTAATAGCCTGGTTACTACATCAAGGGGCCTGGATACACAGAAGGCAATCACCTCAGCCCCTCACTCCTAGGCACACGTAATCAGTTTTGGCTGCCTTGGGGCTCCATGCTGCTTTCCCATTGGTCCTCACTTACCCTTATCCAAGACTGACACGACCCAGCCCCTCTCACCTGCTGGGTAGAACTGGCCTCCCGGAAAGAGTGGGTAAGCGCTTCTTTCTCCTGTTCATATGAGGCCCGGAGGACTGTAGGGAAAGGAGAACTCCATAAGCTCAAGACACTTCTCCCCAAAGCCTTCTGCAGGCCCCTTGGTGGCCAGGAAGGTCCAGATATTTAACTGGGGCCCATAGAGGCCAGGAGTCTAGGAACGGTCTTATTCATCCTTCTGTCTCCTAGGCTTGCTTGGGGGCTGTGCCAGAAATGTACTAGGTATTTAATAAAACCTCAAGGAAATTGAAATAAACTATAGCCTGGGAGGAACGCTACCAGATTGCGGGTGCCATCCACACCTCACTAAAGCTAAGATCCAAAGATCTTGCAGGAAGCATGTTCACCTAAGACCACCTCGGGCCACGGAAAATGCATAGGACAATGCTTTGTAAACTGGATTAGCGAAATCACAAAATCATTAAATCCTTAGTTGTCAAACTAAAGCACAAAACTGCAGTAAGTACATTGGATTTGTGGCTAGGAAATCCACCTGGTCCTGGCTCTGCCTTTCCGAAACTGAGAGACCTTGAGAAGATCATATCAGACATCTAAAAGTCCAGTTACCTCAACTGTGAAATGGGATCAATAAACTGGATCTGATTGTCTCAAAGGGGTCATTTGAGGATCACATGAGAAGGACGTGCAAGGGCTTCACAGACAGGGCGGTGCTGTACACAGCTGAAATTATCGTCATTCCCCAAATCAATACAGTTGTATGTATCATCCCATCTCCTTCATAAAGTTCCTTTTGGAAAATTCCAACCTTGTCTCAGCTGAAAAAAGACAATGGGCAACTGACAATCAACGGGCAGAATGGGAAATAGAACAGAGGAGACAGGAAAGTATAATACAGCCAAAGAGCCAGGTATCTGGCAGTGATGAAAAAAATAATGTTCAAGGCCGGGCACGGTGGCTCATGCCTATTATCCCAGCACTTTGGGAGGCTGAGGTGGAAGGATCACTTGAGGCCAGGAGTTTGAGACCAGCCTGGCCGACATGGCAAAACTCTGTCTCTACTAAAAATACAAAAATTAGCTTGGCATGGTGGTGCAAGCCTGTAGTCCCAGCTACTCAGGATGCTGAGGCAGGAGAATGGCTTCAACCCGGGAGGCAGAAGTTGCAGTGAGCTGAGATCACGCCACTGCACTCCAGCCTGGGCAACAGAGACTCTGTCTCCAAAAAAAAAAGAAGAAAAAAATAATGTTCAGTAATATAACTGTGGTAGAGTAGTAAAAAATTTATAAGAATTTATCAATATATAATATTTATAAATATATAATATCAATTTATCATATAAAAATTACAGCCTTAACTTTTTAAAATTATTGGCCTAATTTGTTAATTTGCCTATCAAGACAGGTTCTGGTTTCAGGTAAGATGAAGGAAGCACACTCCATCCAGTTTTTCCTACTGAATGTAGCTATAAAACCTGGACAGAATGAATTCTGCAGTTATTTGCAGACTGAAAAGTAAATGGTAGCAGCAGACTGAGCAAGAAGACCAGAATTTGAAGTACCACTGACCCAACAGATTTAGACAAACCCAGAATCTCACGTATTTAGATATTTTAAATGTCCAGGATACAACCCCAAATTTCTCAGCATACAATACAAAATCACTCAGCCTAAAAAGAAGCAGAAGAAAAACTCCCTTGAGGAAAGATATTCAACAGATGCCTAAACTGAGATCCTATAGATGTAGGAATTATTAACAGAGTTTTTATGGTAATCAATGTAAAAAGACTCCAAGAAGTATGGGTGTTCTGTCACTGACGGCAAGAAGGAAAAAGAGAAAAGGAAAGTAAGAGTGAATATACTTTTAGGAATAATAGAAAAATAGAAAGTCTTAGCAAATAAATAGAGTTATTAAGAAGAACCAAAAGGAAATTTTAGAACTAAAAAGTATAATAAGTGAAATAAAAACTCACTAGGTGAAATCAATAGCAGAATGGAGATGAGATGATAAGAAAGAGCCAGTGAACTTCAAGATAGATCAATAGAAATTATCTGATCTGGACAATAGAGGAGAAAAAAAGATTAGAAAAAAAAATGAACGGAGCTTCAGAGACCTGTAAGATAATGCCCAAATAGCTAACATTACTATCATCACAGTCAAAGAATTAGAGGAAAAAGGGTGCAGTGCAAAAAAAAAAAATTGAAGAAAGAATGATTGAATATTCCACAAACTTGCCAAAACATAAACCTACAGATTAAAGAAGATCACTGAACTCCAAAGTAAGCCCAAAGAAATCCACACCCAGACAACATCATTTCCAAAAGCTAATGACACAGAAAAGGTGTAGAATGGAACCAGATAAAAATGGTACACTACATATAGGGAACAACAGCTTGAATAACTGTGTGTTTCTCATTAGAAACCTTAGAGACCAGAAGAAAAAAATTTAAAAACTGCTGGAAAATGTTGATGTTCATAATGTTGGGTTGAGGTCTACCATTTTAGGATGTGTTTTCTGTTTGTTCTCGCTGATCTTTATCCTCTGTTTTCTCTTTCCTGCTTTCTTTTGGAGTACAAAACCATAACAAAAAGCCCAGAATCCCATATGCAGTGAAAATATCCTTCAGGAAAGAAGATTAAATCGAGACATTCTCAGATGAAGGACACTTAGAATTCATCACCAGCAAACCTGCTCTAAAAGAATTGCTAAAGGAAATTCTTCAAATGAAACCAGAGGGAAACTTGAAACTTGAAACTTCAAGAATGTAGGAAGAGTAACAGAACTGGTAAAGACCTAAGTAAATACAATAGACTGTTCTTCCCTTGAGCTCTTTAAAATATGATTGATGATTAAATGCAAAAATTATAACCTTGTCTGATGGGGCATTAGATGTATGTAGATGTAATACATGAGATAAATGTAACAAAAATGGGAGAGAACAGAGGAACCTACATGACGGTAAGCTTTTTACATTCCATTAGATGTGGTAAAATAGCAATTTCAGGCCGGGCGTGGTGGCTCACACTTGTAATCCCTGCATTTTGGGAGGCCAAGGTGGGTGGATCATCTGAGGTCAGGAGTTCCAGACCAGACTGGCCAACATGGTGAAACCCGGTCTCTACCCAAAATACAAAAATTGGCTGGGCCTGGTGGTGGGTGCCTGTAATTTCAGCTACTTGGGAGGCTGAGGTAGGAGAATCGCTTGAACCCAGGAGGCAGAGTTTGCAATGAGCCCAGCTCATGCCATTGCACTCCAGCCTGGGTGACAGAGCAAGACTCTGTCTCAAAAAAAAAAAAAAAAAAAAGGAACTCTAAGTAGATTGTTAAGTATATTGTAATTCTTAGAGTAACCATTAAAAAAAATACAGAGATACAGTAAGAAAGACAATAAATAAGTTAAAATGGAACACTAAAAAATGTTCAAATACTCAAAAAAAAAGCAGGAAAGGGAAAACAGAGGATAAAGATCAGCGAGAACAAACAGAAAACACATCCTAAAATGGTAGACTTCAACCCAACATTATGAACATCAACATTATCAATAACAACAGTAAATTAAATGGCTTAAACATACCAAATAAAACACAGAGTATGTCAGAATGGGTTTTTAAAAACCCACCTGATGGGATCATTCATACCCCAAACCTCAGCATCATGTACTATACCCGTGTAACAAACCTGCATGTGTGTCCTGAATCTAAAATTAAAGTTGAAATTAAAAAAAAAAACCACCCACCAACTAACTACGTGCTATTTACAAGAAACCCACTGTAAATAGATGTTATAGGTAGGTAATAAGTAAAAGGGTGGAAAAAGAAACACTAATCAAAAGAAAGTCATAGTAGCTATATGATTTGCAGATAAAGAACTGAAAGGAGACATAGACAAATATGCATTATAATTGGAGACTTCAACACTCCTCAGCATTCCACATAAAACAGCCTGAAAATCAGCAAGAATATAGAACTGAATACTAACATTAACCAAACTTTATCTAATTGATTTATATCTAAAATACTCAACCCAACAATAGCAGAATACACATTCCTTTCAAGTATACATGAAACAAGATCGACCATACCCTGAGTCATGAAACAAACCTTAACAAACTATAAAAGCAGCAAAATACAAACTATGTTCTCTGACTGTAATGCAATCAAACTGGAAATCAAATAACAGAAAGAGAACCAGAAAATCTCCCAACACTTGGAAATGCACTTCCACATATTCAATGCCAGAGAGGAAGTCTCAAGGAAAATAAGACTGAAAATATTTTGAACTCAACAAAATGAAAATAAAACCATCAATATGTAGGATGCAGGTAAAGCAGAGTTTAGGAGAAAATTTATAGCTTAAATGTTTATATTAGAAAAGGAGAAAGGTCTCAAATCAATATTCTAAGCTGAAGAAATCAGGAAAAGGTATCAGGCCCAGTGACTCACACCTGTAATCCCAGCACTTTGAGAGGCGGAGTCAGGAGGACTGCTGAGACCAGGAATTTGAGACCAGCCTGGGTAACATAGAGAGACCTGCCTCTGTTAAAAATTTAAAAATTAGCTGGCTAGGTGTGGTGGGGTACCTATAGTCTCAACTACTCAGGAGGCTGAGGTGGGAAGATTGCTTGATTCCAGGAGTTTGAGGCTGCCCTGAGCTATGATCATGACACTGTACTCCAGCCTGGGAGACAGAGCAAAACCCTGTCTCAGGAAAAAAAAAAAAAAAAAAAGAATGAAAAGAAATAAAAAAAAAAAAAAGCTAACCAAATATAAAGCAAGCACACAGAAGGAAGGAAATGAAAATAACAGAAACCAGTGAGATGGAAAATGGTAAAATAAGGGGGGTGGGTGGGGAAATCAATGAAACCAAAAGCTGGTTCTTTGAAATAATTAATAAAATTGATAACCTCAAGCAAGACTGACAAAGAAAAGAGAGAACATACACATGACCAATATCAGGAATGAAATATCACTACAGACACAGCAGATATATGAAATGATATTAAGGAAATATGCTGAACAATCCTATGCACCTAGATTCAACAACTTAGATGAATGTAACAATTCTTCAAAAAAAAAAAATGACCAAAACTCACCCAAGGTGAAGTATATAACCTGAAATTCCTTTAAATATTAAAAAGAAATTGAATTTGTTGTTAAACACTTTGAAAGACATGCCCAAGCACAGATTATTTCATTGAAAAATTCGATTAAACATTTAAAAACGATATAACACCAATTCTATATAATCTCTCCCAGAAAGAGAAGATGAGGGGACATTACTACATGGGGCAAGCTTTATCCTGATACTAAAACCAGATAGTGTAAGAAAACTACAGGCCAATATTCCTCATGAACATAGACACAAACATTCTCAGTAAAACATTAGAGGATCAAATTCAGCAATACATAAAAAGAGTAATATAACACAACCAAGTGGAGCTTATGCCAGGAATGCAAGGCTAGTTCAATGCAGTCAGCCTTCTGTATTTGCAGGTTTCCCATCCTCAGATTCAACCAAGTGTGGATAAAAAAAATTTGAAAAAATAAAAATAAAAAATACCAAACAACAATAAAAGATAATACAAATAAAAATACAGTCTAACAACTATTCACCTTACTTTTACATTGTATTAGGTATTATAAGGAATCTAGAGATGATTTAAAATGTATGGAAGGATGTACATAGGTTATATGCAAATAATACGCCATTTTATATAAGTGACTGGAGCATTTGCAGATTTTGGTATCCAAAGTGGGTCCGAGAATCAATTCCCCATGGATACCTAGGGATAACTATATTTGAAAACTCAAACAAATGTAATCCACTATATTAACCATCTAAAGAAAAACCAGGCCAGATGCGGTGGCTCACACCTGCAATCCCAGCACTTTGGGAGGGAAAGGCCAGTGGTTCATTTGAGTTTGAGACCAGGCTGGGCAACATGGCAAAAACTCATTTCTACAAAAAAAAAAAAAAAAAAAAAAAAATTAGCTAGGCATGGTGATGTGCACTATAGTCCCAACTACTTGGGAGGCTGTAGTGGGAGGATCACCTGAGCCCCAGAGGTGGAGGCTGCAGTGAACCAAGATAGCACCACTGCACTCCAGCCTGGGCATCAGAGTGACATCCTGTTGGAAAGAAAAGAAAAGAAAAAAGAAGACAGGAGAGGAGAGGAGAGGGAAAAAAGAGGAAGAAAGAAGAAAGAGAGAGAGAAAGAAAGACCACATGATTATATGGATCTTAGATCTAAATATAAAACCATAAGGCTTTGGAAGAAAACATTGAAGAAAATCTTTGTTACCTGGGGTTTAGCAAAGAGTTCACAGACATGACATAAGAAGTATAATCAAAGAAAAAAATAAATTGGACTTTATCAAAATTAAAAGCTTGGCTTTGTGAAAGACATTATTAACAGAATGAAAAAAATCACCCCACTGGCTAGGAGAAAATATGTGCAAATACAAAGAACTCTTGTCCAAAATATATAAAGATATCTCAAAACTCCACAGTAAGGACAAGCAAGTTAATTTAAATGGGAAAAAGACCTGAACACACATTTGACCAAAGAGGATATGTAGACAGCAAATAAGCACATGAGTTGTTATTGAAATGTAAATTAAACCTATGGTGAAGATTACTGCACACCTATTAGAACAGCTAAAATAAAAAACCAGTGACAGCAAGTATTGGCATGAAGTAGCAACGGTATAACTCATACATCACAGATGGTGATATAAAATAGTGGTCACTCTGGAAGACAGTTTAGCTGTTTCTCATAAAGCTAAACATACATTTATCATATGACCTATCCCACTCCTGTGTATTCACCCAAGATAAATGAAAACCTATGTCCACACAAAGCCTGCACATGAATGTTAGAACAGCTCTATTCATAATTGCCTCAAATGTCCTGCAACAGTGAATGAGTAAACAATGGAATATAACTCCACAATGAAAATGTATGAATTATTGAGATATGCAACAATTGGAATGAATGTCAAAGGCATCGTGATGCATGAAGGAAGCCAATATAAAAAATCATATTGTATTATTTCATTTATGTAATAGCCTAGAAAAGACAAAGCTACAGAGATGGAGAACAGATCAGTAATTGCCAGGGGTTAGGGTGGGAGAAGGATGTGAATACAAGGGTATTTTGAGACGGCTTTTTGGGAGTGATAAAACTGTTGTGTATCCTGATTGTGGCGATGGTTACAAGAATCTATACATGCGGCAGGGCGCGGTGGCTTACACCTGTAATCCCAGTACTTTGGGAGGCCAAGGCGGGTGGATCACGAGGTCAGGAGTTGAAGACCAGCCTGACCAAGATGGTGAAACACTGTCTCTACTAAAAATACAAAAATTAGCTGGGCATAGTGGCACGTGCCTGTAATCCCAGTTACTCGGGAGGCTCAGGCAAAGAATTGCTTGAACCCGGGAGGCGGAGGTTGCAGTGAGCCGAGATCACGCCACTGCACTCCAGCCTGGGTGACAGGGCGAGCCTCCATCTCAAAAAAAAAAAAAAAAAAAAGAATCTATACATGCATTAGAATTTATGAAAATGCACATCCCCTCAAAAAGAGTCAATTTTACTATATGATAATTTAAAAAATAAAAAAAAGACAGCAAAGGGTCATCGAATGTGGAAAATCACCACTAGTCTCTCCTGGTTATCTGTGTACCTCTCCCCATACATATAAAATGTCATATATTTCCACCATCCTGTGCTTTCATTCATTCATTATAGACTTATGTAGCACTTAGTATGTGCCAAACAATTTAAAAATAACTATAGAAGAATTCTGACTAATGGGAAAAACTCAAGACAGGCAATCTCTTCTCCCCTGGGTGTTACAGTAGGAAATTCTTCTTATTAATATATTTGTAACGCTAAAAATAATATCAAAGCAATGCTTGGAGAATAAAGTTGTTTTCCCATAAAGTCTTGTGAGGTACAGAAGGTAGATTTTAGAGATAGAGAAACTGAACCAAGATTCAAGGAGGTTGAGTGATAGCCCCAGTTCAACAGGGTATGGTATTATTAAAACACAATTCTTCGGCTGGGCGAGGTGGCTCACGCCTGTAATCTCAGCACTTTAGGAGGCCGAGGCAGGCGGATTATGAGGTCAGGAATTCGGGACCAGCCTGGCCAACATGGTGAAACCCTGTCTCTACTAAAAATACAAAAATTAGCCAGGCGTGGTTGCAGGTGCCTGTAATCCCAGCTACTCGGGAGGCTGAGGCAGAAGAATCACTTGAACCCGGGAGGCGGAGGTTACAGTGAACCGAGATCATGCCACTGCACTCCAGCCTGGGGGACAGAGTGAGACTCCATCTCAAAAAAAAAAAAAAAAAAAAACACGCACACTCACACCCACACACACACCCACACACACCCACACCCACAAAACCACAATTCTTCAATTTCCAGGCAAGGACTTTAATTCCATTTCACAATGTTTGCAATAATGTGTGCTAATGTTGCAATATGTTTCAAGATTCTTAAAATCATTCAGACCTCTGTTCTAGTTATTCCATCTGGGTAAATCTAAGGACATAATGTGAAATACCGGCAACATTATGCAAAAGCTGTTTTGAGATCTAGAGGTCTAGACTCACAAGAAATAAGGAAAGCCATGTACTTTACGGTCTTGCCTTTATAAACATTTTAGTAGCAGCATAATTACTTGGAAACATATTTGATACAATGTTAAATGAAAAGAACAGGATATACACTTTTACGTACAAAATAATCACAACCATGTGTTTTGTTGTTTTGTTTTGTTTTTTAGATGGAGTCTTGCTCTGTCACCCAGGCTGGAGTACAGTGGTGAGATCTTGGCTCACTGCAACCTCTGCCTCCCGGGTTCAAGCAATTCTCCTGCCTCAGCCTCCTCAGTATCCTGAGTAGCTGGGATTATAGGTGCACACCACCACACCAGACTAATTTTATTTTTTAGTAGAGACGGGGTTTCATCATGTTGGCCAGGCTGGTCTCGAACTCCTGACCTTGTGATACACCCGCCTCGGCCTCCCAAAGTGCTGGTATTACAGGTGTGAGCCACTGCACCCAGCCACAGCCATGTTTTAAGAAGATAAATAATTCTGGGGAAAGGCCATGCGAATACTCATGATGAAAGGAAAAATCAGTAAAGCATTTTCAAGGTCAATTTCAGTAACATCAGTAATATACATAACCTTCTCCAGAGAAGATACACAAGTCACCAAGAAGCACATGAAAAGATGCTCAACAGAATTAGGCATTAGGGAAATGCAAATCACAACCACAATGCGAAACCACTTTATGTGCACTAGGATAGCAACAGGTGTTGCAGAAAATAACAAGTGTTGAAAAGGATGTGCCACCATTGGAACTCTTGTGGGTTGCTGATGGGAACATAAAGTGGTACAGCCCCTGTGGAAAACAGTTTGGCAGTTGTTCAAAAAGTTAAGCACAGAATGATCGTATGACCCAGCAATTCTCCTGGGTGTACACCCAGGGGGAACTGAAAACAGCTGTTCAAGTAGGTGCCTGTACTAGTGGCACTATTTACAGTGGCTAAATGGTGGAGGCAGCCTAGGTGTCCATCAACTGATGATGAATGGGTAGAGTGTGGTGTGTCTGTGCAATGGCAAATTACCCAGCCGTAAAAAGAAACAAAGTGTAGATGCATGCTGCAACACAGATGAGCCCTGGAAACATTTCAAGGTGAAAACATTCCAAGGTGAAAGAAGTCAGATGTGGGTGATCATGTGGGTTATACAATCCCGTTTATATGCGTGTCCAGAATGGACAAGGCCATAGAGACAGACAGTGGATTGGTGGTTGCCAGGGGCTAGTGGTAAGATAAGAAGTGACTGCTTAGGCTGGGCACAATGGCTCATGCCTGTAATCCCAGCACTTTGGGAGGCCGAGGTGGGCGGATCACTTGAGCCCAGGAGTTTGAGATCTGCCTGGGAAACATGGCAAAACCCCATCTCTACAAAAAAATATAAAAATTAGCTGGGCATGGTGGCACGCGCCTGTAGCTACTCAGAAGGCTGAGGGGCAAGGACTGCTTGAGCCCAAGAGGCGGAGGTTGAAGTGAGCCGAGATCGTGCCACTGTACTCCAGCCTGGGCAACAGAGCGAGACCCTGTCTCAAACAAACAAACAAACAAAACAAAAAAAACAAAAACAAAACAAACAAAAAAAGTGCCTGCTCGGTGGGTGGGAGTTTCCTTTTGGGGTGATGGCACTGTGAATGTATTAAATGTCACTAATGGTAAATCTTATGTCTATTTTACCAAAATAAAAAATAGATATACATAAACTTTACCACACCAATTCTATTAGGATGTTATTCTAATGCTGAAATCATGAATGTGACAAAGATGTTATAAAACCGGGGTTGATTATGTAAGTATCATTGCTGTTATAGACAATGAGAAAAATCTTGAAATTACCTAAATGCCTAACAAAGGGACTCAGTTAAATGAACAAGGGTGCATATTGGAATGCTATGTAGTTACTAAAACTCTTGGTATAGAAGAGTTTAATGACAGGATGCTAATGCAACACAAAGTGGAAAAAATAATTCACTTCCTCACCCCAAAGTGTGTGTGTATAGATGTATATTCTATGTATATTACAGAAAAAGAAATGGAAGGAATCTATTTCAAAGGGGTAACAGTGGCTAACTCTGGGTGGAATTATGATTTAAATTTTCTCAATAATAAAATCAGTGCTAAGAATTATTGCTAAGTAACTTGCACTGTTCTAAATTCTATCTCGGTCTATCTATCATTAAATTGTTTAATTCTTACAAACAACCTATTAGGGAGGTAAAGTAACTTCTTCAAGGTTACAGAGCTGGTAAGCAGTGGGGCTGAAGTTTAGACCCAGGGACTGGAGCTCTAGAGAATGAGATTGATCTATCTATCTATCTATCTATCTATCTATCTATCTATCTATCTATCTATCTATCTTACCAAACTGGAAAGTTTGATATCTATCTATCTATCTATTTATTTTTAATAGTGACAGCATCTTGCTATGTTGCCCAGGTTAGTCTTGAACTCCTGGGCTCAAGCAATCTATCCACCTTGGACTCTCAAAGTGCCAGGAATACAGGCGTGAGCCACAATGCCCAGCCAAGAATGAGACGTTAACCACTGTGCTGTAAGATCTTTTTGTCTAATCTACAGTTTCCAAATTTTCTGTGATGATCACCTTTGGTGATATAAGAGGAAAGAAAGTCATTTTTCAAAATAATCAATCTAACAATAAATAAGAGCTACCATCATCGTGGGGATGGAATATGTGTATTTAAAAATTCTTCTATTTGTCTGGGTTTTCCAAATTTCCCTTAATAAATATGGATTGCTTTTTAAATGGAAAGAAAAAAATACCTCTCAAATAAGGAAAAAGAAAGGTTGATGCCAGCCTCTTAAATCCATGCCCCAAAGGAAAAGTCCATCAACCCTCTAGGGCCAAGGATCCTGTAGATTTGAGTCAATTGCTTGTGGATCAGACAGACAGGGAGGGAACAGTGGGAGTGCCCAGGTGAACTGGGCAGGTGGGGCCAGAAGGAAGCACCCCCCACCACCTTGGCCAGTGGAACATCTCTACCCTTACCTTGCAGGGCCTCTTCATTCTTTCCTTCCAGGACCCTTTGCTGCTCATCCAGTCTGTCTCGAAGCTCTAGCTCCCTTTCCTTCTCCACCTGGGGGCAGAGAGTCCCGGGCAGGACTGAGATTGAGCAGGATCAGCACAGCATCTCTTATCCCCTCACCTGGGCCTACGTGGAACTTGGTGACCAGAGTCCTAACCCTTCCTCTGAGGGATGGGAATGACACGCCCAGAAAGGACACAAGACTTCCAAGACACAGCAAGCGTGGCAGAATTTGCCTTCTTTAGGGTTTAGCAGGGGGTTCCCATGTAATTATCCACATGGAAAAGGATTTAGGAGTATTCTAATCCTGATGCTTCCTCAAGGCAGGAAGCCTCCCATGGTGTTTCTCTGCTTGCGTAAGGCTTACTGTTTCAAGTGACCTCCAACTTCTACCATCAGGTCCCAGATCTGCCCTCTGGGGTCACACAGAGCCAGACTGTTCCCTCAACCCAGGCAGCCCCTCAGAGATCTGAGCATAGTGGCCCATATTCCCAACATTTCTCTTCCCCAGGCTGAACCCTCCCAGCCATTCTCATTGTCCCCCACTTGAGATGTTTTCCAGTCCCTTTGCCACCTGTAAGGTACAGCTGATGGGGCATATCCAGAGGCAAGGCATGACTTAAATTAGGCATTCTAGCCCCAGCATACCACTGAGTTCCTGGGTAATGAGCTCCCTCCACTGTATAATGAAGGGACTCAACTTGACAATACCTGGGGCCCTTACAAGTCTCAAGGTTAAGGATTCCACAGGTAATGGTCAGGGCCAAATGACATTACCATGGTAACTCTACCAAAACAAACTAAAGACCAGCAGCTGCATACAGTTAACTTACCTTTCATAAAAGGTGTGTTTCTGAAAAATGCGTCTAAGCTAAAACCATTTTAATGTGTGTGGGGGCACTTGCCACAGCCTTCCACCCAGCGAACACCTGAGGGCAGGGTCTGGACCCGATTTCTCCCTGTACCCCTGGCAGTGCTGAGGCCGCACCCTCCCCGCACATAGTAATCTCCCCCAGCAAGTCGACTGGGTGAATAAAATCTAGCAGAAAATCTTTCAGTAATAAATAACCATGTGATTTAATAGAGTGATTAGTTTATAACTACGGAGACTTTTTTTTTTTTTGAGATGGATTCTTGCTCTGCCACCCAGGCAAGAGTGCAGTGGTGAGATCTCAGCTCACTGCAACCTCTGCCTCCCAGGTTCAAGTGATTCTCCTGCCTCAGCTTCCCAAGTAGCTGGGATTACAGGCATGTGCCACCAGGCTGGGCTAATTTTTGTATTTTTGTAGAGACGGTGGTCTCGCCATGTTGCCCAGGCTGTTCTCGAACTCCTGACGTCAGGTGATCTGCCTGCCTCGGCCTCCCAAAGTGCTAGGATTATAGGCATGCCTGGCCCAGATCTATCTTAAAGCAGTGACTTTAAATTTCAGAATTTTGAATATTTACCCTGAACATATTTCATATTTATAATTTAAACTAAAGAAAATTTAGAGAAAACTTGTGTACACCACCAAATCTTTCCTGCTGCTCTACCCATTCCCTCTGGTAAAGGAAGAAATGGAGGCAAAGAGAGGTGAAGGGTGAGTGACCAAGTTAGAATGAGGAAAAGGAAATCCTGGGCTGCAGGTTACATTCAGTCATCCCATCACTTTAGTGTCCTTCAATCTAGAATTGTTCCCCAGTCTTTCCTCATGTTTCATGGCCTTGACATTTGACTAATATAGGCTGGAAATTCTGTAGAATGTCCCTCAATTTTCATTTCTGGGTAATTTTAAAGCCTCCGTGTCATCCCTTTAGAGAAGCCTTCTCTGATCCCACAGCCTTGGTTAAGGGTTCTATTATGTCCTTTCACGGCACTGTAAACTTTTCATAGCACTTATATTTGCAGTAAGTATTTCTGTGTAATTGTGTTTAGCATCTGATGTCCCATCTCAGTCATATAAGCTAAATTATGCTGCCATAACAAACAATGACAAAGTCTCAGTGGCTTAAGACAAAATGTTTATTTTGCCCTCACTACCTACCCATTTTGTGTGGCAGGGAGCTCTGCTGCCAGGGATTATCCAGGATTATCCAGGGATAATCACCCAGAGATCAGGCTGATAGAGCGGCCATTACAACAGTCCCGTCACTTAGCTAGACAGAAAGACCTTGAGGGTCTTGAACTGGCAACTAAATGCTTGCCCTAGAAGTGACACTGGTTCTTCTTTCTATAACGCATCAGCCAGAACGAGTTCCGTGGTCCCACCCAACCATGAGGTGGGCCCAGAAAGGCAATTAATCTAGTGGCATCAACAGCTTTTACTCTTCCCAAATAGACTCTCAGCTTCGTGAAAGCAGCTGCCAGCTCTGCTTGTTTTAACCAATGTGCCCAGCACACAGTGCCCTGATAAAAATATGTGTTCAACAGATAAAGGACTCCCTTCCTGGTAAAATGAGTAAGGGACTCTTACAACAGCAACAAAAACCTAAGGTAGGCACTCACTCTGGGATTCACCAAAGTTAGCTGAGCAGGAGAAAGACAGGGGGTGGGGGCACCTGGACTTACCTGTTGTGCCCATTTCTTCTTTTCCTCCTCATGTTGCTGGAGAATTCTGGTTATATCCTTCTGGTGCCGCTCAGCCTCCTCTGATGCACAGAGCTGGACAGTTATAGCTAGAGATGAAAAAGCAAAAAAATAAAAATAAAAAAACTCACAGAGTGGAAGTACAGTCAGAGCTGGCAGAGAGAGTGTGGGAAATGGGGCTAAGGGATGAGAACCCTGGTCTCTGCCTCAAGAATGATTTCGGGTGGGACCAGTCTCCAGAGACAGCCCCTCGAGTCTCTTTGGACTTGGAGATCCTCTTTCAAGGAATAAGCCAATGGTCTCATTTTGTCTTCTGGTCTCTGCCTCAAGAATGATTTCGAGTGGGACCAGTCTCCAGAGACAGCCCCTCGAGTCTCTTTGGACTTGGAGATCCTCTTTCAAGGAATAAGCCAATGGTCTCATTTTGTCCTCTGGTCTCCCTGTTCTACCCCATTTTTTAAAAAATTAGTCGCTGGCCAGACATGGTGGCTCACACCTGTAGTCCCAGCACTTTGGGAGGCTGAGGTGGGAGGAGCACTTGAGACCAGGAGTTGGAGACCAGACTAGGAAACATAGTGAGACCCTATCTCTAAAAAAAAAAAAAAAAAAAAAAAAGCTGGGCATGATGGCATGCACCTGCAGTCCCAGCTACTAGGGAGACCAAAGCAGGAGGATGGTTTGAGCACAGGAGTTCAAGGCTGCAGTAAGCTATGACTGCATCACTGCACTCCAGTCTGCGCAACAGAGCGAGATCCTGTCTCTAAAATAATAATAATAATTTAAAAATTAGTTGTTGATACTTAATAACTGGGAAGCTTTTACTTAATAATTCTGATTTCCAATTTTTCTTGAAGAATCCAAAGAAGAACTGGCAATGTATGCCTTCATGTCAACCAGGGGCTGGAGCCAGAAGCAGCTGCCTCCTCTTTGGCCGGCCAGGATAGGGCTCTGCAGTTGGCTATAGTCTTCACCTCCTGCTGTTATTAAAAATGTATACAAAGGGCCACATGTCATTTGCTTTACCTGCTGGGGCCCATGAGCATCTGAGTTTGTGGCCCCTCACCTTTAGCGTCTCCTCAGCTGGTAGTAGAGGGTGCTACTTGAGAGCAGGAAGGAAACACAAACAGGAAGTCTAGCCCCTGCTTCGGGAAACTCCAAAACAGGACCTGCCAATGCCACACTGAGTCTATCAGATACTAGGTATGACCTAAGGCAGTGGCCATCCTCTCTGTGCCTCAGTTACCTAATACATGGGATCAGGATAATTATGGCACCTACCACATGAGTGAGGCTGAGATGATTAAATCAGGAAACAATGGCAATAAAAATAGTAAAAGCAGGATAGGAGGACTGAGAGCTTACCATGCCTGCAACATGTCCAGCACTGTTCCAAGTGCCTCAGAGGGATGACTCACCTGCTCCTCACAGCTACCCTATAGTCGTGAGTAATATTATTACCCCCATGCTACAGACGAGGAAGCTGAGGCTCAGAGGAGTCATGCAACTTGTTCAAAGTCACCCAGTTCAAAATTAAGGGAGCAGGGATATGAACCTACACAATCTGTTTCCACAGCAAATACTCCTAACTACCACCTTATCCTGCTTGCTTGTGCACAAAAGGAAATGTAGGCCAGGCGCGATGGCTCACACCTGTAATCCCAGCACTTTGGGAGGCCGAGGTGAGCAGATCACTTAAGGTCAGGAGTTCGAGACCAGCCTGGCCATGGTGAAGCCCCGTCTCTACCAAAAATACAAAAAAATTTAGGTGGGCATGGTGGCAGGCGCCTGTAATCCCAGCTACTCGGGAGGCTGAAGCAGGAGAATTGCTTGAACCTGGGAGGCGGAGGTTGCAGTGAGTCAAGATCCTGCCACTACACTCCAGCCTGGCAACAAGAGTGAAACTCCGTCTCAAAAAAATAAAAATAAAAATAAAAAATAAATATATATATATTTAGTAAATATACATATTTAATATATAGTAAATATATATATTTATATATTAGTAAATATATATATTTAGTTATATATATGTACTAAATATGCAGCTTCTGCATATTTAGTATATATAAAAAATAGTATATATAATAAAATATATATAGTATATATATTATATATACTAATAAAATCTATATAGTATATATAATATATACTAATAAAATCTATATAGTATATATATACTAATAAATAAAATATATATAGTATATATAATATATATCGTATATATAGTATATATATAAAATATATATCATATATAGTATATATATAAAATATATATCGTATATATAGTATATATATAAAATATATATCGTATATATAGTATATATACTAATAAATAAAATATATATACTATATATATATAATACAAATCTGAGATTTTTATTTAGTTGGTCTGTGGTAGGTCCCTAGAATCTGCATCTTTGAAGTTCTCCAGGTAATTTTTCTTTTTCTGAGACAGGGTCTTGCTCTGTTGCCCAGGTTGGAGTGCAGTGGTGTGATCACAGCTCACCACAGCCTCAACCTCCTTGGCTCAGGTGATCCTCCCTCTTCAGCTTCCCAAGTAGCTGGGACTACAGGCACACCGCCACTCCAGGCTAGTTTTTTGTGTGTGTATTTTTGGTAGAGACGGGGTTTCACCATATTGCCCAGTCTGATCTTGAACTCTTGGGCTCAAGCATTCCATCCACCTTGGCCTCCCAAAGTGCTGGGATTATAGGCAAGAGCCACCGCACCTGGCCTGGATAATTCTTATATATAATCAGATTGGATTTTGTGGTCCAATTACTTATGCGGTACTTGAACTTCACCCACAATATTCCCAACAGCCTCTAGGCTGTAACTAAACACGTTCAGAGATAGGGAGCTCCTCCTATTACCAGGTAGCTCTGATGATTTTAAATCAACAACCACACAAAAAATTCTTTGAGATTGTGTTGAATTCTGCCTGCATGTTGCTGCTACCCTGAGGCCTTAATACTGACCTCTGTATCACACTAAACAAGGCTCATCTTTCTTCTCCATTAGGACACTTCAGACATGTGGAGAAAACTGTTGTTTTATGGCAACATATATTTTTTTTCTGGATGTAGTAATTTTTATTTTCGTACCATGGACATTTCAAAGAAAAGAAAACAAATATTATTTCATTGTATTTAGCTCTACTCATTTGAAAAAGAAAATTAGATATTCAAGTTAGAAGGTTCCCACATGATCCATTACAAATTAAAATTGATTTTAACTTATTTTATATATATGTATATATTTTTCTTTTTCAACTTTTGTTTAGATTTAGGGGTACGCATGCAGATTCATTACCTGGGTATATTGGGTGATGCTGAGTTTTGGGTACAAATGATCCTGTCACCCAGGTACTAAGCATAGTACCCAACAGTTTTTCAACTCTTGCTCCCATCCCTCCCTCCCTCCCTCCCTCCCTATGGTGACATCTTCTTTCCAGATGAACATTCTCTGTTCCTTTAACTGTTCCTTATAGGACATGTTTTCCAGATTCTTCACCAGTCTGATCTTGTTCCATTGTACTCCCTCCAATTTTTTTCTGGATTCCTCTAAAAATGTATTTTCCAGAAACATATATAGCACTCTAGGTGTGGTATCAACAGCCTAGAATAGGGAAGCACAGGTCAGGACTATTAATTACCTCCCTGATTTTAGACACGATACTCCTATTAAGGTAACCTATCTGAGATCTCATGAGATATTTCAGCAGCTGTATCATCTGTGTTGATTATAAGGTAGGAACCTCACAGATGGCAGTTGGGGCCTTTGTGGGGCTGGCTACTCACCTGTGTCCCCATTGAGGGGACCTAATTCATGGGGCTCTGGTCTGGGTGGCTGTTCTGGTTCTGGTTCTTGGCGCTTCTGGAAGAAATGAGACAACAGCAAGGCGTGGGTAGAGGGTGGGAGGTCAATGCGAGGACGGGCTGCTATAGTGGGACTCTTCCAAAGGCAAGGCAGGACCTTCAGTTACACCAGACCCTGCCCCACGCCTGCGCATTGGGCTGCCTCGCAGCCCCAGGCAGCAGACCCTCTACCGGGGGAGGGGCCCCAGAACAGGACTTCTCATCCCTGTCAGGGAAACCCTCAGGGGAGTTTGACACTGCTTGACCTGTCCCTAGATCCTTGCAGTCTGGCTCCTGCTGCCATCCCTGGGGGCCTCTCAGACCACCTCTTTCTTCTCCCGGGATCTGGCCGGACCTGCTATTACCCTCACTCCAGCTATGCACTTGAGGTGCCCTAGAAACCTCCCAACCCCCAATTCGGAGATGATTTTTGCTTGGAGAAAACTCAAACCATTTTTTCTCTGCTCTCACACCACAATAATCATCCACACAGAAGAAGACTTCTGTGTGTGTGGGAGGGGCTCTCCCCATCAGTGCTGCAGCAGACATCAGCTGGGTGTCCTCTAATTCAATTCTGACACTATCTACCTGGAGATAGTGTCACAAGTCTGGGCCTCCAGAACTTTTGACAGATGGGCTTCAAGTTGAGGTTTCCTTGACCTCCTCTTTGGGTTTGATTAATTTGCTGGAGTGGCTCACAGAACTTGGGAAAACACTTACTTATAATGACTGGTTTATTGTAAAGGATAGTACGAAGGATGCAGATGATGAGCTGCATAGGACAAGGTATGGGAGAAAGGGAGGGAGCTTCCATGCCCTCCTTGGGGGCTACCATCCAGGAACCTCCATGTGTTCAGCTATGCGGAAGCTCTCCAAACCCAATCCTCTCGGGTTTTTCATGGAGGCTTCATTATGTAGGCATGATTGATTAAACTATTGACCATTGGTGATCAATTTGACATTCTAGTCCCTCTCCCCTCCCCAGAGGTTGTCGGGTGGGGGTGAAAGTCCCAAACCTCTAAGAGGAATAAGTAATACAAAAGGGCTTTCTGCATCACAAAGCAGTGTCAGTGGCTCCCAGATTTCATAAATGAGTAATTTTTAAAAAATTTAATTAATTAACTAATTAATGTATTTATTTTGAGACTGAGTCTTGCTCTGTCGCCCAGGCTGGAGTGCGGTGGTGTGATCTCGGCTCACTGCAACCTCCACCTCTCAGCCTGGAGTACAGTGGCACGATCTCGGCTCACTGTAACCTCCACCTCCTGGGTTCAAGTGATTCTCCTGCCTCAGCCTCCTGAGTAGCTGGGACTACAGGTGCATGCCACCATGCCCGGCTAATTTCTTGTATTTTTAGTAGAGATGGGGTGGCACTGTGTTAGCCAGGATGGTCTCAATCTCCTGACCTTGTGATCTACCCGCCTCAGCCTCCCAAAGTGCTGGGATTACAGGTGTGAGCCACCGCACTCGACCTTTTTTTACTTTTTGAGACAGAGTCTTGCTCTGTTGCCCAGGCTGGAGTGCAATTGCGTGATTCTGGCTCACTGCAACCTCCACCTCCTGGGTTCAAGTGATCCTCAGCCTCCAGAGTGGCTGAGACTACAGGCATGTGCCACCACACCTGGCTAATTTTTGTATTTTTAGTAGAGATGGGGTTTCGCCATGTTGGCCAGGCTGGTTTTAACTCCTGGCCTCAAGTGATCTGCCCACCTTGGCATCCCAAAGTGCTGGGATTAGAGGCCTGAGCCACTGTACCTGGCCAAATGAGTAATATTTTTTAATGGGAGAGTTGATATGGGCTGATGAGGATGCTGAAAAAAACTATTTGTAGATTATTATTATTATTATTATTTTAGATGGAGTCTCGCTCTGTCACCCAGGCTGGAGTGCAGTGGCGCAATCTCAGCTCACTGCAAGCTCCGCCTCCTGGGTTCACGCCATTCTCCTGCCTCAGCCTCTCGAGTAGCTGGGACTACAGGCGCCCGCCACCACGCCCGGCTAATTTTTTGTATTTTTAGTAGAGATGGAGTTTCACCGTGTTGGCCAGGATGGTCTCGATCTCCTGACCTCATGATCCACCCACCTTGGCCTCCCAAAGTGCTGGGATTACAGGCATGAGCCACTGTACCCGGCCTAACTATTTATAGATTATTACTATCATTATATAAAATAAAGGACATTTTAGTCTTCCAAAATATAGTAAGGAAAAGCTTAAGAACAGTCTTCCAGGAAAGGAGAACTGACGTGCTTACTGAACATTACACACTCGCTCACACCATCATTTTCTCATCTCATGCTGGAGAGGTGAAAAGTTGGTTGAAGTCTGGCGGTGGTCACCAGACCAGGATTTGGGTAAAAAAAATTTAAGCCCTTTTGTATGCTTTTCTCTTCTCTTACAAAGAAGAGAAAGAAAGAGAGAAGGAAGGGAAAGGGCAGAAAGGAAGGAAAAAAGGAAGGAAGGAAGAAGATGTTCTAGATTCAATTTTAAGAAACACTTTAAAAAACAAGTCAGGCCTGGGCACAGTGGCTCATGCCTATAATCTTGGCACTCTGGGAGGCCGAAGTGGGCAAATCATTTGCAGTCAGGAGTTCGAGATCAACCTGACCAACATGGCAAAAACCCCTCTCTAATAAAAATACAAAAATTAGGCAGGTGTGGTGGCGCACACCTGTAATCCCAACTACTCAGGAGGCTGAGGCATGAGAATTGCTTGAACCCAGGAGGTGGAAGTTGCAGTGAGCCAAGATCTCGCCACTGCACTCCAGCCTGTGCAATAGAGTGAGACTCTGTCTCAAAAAACAAACAAACAAAAACACAAGTCAAACTATGAAGAGGCTATGAAAATGTTCGACAAAAATTATTAAAAATGTCCTAAACTGAAGAACCACTGAAATACTTCTAGAAAGCATGCTTCTCACTGGGGAGGGAAGATGTATCAAGGGAAGTCTTCTAGAATAGCCTGCTTCTCCCCCATGGTGCTGGGCACAGAGCCTGGCATGTGTAAGCCCCTGGAGGACTGAGGGAGTCATGGGGCCTCCCCCAGGTCCTCGTGCCCCAAATCTGCTGAGTGGCTGGGCAGACCTGACAATTTAGCTCCCCCACCACCCTGGTGAAGACTCAATCCTCCCTTTCCAGGGAAGAGGAGGAAGCCTGGTCCAGGCACGACTCAGAGAAGCTGTCAACTCCGGAATCTGGGGAAGTGACAGCAGCCAGCCTCCCCACCCTGGGCTGGAGGAAGAAGGGAGATAAACATAAATGGTTGTCTCTTCCTTGTTGCCACGACTGATTAGCTGAACTCAGACAATGTTTTTATGGGAGCCAGAAGGCCTAGATTCTAGTGCCAGCTCTGTTACAAACTTGGGCAAATCCCTTCCCACTCTGGCTTCTGCTTCCTCCTCTGTGAGGTGGGGATGAGGACGTCTGGTGGTTTAACTGGATGATCCCATAGTGTTCAAACTCTAAGCTCTCATCTCAGCTCCTCTCAACAGCACTGTGAGGTAAAGGTCACTACAGGCGAGGAAACTGAGGCTCAGGGAGACTTAAGACACTGTCACACTGTGCCATAATGTTCAAATCAGCATTAGAACCAGGTGTGAGAATATCAGAGACTGCAGAGCAGAGTGGTTAAGAACTCCAGAATTCTAGAATCACACAGATCTGGGTTCAAATACTAAATCCAACACCGTGTGACTGTATGACCTCTCCATGCCTCGGATTTCTCATGAGGCTCTTTTAGGATGAGATGAAATAATGCAACTGCAGTGTCTTGCACATACTAAGAGCTCAAATATTGCATAAGACGATTGCCATGTTTCACAAACATGGCAAGAACAAAGATCCCACGTCATCTGCTTTGGCAGACCTCTTGGGCTGCCCCTGGGTCTCAGTTTTGTCATCTGAAATAAGTTCATAATCTCATGAAATGCTGCCTTCTTTCAGATAACCACCACCAGAGAATGGTGGAGAACTCTTTTCCACAAACAGCTTTCAGACCACAGGCAGCACGTGGCCTTGTACTTGAGTCCCCAGCTCTTGACAAAACAAGATAACTCCTTCAGAATGGCAGTTAAGGCTATCACCATCTGTCCCCAGTCTACCCCCATTCCAATTTCTTTCTTTTTCTTCTGTCTTTTTTTTTTTGAGATGGGGTCTTGCTCTGTTGCCCAGGCTGGAGTGCAGTGGTGTGATCAGGGCTCACTGCAACCTCCGCCTCCCAGGCTCAAGCAATTCTCCTGCCTCAGCCTCCCAAGTAGCTGGGACTACAGGCGTGTGCTACCACACCTGGCTAATTTTTGTATTTTTGGTAGAGATGGAATTTTGCCATGCTGCTCAGGATGGTCTCGGACTCCTAGGCTCAAGTGATTTGCCTGCCTTGGCCTTCCAAAGTACTGGGATTACAGGCATGAGCCAAGGTACCCAGCCTCAATTTCTTAATACTTAAATTATTTATAAACATCTTCTTCCAGTTAAAGTACTAGTAGGCATTTGTTGTAGAAAGTACAGAAAATACATGAAAATATAGAAAGAAAATCTCACGACCCAGAGAGAACCCCATAACCTGGTGGCATATATTGTTCATCTACATATACATATGCAATGATATTACATATACTTCCTCATATCTTACTTTTTCAAATATATTACGAGCACTTACTACACAGCATTAACTATTCTGCAAATGTGTTAATTTTAATGATGAGCAGAACATCCCTATGGATGAATTTAGTCATTCACTGTTGAGTGTTTAAATTGTTTCCACTTTTTAATTTGCAGGTTAATTTGCTTTAATAAATATATTGATTTAGGCCAGGTGCGGTGGCTCATGCCTATAATCCTAGCACTTTGGGAGGCAGAGGTGGGTGGATCATTTGAGGTCAGGAGTTCGAGACTAGCCTGGCCAACCTGTGAAACCCCGTCTCTACTAAAAATACAAAAATTAGCCAGGCGGTAGTGGCATGCGCCTCTAACCCCAGCTACTTGGGAAGCTGAGGCAGGAGAATTGCTTGAACCCAGGAGGTGGAGGTTGCAGTGAGCCAAGATCGCACCACTGCACTCCAGTCTGGGCGACAGAGTGAGACCCTGTCCCAAAAAATAAAAAATTAAAATTAAAATTAAAAAATAAACATATTGATTTGTAAAATTTTATACACATCTAATATTACATGTCTAATATTGGAAGGTTCGACCAATTTACTCACCTTCAAATGGCACGCAAGAAGATCAGTTTCAGCTAGGTGTGGTAGCTCACACCTGTAATCCTAGCACTTTAGGAGGCCGAGGCGGGAGGATCACTTGAAGCCAGGAGTTTGAGACCAGCCTGGCCAACATGACAAAACCCCATCTCTACTAAAAATACAAAAATTAGCCAGGTGTGGTGGCACGTGCCTGTAATCTCAGCTACTTGGGATGCTGAGGCACGAGATTTGTTTGAACCTGGGAGGCGGAGGTTGCAGTGAACTGAGATTGGGCCACTGCACTCCACCCTGGGTGACAGAGCAAGACTGTCTCAAGAAAAAAGAAAAAGACCAGTTTCACTGCAACCTTGCCAATGTGGAATATTATCACTTTTTAAAAAAATGTTGGCAAATTTGCTAGGTCAAAACCCAACTAAAATAACCTAGTGCTACCTATTACATGCCTGCCCCCAACACAGGCATCTGTATGTTCGAGACATCTTACATGCTCAAGACCATCCCACCGTGACGCGTGGTTAGGTCTACCTCGGGCCCCCAGGCTCAGTGCACACACCATTTCTCTGCTTCTCTCCTGACCTGCCCTGGGGCGGAGTTAGTTCCTGTTTTCTCCATGTTCCAGGCACCCCTGAGAGTATCTACATCTGGTTAGCTGTCTGTCTCTCCTGCTAGCCCAAAGGGCTCCTGAAGGACAGGATTTTGAAATCTGTATTGGACTTGCCCCAGTATGTTATGATGCCCAGAACAGTATTTCTTAGGAATGTGGTCTATGGACCTCCTGTACTAGAGCCACCTGGAAAGCTTGCTTAACACGAATGTCCAGGCTGCATTCTAGACCTACAGTATGTGTGCTGGGAATTTGCATCTGCTTTTTTTTTTTTTTTTTTTTTTGAGATGGAGTCTGGCTCTGTTGCCCAGGCTGGAGTGCAGTGGCACGATCTTGGCTCAATTGCAACCTCTGCCTCCCAGGCTCAAGCAATTCTCCTGCCTCAGCCTCCAGAGTAGCTGGGATTACAGGCACATACCACCACACCAGGCTAATTTTTGTATTTTTAGTAGAGACGGGGTTTCACCATGTTGGCCAGGCAGGTCTCAAACTCCTGACTTCAAGTGATCCACCCACCTCAGCCTCCCAAAGTGCTGAGATTACAGGCATTAGCCACCACGCCTGGCCGGAATCTCCATCTTTAGCAGTCTAGCCAGATGATCCTAGTGCACACAAAAGCCTGAGGACATGTGACCCTGAGCTAGGTAGGTCTCAACAAGCAACTACTGAGTGGAAAATCCCCAGGTTGGGGTCCTGACCACTTCCTCCTCAGAGGTCATGGAGCAGACGGCACCTGCAGTGTGTGCGTGGGTGGTGGTGGTGGGGGGGGGAGTTGGGAGGGGGACATAAGAATTTTCCCTTCCAAAAGAGGGGTGGGGAGCATAGGGCTGGGGTGGGGTATCCGGACTACACTCTGGAAGAGGGATGACAGCTTCCTGAGTCAACGGAAACTTGGTAGCAAGAAAGCTGCAGAGGAGGCTGCCGGCAGTACAGGATGCAGGGAGAACCCAGGCCTGGGGTTGAGGCCAGGAGACTCAATTCCAGCTTTACTGTGTGCCTTTAGGTAAGTCATGTTCCTTCTCAGTTTCCCCATCTGTGAAGGGTCAGGGCTGGAACAGATGCTCTCTTCAGTCCTCCTGAGCTCCAGGGCAGCCCTTCTCCTAAGAAGGCTGGAAATAGAGCCCCTATACCCAGGTGACACTCACAGCTTTGGGGCCTAGATCCTTGCTGTCAAGCAGACCAGAGCCCTGCAGTAGGTTCAACCTGAAGCAAACCTGAGATAGTAGGACACAGCTGTCAAAAGCAGACAGAGTCAGGGTAGAATGAGAAGACAGTGTCCAGAGCCATGGAGAGCCACATGAGCTCAGATTGGGGCTGGTGAGATGCTCTAGAGTATACTCTCATTTTAGAGGGTAAACTGACACACTGGAAGACGTCCCAAAGAAACCGACAGGATGTAGGAGGTGGCTCAAAACCAAATTATAGGAGGGGCTGTTAACAGAACAAGAGTTGGTCAGCCTTGAGAACAGGCAGGAAGACCTGATATTGTCTTCAAATCTCAGCAGGAATGTCATGGGTAGAAGCTGCTGGCGTGTCATCTACAGCCTTGGAGGACAGGATTGTGGCCAAGCATGAGGAGGTTCCAGAAGTTTCAGTTCAGTATGAAGAAAAATTTCAGAACCATCACAAACTGGTAGGCTGCCTCATTGGAGGGTGGGGAATCGTGGTGGAAGTGAGCGCTCCATCATTAGTAGCATGCAAGAAGAGGTTGGAGAGTCAAACTTCATGCTGTAGATTGGACTGGTGATCTTTTAGAACCCTGAACTCTAACAGTCTATAATTCTAAAAAGCATCACTGATGTTCGGCAAGTGAAAGCCTCTGGTAAGCATAAAGAAATTATCTACTACATGGCATGTAAAGACCACCAGCATTAATGGAACCTCAGGGAGCTCTGTTGAATGCTATTCAGGGAGCAGCATTTTGGGGTGAATGGCTGTAGTCACATACTCAAGCCTTTGGGATAGACCCCTAAACTTCCCTCAAATTATTTTTTATTTTTTATTTTTTGAGACGGAGTCTTGCTCAGTTGCCCAGGCTAGAGTGCAGTGGCGTGATCTCGGCTCACTGCAAGCTCTGCCTCCTGGGTTCACGCCATTCTCCTGTCTCAGCCTCCTGAGTAGCTGGGACTACAGGTGCCCACCACCATGTCCGGCTATTTTTTTTTTTTTGTATTTTTTGTGAAGATGGGGTTTCACCATGTTAGCCAGGATGGTCTCAATCTCCTGACCTAGTGATCCACCCGCCTCGGCCTCCCAAAGTGCTGGGATTATAGGCGTGAGCCACCATGCCCGGCCAACTACCCTCAAATTCTGAGCCTCACCAGGCAAGAGTGAATTAGGCAGAAGCAACTTGGATAGAAGCCGCCCAGCTATTCCCTACCTTGGGAATCCTAGTAGGATGGAAGGTAAGAGTAGCCCTGAGGGAGGTTCAGCCTGTCCTGCAGAGACTTGAGCTAGCCCTCTTTGGGAGCCATCACTCCATTCTGTTTGTCAGCCTTCAAGGCTTGTGTATTTCTGATTAAGTGCTTTGTGTCCTCATTGTTCCTGCTTAACTTAGAGAATTTAGTAATTAAAGAAGACTCCTTAAGAGTTCACCCAGCTCCTCCGTGTCCCATACATCACAGGCCTGGCTTCCTCTGAGCATGTAGTTCTATCACACCTATCCTGGCTGAGGAAGGCTTACGGGAACCCAGAGCAGGGTTGGAAGGGCCCCAGGAGGCAGCTGACTCCAATCCCCACCTCCTTTTTCCAGATAGAAAAGCTGAGGCCCAGAGGTGGGTGGGCAGATAACTTGTCAGAAGCTGCAAAGCAGGGAAGCAGAGCCCTGGGGAGAATCCAGACTCACAGCTGAGGCTAGAGTCCTTTCCGTCCCCCTGATGCCAGGGTCAGCTTTATCTGAGTAGCTGAGCCTGTAGGGGAGAGGTGATTCTAAGTCTCAAGGGGCTCAGGTCACACCCTCCTCAATATCAGAGCTGCCTTTCCGGTGTCTGGCCCAGCACCACTAGTGCTGGGATCTAAGTAACCACAGTCAGAGCCTATTGGCCGAGGGTAGAGGCAGGAAGGAGGCGGGGAGTGTGGCCCAAGGGGCCCCACTCCAGGGCCTTCGGGGAGGAAGGGCGGGGCCTAAATGATCAGGGCTGTTGAGAAATGTTAGTGTTCACACCCGAATTACAGAAGCTCAGACAGAACACCATAAATACAGGCCTTAGCCTCCCCATCTCTAAGATGGGCAGAGATATTCTGCCAAAGTAATGCCTGAATTTGATGTCATTGAAACTCAAACACTGCCAGGGACATTAAAGATTTAATTCATCCCCTTCATATCATATAGTGTGTGGTCAACATTTCCTCACTGGCTGGAGGACAGTCCAATGTGATTGTACAACCAACTTAAAGTTAGAAGTGCCAGGCTGCACCACTCCGCTGCACCGGGGACACGGCCTATGCTCTGAACACCTGCAGGACCCCCAGAGCACACAAGTCAGGGGCGGATGTGGTCTCCACTGCTCCTATCTGACCAACTGATGAGGTGTCTCAGGGGAGCAAAGGACCACTTCCTTCTTAAATACCCCTGCACCTGGTGAGCCAGACCACAGCAGACAAGCATCAGAAGGGCCTTGAGTGCAAGGCCTCACTTCACAGACGATGACACTGAGGCCTAGAGAAAGCCTTTCTAATACACCTTATTTATTTTCTTCCTCCCTAGGGCTCCCGTTTTCTTGTCCCATATCAGCTTCCCAGGGTGTCTGCTAGTTCTGGTTGCCTCAGAGGGCCTGGAGCTGGCAAAAGCACTAGACATTATTTCTAGCATTTGGGTCAGCCTGGCAGGCAGGACCCTGAAGGAGCTGGACAGAAAATGGTGTCAGTAGCTGGATGGGGGTGGGGAAAGAGACAGGCTGAGGGCCCAGATACCTGTCTCCCAGTCCAATGGCAAACTGGAAGGCCAGAGCCAAGGTCCTAGCTTGCCATCTGAGGCTGAGCGCCTGGATACCTGTCTCACAGTCCAATGGCAAATTGAGAGTCCAGAGCCAAGGTCCTAGCTTGCCATCTGCTTGCTGTGTGACCTTGAGTGGACACTCTTCCTTTTCTGTGCTTCTGTACCCTCCTCTGCATGGCATGGAATTGTGCAATGGGATACGTAAGAGCCCTTCTGGTTTTGACATGCTGTGGATGGGGAAGAAGGGGCAGAGTGAGGTCATCTTGCTATCTCATCTTCTGTCGATCCTGTCCGGCTTGTTTGCTCTGGGCAGGGCAGAGGCAGTTTGACACACTCAGCTGTTAGCTCTGGTCATGGAGGGGGCTTCTCTGGAGAGCAGGAAAGGAGGGTCCCTTGCTCAGGAGGCCTGGGTGAGAACCTGGAGCCCTCCACACCATCCCCTGTTCTTCAGCAGACAGTGTAAGGGTGGTTGTAAAAGAGAGGGCGGGATTGCCTGAAAGCAGAGAATGACAGAGCTCAGCCATCTCCCAAGTTGCACGCAGCATGCTCCTAATTCTACAGTAGCACTGTGAACAGAAATAAGTACCCATTAGTGAGGACAAGGAGGATGCACAGGATGCTCAGGGCAGGACCATTTGCAGTAGGGAAATGCTGTAAACTGAGGACTGGCTGGATATACTCAGGGACATAATACTATGTCATTTCATTCATATGTTTAAGAGAGTGAAGTAGACCTTTATGTACAAAGATGGAAAGGCATTTGGTAAAATACCAATATCCAAACTAAACTATTTCTTTTCTGTCACCCAGGCTGGAGTGCAGTGGTGTATTCTTGGCTCACTGCAACGTCCACCTCCCAGGTTCAAGCAATTCTCCTGCCTCAGCCTCCCCAGTAACTGGGACTACAGGCATGTGCCACCATGCCCAGCTAATTTTTGTATTTTTAGTAGAGACAGGGTTTTACCATGTTGACCAAGCTGATCTTGAACTCCTGACCTCAGGTGATCTGCCCGCCTTAGCCTCCCAAAGTGCTGGGATTACAGGCGTGAGCCACCATGCCCGGCCAACTATTACTAATGATAAAAAAATGCATAGGAAAAAGTACCTAGAAAAGCACAAACTGATAACAGTTGTCATCTCCAGAGAATGGACTAAAATTACTGTGGTCAAGGAAGGGTAGCTTCCATTTTACATTTTACCTAAATTATTAGGATTTTTTTTTTTTTTTTTTTTTTTTGAGACTGAGTCTTGCTCTGTCACCTAGAGCGAGTGGTGTGCAGTGGTGCGATCTCGGCTCGCTGCAGCCTCTGCCTCCCAGGTTCCAGCGATTCTCCTGCCTCAGCCTCCTGGGTAGCTGAGATTACAGGCACGTGCCACACGCCCGGCTAATTTTTGTATTTTTAGTAGAGACGGGGTTTCACCATGTTGGTCAGGCTGGTCTCAAACTCCTGACCTCAGGTGATCCGCCCGCCTCAGTCTCCCAAAGTGCAGGGATTACAGGCGTGAGCCACCACGCCTGGCCAATTCTTAGGATTTTTAAAGCAACAACGCATTCAAGAATTACTTATATACAAAGAAATTAACAACAACAAGAAAAAGGTACCTCTCTTGGAACCTGAAAGCCTCCCCCAGAGTCAAGGTACAGACAGAGAAATCAAGGCTGGGGAAGAGAATAGTTAGCAAAAGAGGCAGAAGTGGACCCATTGTTAGAATGATGAATACCAGAGGTTGGGAAGGACGTGTGTGTGGGGTGCGGGGAATGAAGAAAGGCTGGTCAAACGATACAAACATACAGCCAGATGGAAGGACTACATTCTAATGTTCCATAGCAACCATGAACTGTATACTTTAAAATAGCTAGAAGAGAGGACTTGAAACGTTCCCAACACATAGAAATGATAAATACTCGAGGTGATGAAACTCCAAATACCCTGACTTGATCATTACACAGTCTATGCACCTAACAAAATATCATATGTACCTGAGAAGTATGTAAAATATTATATATCAATAAAAAATATAAAGAAGTAGGCCCCATTCTTGACTCCCAGTCCAGTGCTCTTTCCTCTACAGATGCAGCTGCTGGTGTCCAAAAGCAATGGGCCCTGTCCAGGCACCTCCTTGTTTACAGTGCTGCCTCTTCTGCTGCCAAGATGGGTTCCAAAGGGAGGCACTGGGTTCTTGCTGTCATTTTTGATTGCTGGCAACTTGGGGCTGGGGGTGAGAGGGTGGGTAAGGAGCAATTAACCTTGCGATATGAAAGTTTCCTAAAGCTGCTGTAACAAATTACCACGCACTTGGTGGCTGAAAACAACAGAAATGTATTCTCTCACAGTTCTGGAAGTTAGAAGTGTAAATTCAAGGTATCAGCCGAGCTGGCTCTTCTGGAGGCTCTGAGGGAGGATCTGTTACCTCCCTCTCTCCCAGATCCTGGTGGGTGCTGGCAATCCTTCGTTCTCTGGCTTGGGAGATGTGTCACTTCATTCCCTGCTCTTCTCCCTGTGTGTCTGTGTCCAAATTTCCCTCTTCTTGTTGGGACACCAGTCACTGGATTAGGGCCCATCCAATGTGACCTCATTTTAACTCAATGGCCCCTGCAAAGACCCTATTTCAAATAATGTCGCATTTACAGGTTCTGGGTGAATGTAAATGTAGGAGGGGACATTACTGAATCCAGTAAAGGTAACAGCTTTTCTGATGTCCAGGCCATTTCCTTAAGGAAGGCACAGGGGCAGGGTCACATGGGGCAGTAGAAAATGGCGAGGAAAGCCACAAAGGTCATTGTACACTCAGTGAAAAAAAACTCCATTGCAGAGAGGAGGAAATCTGGAAGTAGGTCAGACTGCATATCACTTGTCTTGGGGGGATGCATGGATGTGGATGGCTGTTTTAGGTATAGTACAGTGTTTGGCCTAGATGTTCTGGAAGGTTCAGATTTGAAAATAAGGTGACACAAGATAAACTATTTTTAGGGATTAAGATTCACCTTGCAAGACAAATAGGATGGCTTGTCTTCAGGTAATGGATGGGTTTAGATCTGCTAAAGATGGATGGATCTTCTCTTGCTCCTTTTCTCTGCCAAGGTGGGACAGCAGGAGCTCCCTCCCCACTGCCAGTCCTGCTGCAGTGGGGGCTCCCAGTCTGGCCCTCTCCCCTGGTCACTGGGGACGGCTCACAGTGCTGAGGGAGGATGATGCAGAGGACCGAGTGCCAGCCGTGTGGACGGAAGCCCAAGTACACCCTGAGGTGTCAGAGCCAGAACTAGGGTCATCTGAGAGGCTCTTCCTTTCGTTGGGAGGGTACTTACACTCTTCGAGTTTATTTTTTGAATATGAACATTCATGAATTTCATACTGAGACCCCTTAGAGCTCCTTTTCCAGGCAGGTCTCAGACTTCTGTTCACTGGCTGATCTATGCACCCTGAGATGTCAGGGGGCAGCCCCTCCTAACCAGAGTTTCACTGTCTTGATTTATATAGCAGCCTGTTTCTGTGCAATTAATTTAAAATTTCATCTTTTCTTCCCTTTTTATGACAAAAAAGAAACACAGTGCTGACATGAAGCACAGGTCCCAAGCCTAACAGCCAACTGAAGCAAAAATGGGAGCCCTTAGGTATCTGGGAACTCGTCAGGCTCTCAGGGGACCTACATCAGCCACCCATGAATTCAATAGAGGAAAAGAATTAAAAACATGTACATGTGCAGAAAATATATCACCAAAGGTTGTATCTCAAAGGCAGAGAGTATTGGGAATTATTCTAGTGTGTTTTAGGTTGCCAAACGCAAAAATCTGGTATTTAATCTCACAGGTCTTCCAGAGTGCCTTGTGCATGGAAGCCTGTACTGGCTTTAGCTAGGAAGATTGGTGGGCATTAGTTTCTAGGTTGGGCAAAATCATCAGCTCGGAGGCCATGTACATGCCAACATCTCCATGATGGTTGGGGCAGGGGGCTGAGTGCTGCAGAGGCAGCTTTCCTTCACGCTCCTCAACTGTCCTGCCCTTACCAACCGAGCTAGAAGATCAGATTTGCCCACTCCTCCTGACCAGGTGTCAAGGGCTGCTCCCATATTCCTTCTGCCTAGCATGCCCTCCTGAGTAACTCGCCTGCCCCATAAGTGCCTAACCCCCGCCCCCCTTCTAAACCCAGCCAAGATGCTGTCTCTCTAAGGGGCCTTCCTTGACCCCCCCGAGTCCAAAGCCACACTGGCCCCAGGTAGGAGGAAAACACAAGGGATGTTCATCAATTACCAGGGTAGGAGTGCAGACTGCAAAGAACCACGCGTCCAAACCGGTTAAATAAGCCACGGAACAGCCACAGGACATTAGGTAGCCATTAAAAAGTCCGTGTTTCCATGGACTACTTAACATGGGAAAATGCCCCCGGAAGAATATTAAGTAACTGGAATATAACCATATAAAACATACTCTTAGCTTTATACAGATAGTCATACTCACATCTATAATATACATAGGAAAAAATGGTACAAAGAATGACACTGAAATGTACACAGTGGCTATCTCTTAATTGTGAGATTAAAAGATTTTTTAATTTCTTATACTTTCCCACATTTTGAAATTTTGACTCAAAATAATAATCAGAACAATTCCATTTTTTAATGGAATCGTAAATATTTGCTAGTCGTAGGTTTGCATCCCCTCTAATATTCTTGCCAAAATGCCACCTGACCCCTGCTTGAACCCTCCAGTGATAGGAACTCACTACCCTTTGAGGCCTTTTTTTGGCCACTTATTCCTCATGAGTAGAAATCTGCTCGATTTAGCCTCCCCTACTGGCCACTGTGCTGCCTTCTGGAACAACAGAGAAAAAAACTGCTTTCCATGCCCCTTGACAAGACTTCAGAGATTTGAAGGAAGAGGCCAGACACTAGCCTGCATCCTCCCACCCTGCCCGCGTCAACCTTCCAAGAACACTAATGTCCTTTAGCTCCCACGTCCCGGGGTACTTTCCTTGGGTACAATCTAGGCAGTGATGTCCTTAAAGCATAACATTAAGTCTGTGCCTCCTTATCTCCTTCAAAGGCATCCTTCTTGCTAGTCAGGGTATCAGAGACTCTGTCACATACAGTCTTTCATCTAATCTTTAGAACAACCCTATGGCACAGGAGCTAATACCAAGCCTATCTTACAGATGAGGAAACTGAGGCATGGAGAAGCCAAGCCACTCTTAAGGTCACTTAATGGATCTTCCATGTAGTCAGGACTGAACCAGCATCCAACCCAGAGCCCGGTGTGGTCGACCCACAAATGTTTGCCAAGTTAGCCATGCCCTTGTTGTCTACTGGTTGATTTCAGAATTACCCAAGCCTGCACCAGCCTCTTCCTTATCATTCACTTCTGTCACCTGGCTTGCTACATGGATGTGCTCATGAAGGGCTGCTGAATGACTGACCCACCAAGTACCTGTCACCTGAGGCCCAGCTTTGGCAGCTGTGCTGAGCCCCTTCTCAGAGGTCCTGCTTGGAACTATGGAGCTATAGCCACAGCCTTCGGGAATGGAGAGTTCAGACATCATTCCTGGTACTCTGCAGTGTCACACAAAGGGGGTTGGCCACGAGATGCCTCCTGCACCAGTCCCCACCCCCCCTCCGCTTCCTACCCTATTGCCCAAGGGAGGCTGGTAACCTGTTGGGGATAGGAAGGCCCCTCCTTACCACTGTGGCTGGCAACTCCCCAGAAGGCTTGTTTCCTTGACCCCTACCCACTCTGCCTGGCCTTCTCCTGAGTCCTCCTGGGGGATGTGACCACATTAGCCATGGTCTTTGCCAAGAAGAAGGGTTTAGGCAGGACCACACGATCCAGATGGTTCCTCAGCACCCACCCCCAGCCTGCCAGGAACCCTATTCATTTATTCCCAGCATTTCAACTTGTCCCAATAAGGCAGTGACCTAGTCCCAGGCCAGGCCTCTCAGGGTGGTCTAGAACATCTAGTCGGCCAAGCCCAACAGGCACCATAGACCACAGAACTCAGCAGACCCCCAGATCCTTGAACCTGGAGGGACATGAGAAGGCCTCATGGTCAAGCTCCTGTCCCTAGCCAGGATAATCCTTTCTAAAAGTGCCTGCCTCATTCCTTGCTGCCTGCCACCTCCATTCTCCACAAAGAACCCCCTCACGCTGTGCTTTCAGTGGCTCAGCCTTTGCTTAGGCCTTGGCCATGAGTGGGTAACTCCTGCCATACCTTCCAAACCACCCTTCCTCAAAAACCCTTCCTGCATCTCTCAAGGCTAGATGTGATGCTCCTACTGCTCCCTGGGCCAACCCCTAGCATGGCTCTTATTTGTCCCTCATTCACTCAAATATCTACTTAAGCACCTGCTCCATGATCTGTATAAGGCAATGAGCACCAGATGGGGAGTGCAGAAAGCCAGGCTCAACTGCACAGCTTTGCCACCAACTGGCTGTGTGACTTTGGACCCATCGTTCCTCACTGAGCCTCAGTTTCCCCGGTAAAGTGGGAAAGATTCTGCAGCTCAGCCTAACTTCCAGGGCTTCTGTGAGACTGGGCGGGATGTGAAAGCATGCTGTAAACACTCAGGGTGAGTCATGGTTATCAGAACCTAACCCCTCTGTAGCCTGAGCTCATTTTTGTCCATCCCATCCCTGGAGTCCCCCTCTCTCCCAGGGGGCTGGTAGCCTGTTGGGGATGAACTTGGGAGCTCATGCCTTCCAAGGGGTTGGCACCTGGGTGAGAAATTGGGCAGGAGCACAGCCTACAGGGATGAGAACTTTAAACAAAAACAGCCCATAAATCTTGCCATATAGGGGCAGGGGCCTGGCATGGCTGGGGCCAAGAAGGCATGCCAGGCTGTTCTCTGAGGCAACAGGAGTAAAAGATTTTACGCTAAAGTCATCAAGAAGCCACTGGAAGCACAGCGGGAGGAGGTGGAGACAAAGAACACGGAGCTAGGGGACTAGATACCTGGGTTCTGCTCTGTGTTGCTCTGTGACCTCAGTCATGCTCCTTCCCTTTTCTAGGCCTTAACCTCCTATCTGTATAGTGGGTGCGTCAGCCCAGGTAGTACCCAAAGGCCCTTTCCAACTCAGACAGGCTGTGCCAGCTTTACTTGCCCTTCAGAGCTTTGGCTGTGCCAGGGACAGGCAGGAACAGCTGGTAAGTCTCTCAGAAGGAGCAGGAGCCAAAGAACCTGTGCTTACTGTGACCTCCTCTTCCAGCTTGTGGAAGGGTCAGGCTCTTCCCCGTTTCCTCCACCTCTAGGTAGATGGAATTCACCCTTGGTCCACTTTGCAAGCTACAAGGTTGACACAGGTGCAGAGAACACAGACTCTCAGATGCTTAGGGATCATCCTGCTCATCACTCCCCATACAGGGAGAAACTGAGACCCAGGGAGACACAAGGGCTTGCTTGGGGTCACCCAGTATGTTTATGGCACCACCAGGACTTACACCCAGGGCTAATGTCTGCCTACCACTTGCTCAGTTACAAGTCTCAGCCAAGGCTCAGGTCTCTCCGCCTTGTCATCCC
Organism: Homo sapiens; assembly: GCF_000001405.40. Lineage (NCBI taxonomy): Eukaryota > Metazoa > Chordata > Mammalia > Primates > Hominidae > Homo > Homo sapiens. Next base: position 151,222,700 of record NC_000005.10, read on the forward strand.
TGTCAGCCAGCCCCTTCCTTCTACTGATAGAGCCAAGCCTCAGTTTCCCTGTTGGAGTGAGTAAAGACATGAGGGTTTCTAGGTCAGGAGTTGGTGAGAATTTCAATCTGGTAATAAAGGGAGAGCAAGGAAAGCCAGGAGGTGTCAGAGAAGGGAGTAGAATCCTCCAGGCTAGGACTACTGTTAGGCAGAAAAACCTGTACTCAGGGCACAAGCAAAGCAGGAGCAGAGGGAGGACTAAAGTTCATTGCAAAACTATTAAACACTGTCACAGTTTGGGGCCTCTCAAGGTCTCAAGGGGGAATGATGATAAAGTTTAAGGGATCACCTAGTCCCACCTGGCTAGGGGGCAGGTAGTGGTAAGAAAAGGGGCCAGAATTTGAGGGTCCTTCTTCCCCTCTGCCTCACAGTGTCCCCTGAGGAGGCTATCTTTCTAGCTCCAGGCTCTGACCTTCTGGGCTCGTCAGACCCCAAGGGGCAGCTGGTCTCACTGCAAGAAACCTGAGAATTGTCCCCTGGGCCCTGACCCAGCTCCAAGGCCCCTTGGGGGAAGGACAGGAAGGGAGGAGAGGGCCACAGAACGCAGTAGATCTCCTCCCTCTTTGGCCCCTCCCAGCTACCCCAAGGGCAGCCCACACTCACCAGCTCTGGGGCCTGCAAGAGCCCTAAGACCAGCGCCTCAAACTTTAAAGCGTCATCACCTGGGCATATTGTTAAAAGGCAGCTTCTGTCTTGGCAAGACTGGGCCTGAGCCTGAGATTCTGCATTTCTGACAGGTCCCCAGGGATGCTGATACTGCGAGTCTGTGGAACACTCTTCGAGCAGCCCTGAGATTATCAGCCTTTAACCCCCGGGGGGAGGAAGCCGAAGGCCCAGAGAGGTCAAGTCACTTGTCCATGGCCACACAGCGAACAGCCCCAGACCGAAAGCAGAGGGCACCTGCCACAGACACACGACATCTCCCCACCCGAGGCAGCGGGAATCAGCTGCCTTTCCCTGGCCCGGGTGCCGTGTTTGTAAACTCGGCTGCTTGGTGCGGCTCGGGCCGGGGTAAAGGGCGCCTCCCAGCAGAGCCTCCCTCGTCTCTGAGCTGGCCTCTCCAGGTTCTCCGTCCGGTATCCCGGGCCGACCAGAGAGAGCCCGGGGCGCCGAGTCCTCTGCGGCGGAGCGATTCCGCACTCCCCTCTCCTCTGAAAGCAAACTTCTCCGCCGGCGCCCTTTACCTTTTTCGGGGGTTTGCAGCTGCTCAGCCTGCTGTGTCTGCAGCCCATCCTCCTCCGGGGGCTCCCGGACGCCGCTTCCCAACTCCGGGGCCCCCAGAGGAGCCTGCGATCCGGGCCCCGCTGCCCGCTCCGCGCCCGCCGGCTGGGGCTGCCGGCGAGACCCTGAAACTGAACCTGGAAGCGCTGTCTTGAGCCTGAGCTGGGGCGGCCGCCCGCCGTAAATACCCGAAGAGCGGGGCCTCAGTGTAGCCCGCAGGGCCAGCGGCGCCGCCACCAGAGGCAGGTGACCAGAATCCTTCTAAATAATAGGAAGCTCTGGTCAGGGCAGAAGAAAAGAAAACCTCAAGGAGCAACAGATGCTTTTCCGAACCCTCAGCTAAGAAAGGGCCGGGGGAAAAAATAATTAAAGCAATTATTTGATAAACTAACAACTATCATTCATTGAGGGCTGTTTTTGTCCCAGTTGTTTTATACATTTTATTTCTATTTCTTGCCATATCAGTGCAACAAAGGTATTACTTCCTCCATTTTACAGGTGAGGAAAATGGTGTTCAGAGATGCAACATGATTTGCCTAAGGTCACATGGCTAGTAAGTTACCACAGCCCAGATAGAATCCAGTTCCTTTTTTTTTTTTTTTTTTGCCGCTATCATAGTTCACTGCAGCCTCAAACTCCTGGGCTCAAGCGAGCCTCCCAGCTCAGCCTCCTGAGTAGCTGGGACTACAGAGGCTCACCACCATACCCAACCAAATTCTTTTCTTTTTTCCAGTCTGATTTTGAACGACCGCCCTCAAGCGATCCTCCCACCCTGGCCTCCCAAAGCGTTGGGATTACAGGCATGAGCCACTGCACAGAATACAGTTCTAACTCCAGAACCTAAACTTTGACTCAATGGCCTACAAATAAATCATAATACTAAGTTTATTGTATTTATTTATTTTTGAGACAGAGTCTCGCTCTATTGCCCAGGCTAGAGTGCAGTGGCACGATCTTGGCTCACTGCAACCTCTGCCTCCCAGGTTCAAGTGATTCTCCTGCCTCAGCCTCCCCAGTAGCTGGGATTACAGGCATGCACCACGACACCCAACTAATTTTTGTATTTTTAGTAGAGACAGAGTTTCACCATTTTGACCAGGCTGATCTCAAACTCCCAACCTCAGGTAATCCGCCCGCTTCGGCCTCCCAAAGTCCTGGGATCCCACACCTGGCCAATAATACTAAGTTTAATTTTAATGCCTCCTCACTTCTGGGCTGATAGTTTTTTCCACCTCACAAGCATCTGTAATATTTGACTCTATCCATCTTGGATAGATGTTATTCATCACAACAACCTCTTGAGGCAGGCCAGGTATGGTGACTATGGGACATAAAATGTCAGTGTCTAGGAAAAGGAGCTTTTGTTTATCTTCTCTTTGTTATTAGCTGAGGTTTCTGAAATGGCAATGCAGGAAAAAGATAACCAATTTTGAAAATCAGTGTGTATGCCTATTTGCGTGTATATTGGAATATTAAAGTCAGGCCCAAAACTCTTGGAAAGGTGTGCTGTGAAAACGGCTTAGAGTCATGAATGGGGAAAGAATATGAGACCTCAAAAAAATTGCTCCCTCCATAGGGTACAAAACCAATTGCAAAAGTGTGTAAGAAAGGAAACTAAGGAAACGTGTTATTAGGTTCTCAAAAGCAAGTATAATAGAGAATGGTGGCTCACAAAGTGTGATTCCCAAATCAGCAGTGTCAGCACTACCAGCCGCCTTTGTTGGAAATGCAAATTCTCGGGCCCCACCCCTGGCCTAAACTCTGGGGATGGGGCTTAGGAATCTATGGCTTCATAAGCACTCCACTCATGTCTGGCCTGGGCTAAAGTTTGAGAACCCCTGCCATAGGACGTGCTCCACAGGTACTGAAGAAACAGGATATACTTAAATTATACTAAAATTAACAATGTTTATTGGAACAGTGCTCATGATTAAAAACAAAGAACCCAAAACAACCTAAACAGCCAAGAAAAGAAGGTTGGTTAAATACATTATGCTATATCCATAAAAATAGAATGCCACATAACCAGCAAAAATACTGATGAAGATGAATTTTTTGTGTTACAAAACATAACAAACTCATTTTCATTAAAAAAAAAAATTGAGTGACTACCACTGTATTGGTGAGATTTTGAAATTTTAAAACAGTTTTTTTTTTTTTGAGACAGGATCTTGCAATATCACCCAGGCTGGAGGGCGGTGGAGTGATCATGGCTCACTGCAGCCTCAGTCTTCCAGGCTTAAGTGATCCTCCCACCTGAGCCTCCCGAGTAGCTGAGACCACAAGTGCCTGCCACCAAGCCTAGCTAATTTAAAAAAAAAAAATTTTGTAGGCCAGGCACAGTGGCTCATGCCTGTAATCCCAGCACCTTGGGAGGCTGAGGTGGATGGATCACCTGAGGTCAGGAGTTCGAGACCAGCCTGACCAATATGGTGAAACCCTGTCTTTACTAAAAATACAAAAATTAGCCGGATGTGGTGATGTGTGCCTGTAGTTTCAGCTACTCAGGAGGCTGAGACAGGAGAATTGCTTGAATCCGGGAGGCAGAGGTTGCAATGAGCCTAGATTGTGCCATTGAACTCCAGCCTGGGCAACAGAGCGAGACTCCCTCTCAAAGAAAAAAAAAATTTTTTTTTGTAGGCCAGACACAGTGGCTTATGCCTGTAATCCCAGCACCTTGGGAGGCTGAGGCGGGTGGATCACCTGAGGTCAGGAGTTCAAGACCAGGCTGGCCAACTTGGTGAAATGCCGTCTCTACTAAAAATTAGCCGAGCATGGTGGTGCATGCCTGTGATTCCAGCTACTAGGGAGGCTGAGGCAGGAGAATCACTTGAACTCGGGAGGCAGAGGTTGCAGTAAGCAGAGATCGTGCCACTGCACTCCAGCCTGGGCAACAGAGTGAGATTCCATCTCAAAAAAACAAACAAACAAAATTTATAGAGAGTCTCACTATATTGCCAAGGCTGGTCTCGAACTCCTAGCCTCAAGCAATTCTCCGACCTCAGCCTCCCAAAATGCTGGGATTACAGGCATGAGCCATTGAGCCTGGCTTCATTTTCTTATATTAAATAATGAGGGCGGGCACACTGGCTTACGCCTGTAATCCCAGCACTTTGGGAGGCTGAGGTGGGAGAATTGCTTGAGGCTAGCAGTTCGAGACCAGCCTGGCTAACATGGTGAAACCCTTCTCTACTAAAAATACAGAAAATTTGCCTGGGCGTGGTGTTGGGTGCCTGTAGTCCCAGCTACTTGGGAGGCTGAGGCAGGAAAATGGCGTGAACCTGGGAGGCAGAGCTTGCAGTGAGCCAAGATTGCGCCACCGCACTCCAGCCTGGGTGACAGAGCGTCTCAAAAAAAAAAAAAAAAAAAAAAAAAAAAAATGAGCATGCACTTATTACTATTGTAATAAACAATATTATTTTAATATGAAAAAGTTTTCTTTTAATATGTTTTTAAACCCATACATGAAACTATCATTAGTTTTTCATCATCAAGACATGGGCAGTTCTGTGAAATCCTAAAGAAATGGACAATGACTGTGATTAATTAGGTAGAAAAGCAACATAAAGGGCAAAGATGGCTAAACTGTGAGCATGAGATCCAAACCCGTAAAGTGATCCTGAACCAGTAATTTCTCCTTTCTGAGAGTTTCTCATCTATATGTTGAAGAGTTGAACTCTCCAAAATTGACCCCAAATTTTAATGTCAACAATTGAAATTAATAACTTGGGGCCAGGCATGGTGGCTCACACTTGTAATCCCAACATTTTGAGAGGCCTAGACAGGGGGAGCACTTGAGGCAAGGAGTTTGAGACCAGCCTGGACAACATAATGAGACCTTGTAAAAAAGAAAAATTTTTTTTAATTAGCTGGGCATAGTAGCGTGAGCCTGTTGTCCCAGCTACTCAGGAGGCAGAGGCCGAAGAATTGTTTGAGCCCAGGAGTTTGTCATTACAGTGAGCTACTATCATGCCACTACACCCCAGCCTGAGTAACAGAGGAAGACACTGTCTCTAAAAATAAATAAAGCAGAAGAAAATAAAATGAATAGCTTGGAGTGGTGGGTAGGAACTAGGAGGCAAGTTCTTTCCCTGGAGCCCCAGCTCTCAAGACGTCTTGCCTCCAGCCTCTTTGAGCCTCCTGGGAGAGCAGGTTCAGATTTCACAATTTCCCACTGCTGGATTTTTGGTCATGTGTTTTGAAGTTCATGCCTGAGAAACTTGAGCAGCATGAGTTTGATAAAGTTGCCAATGAGATTTTTGATGGTTGGTGTACCAGTCAGGTTAGGTTAGGTTTTGCTGAGACAATAAAAAGCATAACACAAGACTTTGTGACTTAACACAAGAGAAGCTAAGTTTTTGCTCACACTACGTGTCCAGAACGGGCAGGCAGTGGGCTCTGCTTCACAGAGACGTTCCACATCGTCATATAACACAGCCTTCTCAACATGACGGCTTTAGGATTTGCTGCACAAAGAGAAGGGAGTGTACCGAGAATAGTGCATAGGGCCTTAACTGCTTCCACTTGGAGGAGACGCACATTAGGTCCACTCACATTTCATTGGCCAAAGCAAGTCAAACAATCATGCCCAACTTTAAGAGGATGGGAAAGTGCAATGTGTGTGCAGAAGGAGAGGAGAATCAGAAATATTGGCAAATAGCATAATGTCTACCATAGTTAGCAATCAATAAGTAGCTACTACTTCTTCGGCAAGTAGGGTGACTTATCCTGACTTGCCTAGGATTTTCCCACTCTTAGCCCTGGAAGTCCCATATCTCCAGAGACTCTTCAGTCCCAGTCATGTTGGGATGGTTGGTCACCCTATGGCCAAGGCATAGTCAAGGTGCAAGAGAAGACTCAGTTCTTGTTCTTGAATTAGTTATAATCTGGAGTGCTTTTGTTTGACATTTGATCTATATGTAAGAAAAAATGGGAAACAATACAAAATAGGTTTTATAAAGCTAATGCCAAGTCATGTGCTTCATGCAGGAGGTATTAGCATTAAAGAGAAATAAGATACCAAGGTGGGTGGGGATAGTCAAGGAGGACTTCATGGGGGAATACTACAGCCAAAGGATATTCATACCAAAAGGAATTCTAGAACGTCAGGTTGGGTTGGAATTTGATGCATTGCACTGCTTGCAATGAAGAACACTGACTAATATAAATCTTTGTTATCATGTCCTTTCTAGGTGCTTATGCAGCCTGTGTTTAATACTTTCAGTGATGGGGAAATCACTACCCATCTTTTCATATCTTGCCGGAGGGGAGAAGCAAGGAGGAATGATTATAAGAGGGAAGAACAGCATGAGTCAAGTCAGGTTAGAGCATGGAGGCTGGCAAGTTAGGCAATGAGGGATTCATGTTGGTAGCTAGGTTGTGTGTAAAAGAACAAAAGTTGATGTTGTGGGCTCTTTGGGGGAAATATTGGAAACAACAATACGAGGATTATTCTGAGCATCTTTCTTTCTTTCTTTTTGAGACGGAGTTTTGCTCTTGTTGCCCAGGCTGGAGTGCAATGGTGCAATCCCGGCTCACCGTAACCTCCGCCTCCTGGGTTCTAGTGATTCTCCTGCCTCAGCCTCCCAAGTAGCTGGGATTACAGGCATGTGCCACCACGCCCGGCTAATTTTTTGTATTTTTAGTAGAGACAGGGTTTCTCCATGTTGGTCAGGCTGGTCTCGAACTCCCAACCTCAGGTGATTCTCCTGCTTCAGCCTCCCAGAGTGCTGGGATTACAGGTGTGAGCCACCACGCCCAGCTTATTCTGAGCATCTTTCATGACAAAAATTTAATATACCCATATGTAAAAAGTTTTGCCTAGAATTTCAGGCAATTCAGGGACCCCACACAGCCCATGCAGTGGGGCTATGCGTGGATCCCAGGTGAAGAACCTCTCAGCTCAGTGGTCCCAATTACCCTGATTTGATCATTACCCATTGTGTACATGCATGAAATATCACACGTATGCCCCAAATATGTACAACTATTAAAGGTCTTTCTAGCCCTAAAGCTTTTTCTCTATAGGTTCTTCTGATTGGGCCCAAATATTCCCCAAGCACATGTCCTCTGCCCAGAGTGACTTTCTTCACAATCCACCTCTGTGGGTTATAATTCTATCCATACATCGAGGAGCAGCTCCAATGCCTCTCCTTCCAAGAGCCTGGCAGCACTTGTTCTCTGGCTCTCTGAGCACACGTGGCAGTTTTCCTCTGAGCTTCACTTGTTGGTGTGCTCTGGGTGTCCTCCCTAATGGATGAAGGATTATACAGCTCTGTCTCCTCCCTCCTCACCCCATCCCATCCCACTGAGAGATTGCCAGTCACCTTACTCAACTTCCATTCTTCTCTCTTCCGTAATTACAGAATCCTGATCATTCTTTGAGCCAGCAAAGTACTGGGCTAACAGGCTACTTACGCAGCTTTCCTTGCATCTAGGGGTGGCCAGGGATATGTAAGGGGAAATTATGGGTTAAGGCTTCCAGGAAAACTTTTAATGGGAGGATGACTCAGCTGGGAGCAGGGCTCCCCTGTTTTGTGCTCCCCCTTTTCCTGCCTGGAATACAGACCGGATGGCTGAATCCTGGCACCCATCTTATTACCTGGCGCCAAAATAAGGAAGGAGTCTTGATCTCTGATTAATTTATGGTGTCCCAAGACCAGCCTTGATCAACTACTTCCAAACCTTTACACATAATAAACAAAATAGTTTAAGCCAGTAGGGAAATTATAGTTAACAATAATTAATTGTATTTTTCAAAATAGCTGGAAGAGAATTGTAATGTTCCCAACACAAAGAAAAGACAGATGTTTGAGGGGATGAATATCTAAATTACCCTGATTTGATCATTACACGTTGTGTACATGTATGAAATAGCACATGTATCACATGTATGCCCTGAATATGTACAACTATTATATATCAACTTACAAAATTTTTAAAAAATGTGTTTTAGTCAGTGCTGTTGAGATTTTGTTACTTATAGCAGAGTGCATTTCTAACCAATACATAGGTCACTAATTAAGTTTGATTATATTGAATTTAATTAGAATAATTTACTCGTAGGGACACTCTGTAAAGCCCCAGCTTCAGTTCTGGAGATGGGAAATGAGGCTGTGTTGATTAAGGTTCCCTGGGTTTTCTGGACTCTGGATAGAAAGGCTGGTTTTGGCCAGGCACGGTGGCTCATGCTGGTAATCCCAGCCCTTTGTGAGGCTGAGGCAAGTGGATCACTAGAGGTCAGGAGTTCGAGACCAGCCTCGCCAACATGGCAAATCCTGTCTCTACCAAAAATACAAAAATTAGCCAGGCATGGTGGCATGTGCCTGTAATCCCAGCTACTCGGGAGGCTGAGGCATGAGAATCTCTTGAACCCAGGAGGCAGAAGTTGCAGTGAACTAAGATTGCACCACTGCACTCCAGCCTAAAAATAAAGGTTGGTTTTGACAGGCTCCTCTTGAAGAATGAAAACACCTGAAATTGTTGAGTCCTTAGAATTCTACTGGAGTATTTCTCAAGATATGGGCAGGCTCATTTGCTTCAGAAGCATCAGGGATTGGTTAAAGTGCAGTTTCTCTGGACTTCTCTCTCTTTTCCCCATCCACTGCATCAGGACTGAGAGGACTGAGTCAGAGGAATCTTCACACTCAAGGTTGAGCTTTACTGCCCCAAAGCTTGTGTGGGTCTCCTTGCCAGGGAACTGAATTGCTACATGGATTGGATTGGATTGTGTTGAATTGAATGAAAGGGTAAGTCCTTGGAAAGGAGAATTGAATCTGAGTAACACTAATTAGCAAGAAGTCATCCCTGCCTATTTTCCCAGGAGAGCTGTAGTTTGGGATTTGGGCTGCCTTGGGAGAGGCATCAAAAGATTCACTTTACCACTTTCTTTACCAAGAGTCAGTTCATGTAAATCATGGTCGGCCAGTGCTTTCTCTGTTCAGTGAAGTTCAGATAAAGATCCCTAAGGAGCTTGGATGGTAAGAGTAGGAGGAGCACAGAACATCACCTAGAAATACTCTCTCTTTTTTTTTTTTGAGACAAAGTCTCGCCCTGTTGCCCAGGCTGGAGTGCAGTGATGCAATCATGGCTCACTGCAGCCTCGACCTCCGGGGTTCAGGTGATCCTCCCACCTCAGCCTCCTGAGTAGCTGGGACTATGGGCATGTGCCACCATGCTTGGCTAATTTTTGTATTTTTTTGTAGAGACAGGGTTTTGCCATGTTGCCCAGTATTGTCTTGAATTCCTGGCCTCAAGTGATCCTCCCGTCTTGGCCTCCCAAAGTGCTGGGATTACAGGTGTAAGCCACCATGTCCAGCTGCCTGGGAATACTCTCTAGGGAAAACTGCACATGCTTTCCTTAAGTAAGCTGTGGGGTCTGGAGGCCGCTAGGAATGAACAATAGTGAACATTTCATTGCATCAGTGGCTCTCAAAATGTGGACCAGGCTTTAACAGCATCAGCATCTCTTGGGAAATTGTTAGAAAAGCATCAGACATCCTGGGTGTGGGCCTCAGCAATCTGTGTTTTAACATCTCCTCCCCATAATTGTGATGTGTGCTTATGTTTGAGAACCACTGCTTTAGACCTTCATGTCCTCCTCATGTCTGATAGATGTCTGATAGACTTAAAAAAAATGGACACAGAGATGAGGGACAAAGTAGGGTCCAGGGCTCAGTGAGTCGATGGGTAAGCACTGTTTTCTGGGTTTGAGACATCCTTGGCAACACTGGGTGTCTAGTGTCTAGACCACCCCTACCCACATCCTTCGTGTGAAACATGGTGGACTGTTCCATGGGCTACATGAGCCAGGCCCTGAACCACCCCACATCTAGAGACCTTAGGAGAATCCTTCCTTGCTTTGGAGATTCTGAGGCTCCCTTTTGGATACAGTCTTCTGATGAGCAGCGTGTTGATTTATAAGTAATTGACTGAGCAGGACTCCAGCATTAGCTTGGGTCTTTCCAGGCTCAGAACAGAGCTGGGTATTCACTTGCCCGGCTGCAAGCAGACAGTAAACTCCCTACCCCTCTACCTTGCCTCCCCCAATATACATCTCATCAAGGGACCATCTGCACCTTCTGCATATTCCCACTGACATCATGCTCTCAATTCTATCCAACTGCAGACACATTAACTGTATAGCCTTGTTCAGTGGATCCTCATTTCCAGCAGCCCACTTCATTCTTTGATTTGAAAAGTGAATATTTTTCAACCTGTATAGCCTGCTATGTAATCATAACTTAAGCAACCGTTTTCCAACAGACGACTATGCCTTGACCCCTTCTTCTGGGAAACCTGGCATTTCCTGGTCCTGGGTCCTGATGCATCTTCCTTGTTCTACCCTAGTGGGAGGGTCTTACCCACATAAAACAATGGGAATGAGAGTTGGAGGATGGTGAGGTCAGCAACTGGGCTTTCCAAACTGAAAATTGGACCACATGAGGTAGCAAAGAAATTTTGTGACTTATGTATATTTTTATTGATCTGATTCTATTCATGCATTACTGTTCGCCAAAATATTGGAATTTCTGGGACATTTAGAGGGACAAGGAGGTAGAATAATATTTGTAAATCGGAGTGGCCCAGAATATATGGGAGATATACCTAGGTCTGCAGGTTAAAACCCAAATGTCTATAGGGCTAGGTAGGTACCTAAATTAGAAAAAGGCTAGTATAAGTTGGGGACAGGTGCAAACTGGGGGCCATATACCAAACCAAAAGGAGCACAGGTGGCTGCACTGCAGTGGATTGGTGTTAGAAGGAAATGGAGGCCCTGATTGGCCTGACCTTCTAATTTTCTAAGTGAAACTGAAAATCTTTTTTCTTTTTTTTTAAGAGATAGGGTTTTGATGTGTTGCCCAGGCTAGAGCGCAGTGGCTATTCACAGGCACGATCATGGTGCACTGCAGCCTCAAACTCCAGGGCTCAAGCGATCTTCTGCCTCAGCCTCCCAAGTAGCTGGGACTATAGGTGCATACCACTATGCCCGGCTCAATTTTTTTATTTTTATTTTTGGCAAGGTCTCGCTTTGTTGCCCAAGCGGGAGTGCACGGCACAATCATGGCTCACTGTAATCTCAACCTGCTAGGCTCAAGTGATCCTCTCGTCTCAGCTTCCTGAGTAGCTGGAACTACAGGTGCATGCTACCACACCCAGATAATTTTTGTATTTTTTGTAGAGATATGGTTTTGCCATGTTGGCCAGGCTGGTCTCGAACCCCTGGGCTCAAACAATCCTCCTGCCTCAGCCTCCCAAAGGTCTGGAATTACACGTGTGAGCCACTTTGTCCAGCAACCCCACCCCCCACTTTTTAAATGTAAAATCTCTCTTTCTCTTTTACACAAACACATGCACACAAATCACCATGCAAGCTAAACAAAATATTTGCAGGAGGTTACATTGCCTGTATTCCAGGTAGACAAATAATGCAACAAGGGTTATGGAAAAATACCATGGAAGCAAAAGCAGTGATTAACTCTGTCTGGGAGAGTGAAGGTCGGGGCAGCTTCTCCAAGGATGTGATGTCTGAGCTGAGCTGTGTAGATTAAGCAGGGGTTCTGCTTGTCCACAAAGTGGGAAGAACATTTTATGCCCAGTGGCACTTTCAGGGGGGCCTCGGAGGCTCAGTGCAGCTGGAATACTGGGGGAATGCAGAGAGCGAGGAAGATACAGATAGGCAGAGGCCTTGAAGGCCTGGCCAAGACATTTTTCCTTTATCCCGTAGGAGTGGGAGTGGTGTGGTCAGATTGGTGGTATCCAAGGTCACTCTGGGGCTCACGTGGAGAATGGCGAGGAAGCGCTGTGCTGAAGCAGTCAAGTATCTACTGGAATAGTTCATGAGAGTGTGGGTGAGGATCCCAAAGGCACTTTGGTGCAAAAGGATTGCAGCCTTGAGGGCCAGCTCAGGCCCTGTCCTCACAGAGCTCCCGGACTGATATAATAAGGTAACTACGGTGCGCAGCAGTGTGGGGTGCCTTTGGGTAGGCGGAGAGCAGTTTCCTCTACTCTTAGCCTGGGAGGCGGCAGCTAGCGGCCGGCAGTGTTGTGGTTACCAGGGCCTTGGGTTACAACACATGTTTGTTTTTTAAAAACGTTGCGATACCTTTTAAATCAGGGCCCTGGACAGGGTCCAAGGACAGTAGCAAGGACCAGCCCCCATGGTGCTTCTTAAAGAAGCAGCTGCAGAGGAGGGACGGAACCTTGGGAACCTGGATTTCTGGGGGACCCTAAGTTCAGGCAGGGCTTGGAAGCTGGGCAAGGCTGGACGCAGCCTCCAGTTCACCCCATTCCTCCTCTTCCTTCCTCAAGGCTCTTTTGGCTCAGGAGCACTTGGAGAAGATGAACTGTCTTCCAAGCTGTCTTGGAAAGCTACAAGTGGTAGGCAGAGGCACCCAGGAATGTAGAGTCCAGCTCCTCGAAAGAAAGGAAGACCAGGCCGGGCATGGTGGCTCACACCTGTAATCCCAGAACTTTGGGAGGCTGAGGCGGGTGGATCACAAGATCAGGAGTTCAAGACCAGCCTGGCCAAGATGGCGAAACCCCGTCTCCACTAAAACTACAAAAATTAGCTGGGTGCGGTGGCAGGTGCCTGTAATCCTGACTACTCAGGAGGTTGAGGCAGGAGAATTGCTTGAACCTGGGTGGCAGAGGTTGCAGTAAGCTGAGATCACGCCACTGCACACTAGCCTGGGTGACAGAGCAAGACTCTGAAAAAGGAAGGAAGGCAGGCAGGCAGGCAGGCAGGCAGGCCTTCCAACTGGTCAAAGATTCAGGGGTCTGGCTTGACAGGGAGTGAGTGCCCCATTGCGGGAGGTGTTCAAGCAGAAGCTAACGTTGGTCAAGTGTGTTGGAGAAAGTGTACAAGGGTCTGCTGGAGGAGGGGTCTGGAGGGAATGGACTCTTAGATTTGATTGGGACTGGAAGAGATCTTCGTCGTAGTCCCTTTTCAGAGGCAAAAGTTATTCTTTTCTTTTCTTTTTTTTTTTTTTCTGAGATGGAGTCTTGTTCTGCCGCCAGGCGGGAGTGCAGTGGTGCGATCTCAGCTCACTGCAACCTCTGCCCCCTGGGTTCAAGCGATTCTCCTGCCTTAGCCTCCCAAGTAGCTGGGACTACGGGTGGGCACCACCACACCAGGCTAATTTTTGTATTTTTAGTAGAAACAGGGTTTCACCATGTTGGCCAGGATGGTCTCGATCTCCTGACCTCGTGATCCTCCCACCTCGGCCTCCCAAAGTGCTAGGATTACAGGCATAAGCCACCGTGTCTGACCAAAAGTTATTCTTTAAAGGAGTCAGGATTAGGTAGGATTCAAGAGACTTTCACTCTTGTGCAGTGTTGGTGAGAATGTAAATGGTGCAGCCACCGTGGAAAACAGTATGGAGATTTCTGAAAAAATTAAAAATAGAACTGTATGATCCAGCCATCCCATGAAAAGAGATCTACTCTCCTGTGTTCATTACAGCATTATTCACTATAGCCAAGATATGAAAACAACCTAAATGCCCATCAACAGACGAATGGGTAAAGAGAATGTGGTGTACACATATGACGAAATTGTATTCAGGCTGGGCACGGTGGCTCACACCTGTAATTCCAGCACTTTGGGAGGCCAAGGCAGGTGGATTACCTGAGGTCAGGAGTTTGAGACCAGCCTGGCCAACATGGTGAAACCTCGTCTCTACTGAAAATACAAAATTAGTGGGTGTGGTGGCATGGGCCTGTAATCCCAGCTACCCGGGAGGCTGAGGCAGGAGAATTGCTGGAAACTGGGAGGTGGAGGCTGCAGTGAGCCAAGATTACACCACTGTACTCCAGCCTGGGTGACAGAACGAGACTCTGTCTCAAAAAAAAAAAAAAAGAAAAGAAAAGAAAAGAAAAAGATAAAAGAAACAGTATTCAGCCTTAAAAAGAAGGAAATCTTGTCTTTTGTGACAACATGGATGAACCTGGAGGACATTATGCTAAGTGAAATGAGCCAGTCATGATGCCATTTATAAGAAATATCTAAAATAATCAAACTCCTAGAAGCAGAGAATTGGATGGTGGTTGTCAGGAGCTGATGGGGGAGGGTACCGGGGAGTTGTTGCTCAGTGGGTATAAAGTTTCTGTTATGCAAGATGAATAAGTGCTAGACATCTGCTGTACAACAGAGTGCCTATGGTTAATAATACTTTATTACACACTTAAGAATTTAAGAGGGTAGATCTCATGTTAAGTGTTCTTACCATAAAAAAAAACAAATGAAAACAAACAAACAAACAAAAACCAAAGGGGCACAGGAAACTTTTGGAAGTGATGGATATGTCTATTACCTTCATTGTGGTGATGTTTCATGGGTGTATGCATATGTCCAAACTCATCAAATTATTCACATTAACTATGTGCAGTTTTTTTGTATATCACTTATACCTCAATAAAGCTGTTTTTGTTTTGTTTTGTTTTGTTTTGTTTTTTGAGACGGAGTCTTGCTTTGTCGCCCAGGCTGGAGTGCAGTGGCCCTACCTGGGCTCACTGCAAGCTCCGCCTCCCAGGTTCACGCCATTCTCCTGCCTCAGCCTCCCGAGTAGCTGGGACTACAGGCACCTGCCACCACACCAGGCTAAGTTTTTTGTATTTTTAGTAGGGACAGTTTCACCGTGTTAGCCAGGATGGTCTTGATCTCCTGACCTTGTGATCTGCCCGCCTCGGCCTCCCAAAGTGCTGGGATTACAGGCGTGAGCCACCGCGCCCGGCCAATGAAGCTGTTTTTTGAAAAATAGAGACTTCCATTCTGATGCTTGGTTTGCTATTGACTTGCACCATGACTCTGGATAATTCACATACATTCACATTCCCCACCCCACTCTTTGCTCAATTCCTGGCTTCCAGTAAGCACTGCAAAGATTTGTTGAACAAATGGGTGAATGAATGAATTAGTTGGACTGAGTATGAAGTTTACATTCACACTTGTGCATGTATGAGTAATTTCATTTTTTTTTTCTGGGTAAAGGCCTATATCTTGAATTGCCATCACCATCATTTATTGAGAATTTACTATGATATGCTAAGGGCTTCGTATACTTATCACATTTAATCATCAGAACGCGGAAGGGAGACCGGACGGGCTACCACTTCCACTGTATTAATGAGAAAGCTCAGGTTTGGGGAGGGCAAGTCTCTTGCCTAGGGTCCTACTCTGGGATTTGGACCTAGGTCTACCAGACTCCACAACCGGAGCTCTAAAGCCCCATGATAAATTACTTCAGCTTCTCAAAGAGATCTGTGACCCCAGAAGGGTGAAGAGAAAACGCCCTACTGCCCTAGATTCTAATTATCCGAGAGTCTTTGGGGGAACGGGTCGGGTGGTTTGCTGGGGCGGGAATGGAGGAGAAAGCAAGTAAGCAAGAGCACAGGAGGGCAGAGCCCAAGCCAGCAAGGGCTGCTATTTACAGTAGCCCCAGAGCCCCCAGAGAGGATGATAAGGGGGCGGACTGGGAAGAGCAGTTGTAAGAGGAGCCAGGGAGCGGGAGGGGGTGATCTCCTCCCCCGGGCCCTGCTGCCTCCAGCTCACCCTGTCGCCTGATGTCTAAATAAGGTGCAGAGGCACACTCCCAGCAGCTAAAAATAAAACTTCCGCTCCCCCTCCTGCCCTTGGGCTCTGGCGACCTCCTCAGCCCCATCGGGACTCCCCCTTGGCCCGACCGGCTCCCCCTTGGCCCTGAGGCATGCCCTTGCCCGAGCTATAGAATCGTCTCCCCTGAACCCCGACTGCAAGAACATCTGGACCAGAAGGCAGGGGGCGTGGGTCTCACACTTGGCTCTGCCTTGACAAACCTGGGCAAATCTCTTTTCTTCTCTGGACCTCAGTCTCCCCACACGTAAAATGAAGGCATTAGAATAATGACGTAAAGCTCTAGCATTTTTGAATGAAGCCAAGATCCCATACTCTGGGGTCACATTTCACCAGAGTTTGCCCACTGCAGTTTTGTAGGTTCGGCAGATCCACGCAGAGTTTTTTTGTTTTTGTTTTTGTTGTTTTTTTTTAGGCGGAGTCTCTCTCTGTCGCCCAGGCTGGAGTGCAGTGGCACGATCTCGGCTCACTGCAACGTCCGCCTCCCAGGTTCAAGCAATTCTTCTGCCTCAGCCTCCCGAGTATCTGGGATTACAGGTGCACGCCACCATGCCCAGCTAATTTTTTATACTTTTTGGTAGAGACGGGGTTTTGCCATTTTGGCCAGGCTCGTCTCAGACTCCTGACCTCAAGTGATACACCCTCCTCCGCCTCCCAAAGTGCTGGAATGACAGGCGTGAAACACCACCACATCCAGTTCCACGCAGTTTTTTTTTAATAAATATCGGAATTATCTGCTCTCCATTAAATATTTGGAGAGTTCACATAAAAGTGGATTTCCAGCTTCTCTTGAAAAATCTGGCCACATCTGGCCGGCGTGTGTCCAGCAACAATGAGCCTGAGTTGGGTAGCGGCCGCCCCCTCTTGGCGGCATGGATGTACTACAGGTGGTTGGAGGCATTCTAACCGTTTCTTCCATCCCTGCAGTCAACGGTGTGTGAGGCGCCGGGATTACAGTGAGTATTCTGAGTATAGGCAGATTCTGTTTGCATCCCAGAGCCCGGGACACTGGTATTGCTCTGCCTGGCAAATGTTTGCTGAAATAGCCGGCTAATGGAATGCTTTGGAAACTGTAAAGGATGCATGATGATGGTGCCTCCTGCCTGAAATTTGGTGCCAGAGTACTGCTAGTCCCTGTACTGGAATCCAGGTCCCAAGCCCTAAGGGACAAGGTCCTCATACCCTCACCCCAAACCCAACCCGATCCCTCCTTGGGAGGCATTAGACAATTAAGACTCTTTTAGGTACTGCCTGGACCTTCCAAGACATCGGTGGGATTACCCTTCGTTGGAAAACTGCTGGCACAAACAGCCAGGGCCTACTAAACTCAAATAATCCTGCAGCCCCTTTGGAGGGGCAAAAGGAAGAGGGTAGGAGGGGAGGTAGGAGGAGTAGAGCAGAACTGTTTAGAGAACAGATTTCTGGTCAGCCTGCTTGGATTCACCCACCTTCTCTTGGGCAACTCATCTGAGATACACACTTCACTGAATTAAAGAGTACTGAATTTGGGTTGGGTATGGTGGCTCACGCTTGTTATCCCCTTCTGTACTAAAAATAGAAAAATTAGCTGGGTGTGGTGGTGGGTGCCTGTAATCCAGCTACCCAGGAGGCTGAGGCAGGAGAACCGCTTGAATGGGGGTTGGCGGGGGCAGAGGTTGCAGTGAGCTGAGATCACGCCACTTCACTCCAGCCTGGGTGAAAGAGCATAGCTCTGTCTCAAAAAAAAAAAAAGGTACTAAATTTGGACTGGTCCTCAGACATCACAGAATCAGCCAATCTCAATGTAGCAGGATGAGCCCACAGACAAAACTCCTCAGACACTGAGTTAAAGAAGGAAGGGGTTTATTTGGCCGGGAGCATCAGCAAGACTCCTCTCTCAAGAGCCGAGCTCCCCGAGTGAGCAATTCCTGTCCCTTTTGAGGGCTCACAACTCTAAGGGAGTCCACGTGGGAGGGTCGTGATCAATTGAGCAAGCAGGGGGTACGTGACTGGGGGCTGCATGCACCAGTAATCAGAGCGAAACAGAACAGGACAGGGATTTTTACATTGCTTTTCCATACAATGTCTGGAATCTATAGATAACATAACCGGTTAGGTCAGGGGTCGATCTTTAACTACCAGGCCCAGGGCGCATGCTGGGCTGTCTGCCTGTGGATTTCATTTCTGCCTTTTAGTTTTTACTTCTTCTTTCTTTGGAGGCAGAAATTGGGCATAAGACAATATGAGGGGTGGTCTCCTCCCTTATCAACATACAGTGTTGAGTGATAGGGCATAAGGAAGAGAATCTAGGAACAACTGAGGCTCTGTCCTTCCTGTCTTGTTTCAGTAAGAAGAAGGGGTGGGGAAAGTTCCCCAGACACCTTCCTTAGGGGTATATAGTGACTCTATCTGTATCCCACTCCTACCACCCAGTGGTGGAGAAAGCCAGTCTAATCTGGACCCTAGCTATTCAAACTGTGGGGCTCAGACCAGCAGCTTTGGTGTCATGGGGAGCTAGTTAGAAATGCAAATTCTCAGGCTCCACTCCAGACTTGCTGAATCATAATCTGCATTTTAGTGAGATCTCAGGTACTTTGCATGCATGTTACTGTTAGGGAGGCCTTTAGAACAGTGGTTGTCAATGTCGGCAGCATATTGGAATTCTCTGAGGGACTTTAAAAAATGTAATACATAGGTCCCACCCTGGTGTGTAACCTGAGCATGGGGAGGGTTTCAAGCTCCCTGGTGACTCCAATGTGTAGCCAGCATTGATCATCACAGCTCTAGAAAAAAGCTCTACTGAGATGAAAATCTTTGGGAATCAAAGCGATGTCTGCCTACACAGAAGCCTCCCATCTTGGGTCCACAGACTGAGGCTGATGAGGATGCTGCTCCCAAGCCTGCCTTCCCTAGCCCTGCCCAGCCTGCTTGACAAGTCCAATCCCTGCTCCCCATTGTCCAGCCTCTAAGTGCTCTCCAGATTCAGACTGTTGAGGTGAGAAGGGGGTGGTTCTCTTATCAGCTCTGCAATCTTGCCCAGAGGTGTGGCCCTGAGCTGGGAGACTGGAAACCTGAGTACTTACCCTAGCTCTGCTGAGTGGTCTTGGGCAAGGTAATTTCTGTCTCTCAGTGACAGCTTCAATGAACTGTTGCCCTGGGGGAAAAAAGCTGGTGTTTCCAAATTGTCTGATTTTTCAGAAAAAGCTGGAAATCTACGGTTTAATGAGAAATCACTTCTGCTTCTTTTTTTTTTTTTTTTGAGATGGAGTCTCACTCTGTCGCCCAGACTGGTGTGCAATGGTGCAATCTCGGCTCACTGCAACCTCCGCCTCCCCGGTTCAAATGATTCTTCTCCTGCCTCAGCCTCCCGAGTAGCTGGGATTACAGGCTCCCGCGGATTACAAGTTCCCGCCACCATGCCCAACTAATTTTTGTATTTTTTAGTAGAGATGGGGTTTCACCATGTTAGGCTGGTCTCGAACTCCTGACCTGATCCACCCGCCTCGGCCTCCCAAAGTGCTGGGATTACAGGCGTGAACCACCACGCCAGCCGAAATCACCTTTTAAAATTGTTCATTAGCAATTAAGTAATATTTTCTAAGAAACACCATGCAGACAAACAAATCATGTTTGAGGCTGGCATCACCTGTCTGTGATCTCTACATCTGACCCACATGACTGCCACACACATATCTGAGGTGTAAGTGTTACTGATTGAGGGTTTCCAGGTTTTTGGCATTTTGAACAAAGAATCGGACAAAACGCACAAAGCAAGGAAAGATTGAAGCAACAAAAGCAGAGATTTATTGAAAATGAAAGCTCACTCCACAGGGTGGGAGGGGGCCCAAGCAAGCGGCTCAAGGGCCCGGTTACAGAATTTTCTGGGGTTTAAATACCCTCTAGAGGTTTCCATTGGTTATGTGGTGTATGGCTAGAATGAGGAGGTTAAACTGAAGTTACAAAGTTATTTACTTGGTGTACACTCTATGTAAATGAAGAGGACGAAGTAAAGTTACAAAGTCATTTACCATGTAAATAAAGAGGATATTTCTTGTCATAGCTAAAGTGTTTCAGTTTGATCGAGTTCTGGGAAGTCTTTAGGTTCCCTGCCTCCAGGCCCTATTCTCCTGCCTCATATGCACTTTTAACACTCAGGGCACACACACACACACACACACCCCAGGCTTTAGATACATGGCTGGTCCCCAACAACACCCATACCCACCACACACAAGCAAGACTGGTAGGTTGTACTGGGCCATATTATTTCAAGGCCCAGATCCTTGCCGTTAATAGTAAGCTGGTAATAATTTCTAGTTTTTATTTTACTTTTTTTTTTGAGACAGGGTCTCGCTCTGTCGCCCAGGCTGAAGTGCAGTGGCGCGATCACAGCTCACTGCAACCTCCACCTCCTGGGCTATGGCAGTCCTCCCATCTCAGCCTCCTGAGTAGCTTGAACTACAGATGTGCGCCGGATAATATTTGGTATTTTTTGTAGAGATGGGATCTCACCATGTTTCCCAGGCTGGTCTCAAACTCCTGGGCTCAAGTAAGCAAGCACCCACCTCTGCCCCCTAAAGTGCTGGGATTACAGGCATGAGCCACTGCACCCAGCCTAATTTCCAGTATTCTAACCAATCACTCTTAGAAGGTGAGTTCTTCAAGGACAGAGGCCTTGCTTTAATAATTGTCACTTCTATGTATGTGTGCACTTATTATATGTACGTCAGATACTTTACATCACTGTATGTCAACCTTGGCTGCACATCTTAGTCACCTGGGTTTTTGTTTTTTTTTTAAGTACCAATGGTTAGGTCCCATCTCGAGAGATTTAGATGTCTAGAGTGTGGCCTGGGGGTTGGGATTTTTAAAAGCTCACAGAGGACTGCAATGTGAGGCCCCGGCTGGGAAGCATGGCCTGATGGTCTTGACCATGTTTAATTTTTCCATTGGCTCTTTCCCCAAGTGTTTCTCGTTTCTCCCGGGGAGAGTCAAAGCCCACCTCCTCAGAGAGTTCTTATCAGACCCCTAAAGGCAACCCACCCCAATTTGTGTTACCATAACCTGATTTTTTTTGTCATCTAGTATTATTACTTGATGCTATCATCTTGTTTATTTCTTTCTTTGCTGATTGCCCTTTACTCTAGTCATAGGCGGATGGGGTGTGCCTGTGGGGGCAGGGGCAGGGCCTTTATCTTGTTCAGTAGTTGAATCGATTAGTCAATGAGTGAATAGTTTTTCACTGAGAGGTAGTTTCATTATTATCATCTTGAATCTTCATTTTGCAAATGAGAAAACTGAGGCCAGAGAGGTTAAGGCCCTGCCGAGGTTCTCTCAGCAGGAGGTGGCAGGGCCAGGGTGCAAGCCGGGGTCTACCTGATTGGGAACATGTCCCTTCCCTTCTTCCATCTTGTTTATGGTTTGGTTTCCAGTCACTGTGTCTGTGACCTTCCAGAATTTCATCCAAATTCCTTTATGTGGAGATGCCAGGTACTCTCATCTGAAAGGAATATGCCACTGAGGTGGCTGGGAGAGTTAACCTTTCACTGACTAAGGGTGTTGACCTCTTGTATTATGGTGGAGTGTGTCTGTAGGAGTCAAAAGGAGGTGGGTAATGGGGTTGAGGGGACTTGGTTGCTAGAAAGATAGACAAGGAATGATGCTGGAAGGGTCTATGCAGCCCCTTCCTATTTTCCAGTGATGCTGCAGGGCATACCATGCTGGCATTGTGGTTACCTTGAGCAACCACACAAACCTCCACCAAGGAGCAGAGCCACAGGGGCATCTCTCACCCACATCCACCAAGAAGCAGAGCCACAGGGGTGTCTCTCACCCACATGTACCAAGGAGCGCAGCCACAGGGGCATCCATCACCTACACACCCACCAAGGACCAGAGCCACGTGGGCATCTCTCATCTACACATGTACCAAGGAGCAGAGCTACATGAGCATCTCTCACCCACATCCACCAAGGAGCAGAGCCACAGCGGCATCTGTCACCCATGTCCACCTGGAGCAGAGCCACATGGCCATCTCTCATATAATCTGTAGGTTCAGCCTTAGGAGAAGTGATGTCTAGTTTCACTTCTTCTGTGTACCACTGGGCAAGTCCTCTTCCTCATGGATCTCATGAAGAGGTTGTGTTACTGGTAGAGGGTCTTGACTGCAAGTTGTCCAGATTCTTGGCATTTTGAACAAAGAAATGAACAAAACGCACAGCAAAGCAAGAAAAGAATGAAGCAATGAAAGAATGCATCCAGGCACAGTGGCTCCAGCCTGTAATCCCAGCACTTTGGGAGGCTAAGCGGGTGGATCACCTGAGGTCAGGAGTTCAAGGCCAGCCTGGCCAACTTGGCAAAACCCCATCTCCACTAAAAATTACAAAAAATTAGCCAGGCGTGGTGGTGAATGCCTATAATCCCAGCGACTTAGGAGGCTGAGGCAGGAGAATCGCTTGAACCCAGGAGGTGGAGGTTGCAGTGAGCAGAGATGGCGCCACTGCACTCCAGGCTGGGCAACAGAGAGAGCATCCGTCTCAAAAAAAAAAAAAGAATGAAAGTGGGGATTTATTGAAAATGAAAATACACTCCACAGTGTGGGAGCAGCCTGAGCAGCAGCTCAAGGGCCCCTGATACAGAATCTTCTGGGGTCCAGATACCCTCTAGAGGTTTCCTATTGGCTACTTGGTGCTCCCTTCATGTAAATGAAGTGTTGGCCCACAATCAGTCTGATCGGTTGCAGAAAGCAACCAATAGGAGGCTGAAATGTCAAAGGTCACACTCCTGTGCAAACATCTGATTGGCTGCATAAAGCAACCAGTTGGCTAGGCACAGTGGCTCAAGCACTTTGGGAGGCTGGAGACGGGCGGATCTCCTGAGGCCAAGAGTTTGAGACCAGCCTGGCCAACATGGCGAAACCCGTCTCTACTGAAAATATTTTAAAAATTAGACAGCTGTGGTGGCAGGTGCCTGTAATTCCAGCTACTCGGGGGGCTGAGGCAGAATTGCTTGAAACCGAGAGGCAGAGGCTGCAGTGATCTGAGAGTGTGCCATTGCACTCCAGGCTGTGTAACAGAGCAAGACTCCAACTCAAAAAAAAAAAAAAAAAAAAACACCAACCAATCAGAGGCACTTTTAATTTCCCATCTGCTGTGCAGACAAGGTGAGGGTTTGCAAAGGCAGTAGTCTCTGGTCCTTTTGTTACTTAGGTGTGGAAAGTTAGGGTTTTCGTTTCAGTTTAGTTCTAGGAAGTCATTGTGAAACAACCTTAGGTTCCCTTCCTCCAGACCTGTTCTCCTGCCTCATCTCATCCCTGAGAGACGTGATCCCCATAAATCTTTATGGGAGGCAGAGGGACTGATGGACTTTCTTCTGTAACTGCTTCATGCTGACTTGGGAGTAGTCCTTATCTGTTGGAGATCATGGAACTCTCTCCCTACTCTGTCTAGTGAAGATAGGGTGGCTTCTTGATGGCCAGGGGTGGTGTCTTCACTTGGAACTGGCTGGAAACCTTGTTGCATGATCATCTGAGGCTTGATAGTCTCTATGCGAGAGGAAATGAATTCGGTTAAAAGACTTAATGGGAACTTTGGGTGTGGATACCTATGCTGTCAGGAATGTTTGTTATAAAAATGTATTAAAACATTCAACTTAATTACTACAAAGGAAGTGATTCTATCCATTTGGAAGAAGGCAATTAAACTGCAAAAATAAAATAAATGACTACTATTATCCAGCCTACGGTAATTATGCAACAAAGGCACCAAGGAAAATTGGTAGGCATTTACTCATCTTTTGGCTGTCTTTTAAACAGGAACTTCAGGGCTTCCACAGGTTCACAGGTGTAGTGGCTGATGGAAACTTCAGGTTCCTGGTCCGGATCTTCTGGTATTGCTGGCTTGATCCTTGAAAGATGTACCCAATCTAATCCTTGTACTTTGATGGCAGAAGGCATAGCCAGTATTACTGAACATGGTCCCTTCCATTTGGGTTGTAATTGTTGAACAGTTGATCCCTCCTTGCGTGTTTTAACAAGTACCTTATCTCCTGGCCTGATTTAGGGTCGCTAGTTAGTTCCCAGTATGGGGAGCCTTTGAATTCCACACTTTTGTAAAGCCTGCTGAAATTGTCCTAGGTTGACTAGGTATTTTACTGGCTGTTTCTGGATCAGTAATTATTAGTTAAGAATGGCCTTCTGTATAACATTTCGTTATATTCGCTTATATTAATTTTTGCTCTGGGGTATTATGGATCCTTAAGAGGGCAATGAGCAGTAAGCTGACCCAAGTTTCTGATGCTTCCTGACGTAGCTTAGCTAACACCTGTTTTAGAGTTTGGTTACCTGTTTCTGCTTTCCTGGAGGATTGAGGCCTCCATGCTGAATATAAATGGTATTTGATTCCAAGAGCCTTAGCAACCACTCAAGTTATTTGGAGATAAAGGACAGGACGTTATCACTTTGGAGGCTCTGAGGTAACCCAAACCAGGGGATTATTTCTTTTAAGAGAACCTTTATAATCTCATTAGCCTTCTGTGTTCTGGTAGGATAAGCTTCAACCCAACCAGTAAAGGTATCTACTAGTACTAACAAAAACTTGTACCCTCTGCAAGCTGGCATATAGGTGAAGTCTAATTGCCAGTCTTCCCCTGGAAACTTTCCTCTCCTCTGGACTGGTTCTATTAGAGGAGGATTTTGTTTCCTGGATTGTTAAGTGCACAGAGTTAGCAGGCTTTGTAGACCTGCTTAGCCACTGAAGTTAGACCCAGTAAAGAGCTTGTTTACCATAATCAGAGTTGCATCCCTCCCAACATGGAAAGAATCAGGCAGGGTTTTTATAACTTTCCACTGGGCTGTCTGAGGGAGATATATTTTTGACCCCATATACTAAGAGGATCCTTCTTTTTGTCCTCCTTGATTCTTTATTAACTGTTCTTACTAACCAGTATTCCCTTGAAGCCTTTAGAACAGGTAAGATGAGGGTATTGCAGGGAGAATTACAGGGTTTTAAGAGCCCATGGGTAAGTAATACCTCAACTATGGGTGCTAGGTCATTTCTTACTTCCTGCTTAATTGGGTGTTATTTTTGACTGGGAAAACAGCTGGGGTCTTCAAGCTGTATTTTGACTGGCACTGCTGTTTTAGCCTTCCTCAGTTTTCTAGTATACAATGCCAGCAGGTTAACCTGTTTATTAATGTGGTCTTGGACATTGTCTGTATTTTTGACTATTAGCAATTTCACTGGGTGATGCTTAAATTGTAGTAGTGCCCTTATTTTAACCATAATCTCTCTTCCCAGCAGGGGGATTGCGTAGCTTGATACTACTAGGCACTCCTGTTGGAAGATTCGTTTCTCAAATTGACAAATCAAAGGAGGAGTAAAAAATCTGGTTTGTGGCTTCCCTTCCATTCCCATAACACTCATGGACCAGGAGGGAAGTTTCCCTGCATAAGCAGTAAGGACAGTGTAATTTGCCCCTGTAACAAAAAGAAACTGAATTTGGGTGCCCGTGACATCCAGAGTTACTCCAGGCTCCCCAGTAGTAATTACAAAGTTCCTGGACAGGGGCAGTGAGGAAGACCCCGGGCCCCTTCAGTCTTCATCTGATTCCTCCTTTCGCACTGCTAGAGTTTTGCCTAACCCAGCCCCTCAGTGGGAGCAGAGGCAATCAATTCTCCAGTGCCAGGGTTCGTGACTGGTGCCTTTGCGTTGACAGCAGGGGCCTGAGGGGAGCTGGAGGGCGGGGGCTTAGTACATTCCTTTGCCCAATGCCCGCTTTTCTTGCATTTGAAGCAAGACTTGCCTTTGCTGGTATTATCTTTATAGTCCTTCGGGTTTCCCTTAGATGCTCTTTGGGCATTCAGGGCATCACCAATGATGGCTGCCATAATTTTGGCTTGCCGTCTTTCTTTACTCTGTTCTCTTTTTCCTTCCTCCAGGTCATATTGTTATACACCATAAAGGCAGTATTAAGAAGCTGATTTTGATTAGCTTGTGGCCCCATCTGTAGCTTTTGGAGTTTACGTCTGATATCTGGGGCAGATTGGCTAATGAAATGCTGTGCCATTAATATTTTGCCTTCGGGAGAAGAAGGGTCCAGATTAGTATATATTTAAAGGCTTCCTCCAGCCTACCATAAAACATGGCTGGATTTTCCTCCTTGCCTTATGTAACCTCCCTTACTTTATCATAATTTACTGCCTTAGTTAATCCCTTTCTCATTCCTCCAAGGACAGCCTCAAGAAATTTAGCCAGGTGGTTCATTCCCATGGGGGCGTTATAGTTTCAATTAGGATCAGTAGTGGGAACTGTGTCTGGGCCTCGGTAATTGCCCTGAGGGTTTCAGGTGGATAATTCATCCACTTCCCTGCTGGCAGCCTCAAAGATTTGTTCCTTTCCTGAGGGAGTGCCAACAGGTTGCTAGAATGAATTGACCATCTCTCCATGAGAGATCAAAGGCTAAGGTCAAAGTGTGGAACTCATCTGCAAATTTCCTAGGATTCTCAGAACAGCTTCCTAGCTTTTCCTTACATTGTTGAATATTAGTTATAGAGAAGGGGGCCTGCACTAGGACTGGCCCCTCAACTCCTGCTACTTCCCTAAGGTGTAGCAGGGCTGGAAGAAGAGCTGAATACAGGGTTCCCCTCCGAATGTGAGGGGGACTTAGTAGGGTCTCTGGTGTTTGCTCCTGGGGTTGAGCCTCAGGAGCACTTGCAAGGGGCTATATGGGGGTGGTCACTGTTCACTCTGAGAGACAGGTGGCCCTTGTAAGAGGGGGTCATCTATAATATGTAGTTCTCCCTTAGAACTTTCCTTTGTGGGGTGGGTTCTGGGAGTTTCACAGATTGTTAGGTTTTGGTAAAGCGTCATGGAAGTCTGCATGTACAAGATTTCTGACCATGTGCTCTGTCTCTTGCAAAATAGGTCTAATTGCAGGATGATGTCATAATTAAGGCTACCATTGACTACCCATTTTTTCCAGGCTGGGCAGCTCATAATGGAGCCAGACAGTACTGCAGAAAAAAATTATATGTTTTCTCTTTAGATTGTCAGGGTCAAATTGATCGCAATGGTGGAGGACGTAGCCGAGCGGGGAATCAGGTGGAATAGGTAGAGAGTTGCCCACAGTGGTCTGGAAAAGAGAAGAGGACTGACCAGGTGACCCAAATTTTACCTGAGGCATCCTCCTGGAAAAATTCTGGGCCCAGACTGGGGTCCCTGGGAGCATCTCCCCATTAGGGCCCTGACTTAGCCTGTTAGATGTCTCTGACCTTAGATAGGTGCAGGCATTGCTTTGGAATGGTTCCCTCCACCACTGAAGACCTACTGTGAACTTTCCTTAAGGTTTTCCCATGCCACTTAAAGCAACTTTTTTTTTTTTTTGAGACAGGGTCTTGCTCTGTTGCCCAGGCTGGAGTGCAGTGGCATGATCTCGGCTCGCTGCAAGCTCTGCCTCCCAGGTTCATGCCATTCTCCTGCCTCAGCCTCCGAGTAGCTGGGACTACAGGCGCCGACCACCATGCCTGGCTAATTTTTTGTATATTTAGTAGAGATGGCGTTTCACCGTGTTAGCCAGGATGGTCTCAATCTCCTGACCTCGTGATCCGCCTGCCTCGGCCTCCCAAAGTGCTGGGATTACAGGCGTGAGCCACCGCAGCCGGCAAAGCAACCCTTTAACTCTCTCAATTTAGGCAATAATAGATTACCTTTCATGAATTCCCCCCACTCCCCATGCATCACACAGACCACCTACGACATGCCTGGACCCTCTGACTCATATAACCTTTTTGCATAGCTAGGTGGGTTTTCTGTCCTTAGCCAGTCAAGTGGGGGAAGGGAAGGGAAGAATTTAGCATAAGGTTTAAGTCACCTGAAACGTGTGAGTTTGCCCTGGATGAGCTGCTGCTGCTGCCAACCCAGACACAGGTAGGGATCTATAATCAGAAAGGACAGAAAAGAGTCTTTCACCCTTCTGGGCAGGGCAGCCGTCCCTGTTCACTCTTTGGCCTTCAGAGAACACTGGAGAGTGGCCCCGGCCAGTTTCCCTCAATTACCAAGGAGCTACTAGGAAACGACCAGTGAAAGACTGAAAAAGCAAAAAACAAACAAACAAAAAACAACAAAAAACAAAAAGGAATAGAACTCAGAAAAAAGAGAGAAAAAAAGAAAAGGAATAGGACTCAGAAAAATGAAAACAAGGAAAAAGACTTCTCAGTGACCAGGCAGTGGCGGTCAAGTGCTTCGACACGGAAGCCTTTCAGTCTCACCAGAGAGTGGCCCTGGCCAGAAACTTACAATTTCCTCTGTGCTTAGGCGCTGTCCACCGAGTTGGGTTCCGAGTTGGAAAGGAAAAGAGAGAGGGAGAGAAAAATTCCCCTGCATTAAAAGGGAAATGGAGAAAAATAAATCCCAAGCTTTGGGCCTACCTTCTCTCCTGGCTGGCTTGCCAAAATATGTTACCAGTAGAGGGTTTTGACTGAAAGTTGTCTAGGTTCTTGGCGTTTTTGAACAAAGAATTGGAGAAAACACACAGAAAAGCAAGGGAAAAATGGAGCAATGAAAGAACAAAAGCAAGGGTTTATTAAAAATGAAAGTACACTCAACAGTGTGGGAGCGGGCCAAGCAGCAGCTCAAGGGCCCAGATACAGAATCTTCTTGGGTCCAAATACCCCCTAGAGGTTTCCCATTGGCCACTTGGTGCTCACCTCATGTAAATGAAGTGGTGGCCCGCAATCAGTCTGACTGGTTAATCAGAGGCCGAAGTGAAGTTACAAAGGTCATGCTCCTGTGCAAACATCTGATTGGTTGTGGAAAGCAACCAATCAGGCTGAAGTGAAGTTACAAAGTTGCACTTCTATGCAATTTTAACATATAAACTGAAATGTAGCATAGAAATCGAAATGTACTTTCAATTTCCCATCTGCTGCACAGAAAAGGTGGGGGGTTGTAAAGAGAGTAGCCTCTGGTCCTCTTGTTACTTAGGTGTGGAAAGTTAGGGTTTTCCTTTCGATTTAGTTCTAGGAAGTCAGCGTGAAATGGCCTTAGGTTCCCTGCCTGCAGACTCTATTCTCCTACCTCAGTTGGGCTAGGTGAAAGGGAAGAGTTGATCAGAATGGGAGGATCATTATGTAAAGTATGGAGCTTAGTTAATAATAGTGTACCAATGTCATGCCCTCAGATTTAAAAAAAATTTTTTAATTTTTTATTCTTTTGCCACCTCCTTGTCGCTGGCAGTGCCCCCCAGTTATGCACAAGCACAAGCTCTGGGTCTGCAGTCTGAACCCCCGGCCAGGCCACGGGTGTCTTATCAACAATAGAGGAAACGAACAGAACTTTGTAGTATTTTTGCAACTTTTCTGTAAACCAAAATAAAAAGTTTACTTTAAAAAAGATGATCAGGTGAGTTTTAAATTCTACACATGCATTCATGTACTCAACAGATTGTCTATTATGCATCAGGCACTGGGTATAAATGAGTGCCTGCATCATGATGCCACCCCTTGTGTAGTTTACAATCCTGTGGTAAATTGGCGGTATTGGTAACAACATCCCTGTTTTTTCTAAAAGCAAATCTCCAACTAGTATATTAACCTGACAAAATCTTGGCTGATGGGGTGTCTAAAAAGAAGTCTTGCTCTATTCCTTCCTAGCTGTGCGACCTTGGCAGAGCTAACCTCACTGTGTATCAGTTTCCTCAGTGCTAAAATTGGGGAAGAAAAAAAAAAAGCATTCCCTTGTGCGTCCTTAGCATGCTTTCAAGCAGTTACTAAATGTTAGTTTTTATAACGGTTATAATTATTAAAAAGATACGGATTCGTGAAGTCAAGAGATCAAGACCGTCCTGGACAACACGGTGAAACCCCGTTTCTACTAAAAACACAAAAATTAGCTGGGCGTGTGGCGCGTGCCTGTAGTCCCAGCTAGTCGAGAGGCTGAGGCGGAAGAATCGCTTGAACCTGGGAGGCAGAGGTTGCAGTGAGCCGAGATCGCGCCACTGCACTCCAGCTCGGGCGACAGAGCGAGAGTCCGTCTCAAAGCAAAAAAAAAAAAAAAAAAGACACACATATGGGGAAGCGTAACATGGCAGAGAGTCTGACATTTTTGTCCGGAAGGACTTGGGGATGAAAACACTGAATCCGCGGTTTCCCAAAGGTCCTTCCAAAGGTGACGGCCCCGGCACGAGTTCACAAACCACAGCTCCGCCCCATCCCCTGCCCGGCCCCGCCCTTCCCAGGAGCTCTGCTCCGCCCCGCCCCCGACTCCGCTCGGCCCCTCCTCGCGCCACGCCCCCGCCCCTCCCGCGCGCGCAGCTCCGCCCCGCCCTCGTGATCCCGCCCCAACCTCGTGCTAAGCTCCCTTCCGTTCCAGCCGCCTTCAGCCCCGCCGCGCTCAGTTCCGCCCCTTTCTCTTCCAACTCCGCCTACGCCCCAGAGAGGGAAGGCCTTGACACCTACGCTAGAGAGACAGGCTCCAATGAAAAGAGCGAGGGGGCGGAGCCGGGAGGAATCGGTCCAATTCTCGGCCGGGAAGTCTCTGGCCGGGACGGGGCAGGGCGAACCTGCCAGTGACTGGACTCAGCTTCTTTGCGTAACCAATACTGGAAGGCATTTAAAGGCACCTCTGCCGCCACAGACCTTGCAGTTAACTCCGCCCTGACCCACCCTTCCCGATGCAGTCCCTGATGCAGGCTCCCCTCCTGATCGCCCTGGGCTTGCTTCTCGCGGCCCCTGCGCAAGCCCACCTGAAAAAGGTGAGTGCACCCTCTTTTAAGAGTCTGTTTGCAGCCTCCTGGCCCAGCTACGGGTGTGCGGGTCTGGCTGAGATATGGGGGTGGCCACTCCGTTCTCTAGAATTGGTTCTCTGCACTAGAGCCTTCCAAAGTAACTAATTATGGGATTCTGGTCTGTACAATGAGGGTGGCCTCTAAAGACTTGTTCTGCTCCAGGCCCTTTTTGGAGAGATTAATCTCACGTCTGCACTCTCCTGCCCTCCCTCCAAGCGCCGGAGTGAAAATGCAGACAGCCTTAAAACTAAGGCATTGCCCCCAGAGATTCAGTCCTGTTAACCCTGCACCTTACTCCTGACCCCCACTCCTTATGTCCCCCATGATAAGGCCTGCTGCCTCATCTCTTCCCCTGCTCGAATGCCCTGAGGTCTTCCTGAGAGTTGGGAGGGTTTGAGAGCTTTTCCAGGCCAGAGGATCCAGATTTGCCCATCTGGTGACAAATACCCAGGCCTGTGACCCCGCTGCCCTTGGTTATGAGCCACTGAGACAACAGTCCCCGTACCCTCCAAGCTTCCTCCTTCACTTCTCATTGACACCGCTTCTTCCTTCACTTCTCATTCACACCGTGCTGCAGATCCCTGGGAAAGGGAAGTTCTGTAATCCCTTCACCTGAAAAAGCCTCGTTCCTGGCTTATTGCAGCTAGCCCAATGTCTTTCAGATTCAATCTATGTTGTTGCAAATGACAAGATGTTCCCCCTTTTAAAGGCTGAATAGTATTCTGTTGTGTATATATGCCACATTTTCTTTATGCATTCAATTTGATGGATAATTTCTTCATCAAGTGTCTGTTGATGGATAATTTCTTTATCCATCAAGTGTCTGTTGATGGACACTTAGGTTATTTCCATATCTTAGCTATTGTGAGTAATGCTGCAATGAATATGGGAGTGCAGATAGCCCTTCGAAATGTTGATTTCAGTTCCTTTGGATATATACCCAGAAGTGGGATAATGGCTCATATGGTAGTTCTGTTTTATTATCTCATTTATATGCGGATTCTAACCAAGTTGAACTTACAGAAGTTGAGAGTAGAGGTGGGGTCTCACTCTGTCACCCAGGCTGGAGTGCAGTGGGGCGATTGTAGCTCACTGCAGCCTTAAACTCCTGGGCTCAAGCAGTCCTCCCACCTCAGTCTCCTGAGTAGCTGGGACTGCAGGTGTGGGCCACCAAGTTCTGCTAAGGAATAGGCTTTGAGATTTATTGCACACCAGGGTGACTATCGTCAGTAATGTATTATATACAGAAGCTCCTTAACTTTCCATGAGGTTATGTTCTGATAAACCCATCATAAGTTGAAAATGCATTTAATACAGCTAACCTGAGAATCATAGCCTAGCCTACCTTAAACATGCCTAGCCTACCTTAAACATGCCCAGAACATTTACATTAGCCTACAGTTGGGCAATATCATCTAACACAAAGCCTATTTCATAATAAAGTGTTGAATGTCTCATGTGATTTACTGAAGACTGTACTGAAAGTGAAAAACAGTATGGATACTAAAAGTACAGTTTCTACTGAATATTTATCACTTAGGCACGATTGTAAAGTTGAAAAATGGTATGTCAAACCATTGTAAGTCAGGAACTGTGTGCATTTCAAAACAACTAAGAGAATACATTTCACATTGCAGTGTACCCCATAAATGTATACAACTATGGTTTGTCAATTTAAAAAAAACCCAAGACCAGGTGCGGTGGTGCACACCTGTAATCCCAGGACTTTGGGAGGCTGAGGTGGACAGATTGCTTGAGCTCAGGAGTTCAAGACCAGCCTGGGCAACATGGTGAAGCCCCATCTCTGCAAAAATACAAAAATTAGCTGGGCGTGGTGGTGTGCGCCAGTATTCCCAGCTACTTGAGAGGCTAAGGTGAGAGGCCCAGCTACGCCTGAACCTGGGAGGTCATGGCTACAGCTGAGATTGCACCACTGCATTCCAGCCTGGGTGACAGAGTGAGACCCTATCTCACAAAAAAACCCCAAAAACAAAAACCCGATTCCATTGCCTCTTGGCTGCTAGCTGTGGTCAAGACATCACACATTTCTGGTAGCAAAGGGATAGGTCCAACCCTGATCCCCTCCCTTCTACCATCTTGGAAGTGTTTGAGAGTGAGGAACAGTGCTGTGTAGGGGAAAGCGGGTGATACTGAAAGCAGGGAGGCTTGGCTTCTGATCATTCCCCTGTCTCAATCCATGGATTTCCTGAGTCTTGTTCTCCTCATCTGTAAG